>NC_000008.11:39860102-40163132 GCF_000001405.40 Homo sapiens | reverse complement strand
TTGGCCACAAGGTATCCCACCCTTGCTTGGCTAATTTATTTTAGTCAATTGATTTTATGAAGTTATTTTTCTGTGTCAAAGTAATAGGGTCTTCAGAGTTGATATGATATACATTTAGTAATTTTCTTCTCAAATTGAAATTAGATAGTAGCCAATGGCATTTGATCTCCAACAACATCGTGCAGGGCTCTATTCCACCAAGATTCCCACACTTCTTGAGCACAGATTATGAAGCCCTCTAAACTCATTCTATTCATGCTGAAATTCTTACTATATAAGGTAAGATAGATAGAATTACTTTTGTGATGAGCACAGCCTTTTTCCTCGTATATCACTTGGAGATTTTAAACCTTCCCAGCGTTGCTCCCTTCCCTCCTTTCACTCACCCAAATGAAATGCCCAGCGCTGTGACATATGACCCTGAAGCTGGAAGGAGAATAGGAGAAAACAATACAAGAACTTGTTCACTTCCACTGAACATTTGAAGCCATTCCTGTATAATGAAAAGCAAACAAAGTTTTTAGTGGCAGAAATGCACCATTGCACAATGCCATTTCGACATGGCTCTTTCAGCATGAACTGTGGTTCATCCCCAGGTTCAGCTATTTAATGCTAATGGAACACTGTTGACTTAGCCCTCCTTGGAGATGCTTAAGAGACAAAAAGGGTACAGATGTTGACTTCAGAGGTTAATAAACAAATACCTCATTTTTAAGGGATATTTGTGTGTTCATGTTCAGAAAACACTTATGAGGAACCCACCCCACGCCAGAGCCTGTGCAAGAAGCTTTGTAGAATTCAACCATGAGCAAAGTGTTGTCCTGGTCCCCAAGGACCTTACCTTCACAGATATCATACTTAACTTGTGGGTGTTTTCACATATGTTGCCTTATGTTATGCTTACAACAAGCAAGAGAAAGAAATACAAAGATGTTATGAGCTGAACTCTGTTTCCCCAACCAAAATTTACGTGTTGCGGTCTTAATCCCCAGTACTTCAGAATGCAACTGCATTTAGAGACAGGGCCTTGAAAGAGGTTGGTAAGTTAGACTAAAGTATTTAAAGTGGGCCCTAATTCAATATAACTAATGTCCTTATAAGAAGAGGAGATTAGGATATGGACACACACAGAGGGAAGACCATGTAAGACACAGGGAGAAGATGGCCAAGAAGAAACCAACCCAGTTGACAGCTTGATCTCAGACTTTCCCCCTCCAGAACTGTGAAGAGGTAAGTTTCTGTTGTTTAAGCCACCCAGTTGGCGGTACCTTGTTACAGAAGCCTTAGTAAACTAATACAGAAGGTATTATTGTCCCTATTTTATAAATGTTAAAGTGAGGTTATGAGACATTAAGTAATTTACTAAAAATTTACACATACCTCATAAATAGCTGAGGCAGGATTAGAATCCAGGTCTTCGTAAACCCTATAAACTCCTCTATTGATCTTTCTACTGCCAACCACGCTGTATGCACATCGAGCTATCCCACTATGTAACAGCCAAGACCAGGGCTAGGAAAAATTAAGATGTTTTTCTTAGTGAAATACTACCTTTGGTTGTTTTCTTCCTTACCAATTTCAGGTGTTCTCTGTCCTTGGTTTCAATCTTTCTGTTCTTCTGCCACTCTCCTTGTATGATTAAAACCACACGATCTCAGTGGAAGATATTTGCTGTTAGGAAGGAAGTGCTTTGTTAAATGCTAATATTCTAGTTTATAGAAGTGACTGCTAGTGATAAGTGCTACTCATTCTTTTTTTTTTTTTTGACAGGGTCTCACTCTGTTGCCCAGGCTGGAGTGCAGCGGTGCAATCACAGCTCACTGCAGCCTCGACTGCCTAGGCTCGAGGAATCCTCCCACCTCAGCCTCACCATGTTTGTATTTTTTTGTAGGCAGGGTTTTGTCATGTTGCCCTTGCTGGTCTTGAACTCGTGAGCTCAAGAGATCCTCCTGCCTCGGCCTCCCAAAGCGCTGGGATTACAGGCGTGAGTCATCACGCCCAGCCTAATTCTTACTTTTGAAAAGACAAACTTCTCTGGACTAAGAAATGAATCTCCATAATAGCAGGCAAGTGGTAAATATATTTAGGGGGAGACAGCCCTTACATTCTTTGGAAAAATGTGTTTTCATTGCTGCAACTGTATGCTTTATGGGAGCCTGATGGGAGTTAGATAATGATGTGATCATTGTGAGTTGGTAGGATTTCTTAAAACAAATAAAATTTAGAGCAAAATCAAAATGATGGTATTATTTGAATTAGAGATAGTAGGAATAAAGTATTCCACAATAAAGTCCTAGTCACATTTTGCTGCAGTTGTTCGGTCCGAAAGGTATTGAGGCCTGCAATATGCCTGGGGATACATGGATGAACTGAAATGAGCCGTGTCCTCACACCATGCACAGTTTGTGATTTTAATCTAGGTCAGTGCTTCTCAATATGACTGAGCAGCAAAATCACCTGGGGAGTGACTGAAGCACGGAGCTAGCAGGTGTCCAGCCCCAGAAACTCTGAATCATTAAGTCCAAAGGCCTGGATTTTTAAAAGTCCCCAAGGAGACTGTGATAAGAGTAGGCCTGGAAACAGTTGCTCTGTCCTAGGTATTCTGCAATGTCAGGGGAAGATGGTCCTCAGACACAGCATTTCAGATACTGTGGCTGCCAGTACCCTTCAGGATCACTGGGCTTCTCTGGAATCTTTCAGATGATAAAACCTGGGCATAAATAATAAACATAGACAAATTGCAAAAAAATTTAAAGGATAGGTAGTGGTAAGAAACAGAAGATTTCTTTTTGGTCAAATATACATGTATCAAGGTAGATAAATATCAGACCGAAATTCAAGAAAGAAAAAACCCAGAATGAATTAATTAACATAAATACATACTGTAATTATTCTCTTCAAAATATATTTATTTTTGGAGGGTATCTGTATTAGTCTGTTTTTACGCTATTATAAAGATACTACCTGAGACTAGGTAATTTATAAAAAAAGAGGTTTAATTGACTCACAGTTCCACATGGCTGGGGGGGGCCTCAGGAAACTTGCAATCATGGCGGAAGGTGAAAGGGAAGCAAGGCACGTCTTACATGGTGGCAGGAGAGAGGGAGGTCAGGGGAAACTGCCACTTTTAAACCATCAGCTCTCATGAAAACTCTCTCACTATCACAAGAACAGCATTGGGGAAACTGTCTCCATGATCCAATCACCTTCCACCAGGTCCCTCCCTCAACCTGTGGGGATTACAATTCAAGAGGAGATTTGGGAGGGGACACTGAGCCAAACCCTATCAGTATCATTTTCAATTAATGACAGAATTAATATGGTAAAACAAATTCTAACTAATGCCATGAAATCAAACCCTCTTTCTTGGTCTTTATATTATGAAGTGCTACCAACAGAAGAGCCAATGTAACATAAGAAATGGTTCCATATATCTCATGTTCTTTATAGCTGACTGTAGAGCTTTGTACAAATACCTAGTCCTAAAAACAATGCCTGGAGAGTTTGGGACCAAGAATCTCTATTTTGAAAACTTTACATATGAATGCAATTCTCACCAACAGTGGAGATTGTCTCAGTGACTCTGTCATTGCTTGGCTATGGAAGAGATAGTCAAAATATTGCCAGCCAGCCAGCCCTGGCACAGGCACCAACCAACCAGAACGGAGGCAGGCTATTAAAAAGCAGAGATATACATACAAAAACTGATTTTCCTCACATTGTGCCTTCAGCAACCATTGGCTAAAGATGAAAACTTTTA
Organism: Homo sapiens; assembly: GCF_000001405.40. NCBI lineage: Eukaryota > Metazoa > Chordata > Mammalia > Primates > Hominidae > Homo > Homo sapiens. The sequence goes on along the minus strand of NC_000008.11, from coordinate 40,159,372 downwards.
AACTAGGCCTTTATCATACTTAAGAGAAATTCTTATCATATATGGAATACCAACTGGTCCAGAAAAAAATCCTATCACGTAAGGTGGCACAGTTGCTATTTCCCATTGATGTAGAATATAAGAGCTGATAAAGGTCACAGACATCATCCGTCTGGTCTAGCTGTTTTTTTTCTTACAGATGAAACCCAGAGATAAAAAAGGAATTTGTCTAAGGCAGGGTCGGGAAAAACCCCAGAATTCCAGGCTCAGTCTGGGGTTGTTTGCTCAACACGATGCTATTGTCCACAGATGAGGAAACAAAAGCTCAGGGAAAAAAGCTGATATGCTTCTAGTAGGATTATGTGTCTGTACTGTGTGCGTGCACATGTGTGTGCATGTGTCTGTGTGCACATGTGTGTGTATGTGTGTGTGCATGCTTGTGTGTAAGGAGTACAGAGGGGAGAAAGCAGCTACACTAAAAGTCTTCTGATTACTCATCCACTTTTAATTTAAACAACAACAACGACAACAACACTGCTAAATCTTACTGGCACAGGATGCTTATTTCCAAAGCTCTGTAACATAGTTTTGCCAGTACTTTGCTGAACCATATCCACTGTCAATGTGTATAGACATTGAAATAGAACACATTTGCATTACCCATGATAATCACTTAAAATATCTGGAAACTGTTTGCAGAAGAGTTTTTCAAGACAAAAAAAAAGAGCTTATAACCATTTATTTATAATACTTGTTAAATAATAAGACTCATTATAAGGATCAGGTGTAGTCACAATTTCTTAAATATTTAATTGGGCAATATATTAGTTTGCTGTTTCCACAATCGGGCCTCACAATGCTTTTCTTCATAATCTTTTACTTCTGTTTTATCTTCAGCTGCCACATTGCTGCCCACTGTTATTGAACTGCAAAGGTCCTCTATAGCTTTTCATTCAGTGTGAAGCTACAGAGTTCTGCAGAATCTGACCAAGTTCAACTGCTAGATGGTGGATTATTTTTCAAGCTATTAACCGTATCTTTTCCTAGGACCCAATACACAGTAGCTAGACAGTAAATGTTACTTTTAATGTTTCTCTATTACCTCCAGAATATATAAAATTAATACTTACACTTGTCATTTAAAACCCAGCTGCCTTTCTTTTTTTCAAGATGGAGTCTCGCTCTGCAGCCCAAGCTGGAGTACAGTGGGGTGATCTGGGCTCACTGCAACCTCCGCCTCCCAGGTTCAAGTGATTCTCACGCCTCAGCCTCTCAAGTAGCTGGGATTACGGGCACGCACCACCACACCCTGCTAATTTTTGTATTTTTTAGTAGAGACAGCGTTTCACCATGTTGGCCAGGCTGGTCTGGAACTCTTGACCGCAAGTGATCTGCCTGCCTCGGCCTCCCAAAGTGTTGGGCTTACAGGAGTGAGCCACGGCACCCGGCCCTGGCTGCCTTCCTAATTATTAGCTGGGAATGCTTAGGCCCCTAGTCAGACTGAACTGCCTGGAGATTTTCAAATACTCTTTCCTGCCTCCTTGTCTTGGCAAATACTATAGGCATAGGCTGAAATAAAAATTTTTCTCTCTACTCCCCCAACTCCTACTTTAAAACAGGGAAAATTCTCTGTGGAATTTGCTAGGGTCTCCTCCAACTGGATTAGGCCTCCTCCAATTCTCCTGCTACTCCCCAAACACGCAGACATACAGACACAGACACACACAAGCACACACACACATGCACAAGCACACACGCACACACAAACACAAACACACGCGCGTGCGCGCACACACACACACACATAATTCCTGCCTTATGCTTCCAGAGCATTCTGTCTAAACTCCCATCACACTTCTCACCGTGTGATACCCCTTTTAAAAACCTTTCCTGTTCTTCTGATATGGAGAACCAGGATCCATTCTGGCCATGGAGGCTCCCACATATGGGTGCTTACTGTATTTTTGTTGAATGGGTAAGATACAAATGCTGCCCTGCCCCCCACATCTGTTCTGCTGGGAATCCATACAGGCTGTTCTGAGAAACCCTCATGTGGAGTATAGAAAGGTCAACTAAATACTCTGAAAAAACATGCAATCCTCAGGCCATGGCTTCATTATTAGTTTACTAGCAGATGAAACTTTCTAAGGGAATGTCAATTGCGTACCCTGGTTACCCTCCGATGATGAGAAAAATATAGTCAACCATACACCCTGGACCCCTTTCTCAGAAAATCCTATCTGCTGGACAAATCCCCCTTTGCTGTGGGCCAGGGGATGAACTGAGTGAATAAAATATTGAATCCATGGTTTCTGAGTTCCTTCAATGAACAAACTAAGACCCAAAGCTTACGTGTGGCCTTGTGTTCCAGGATGCTAATACAAGTGTTATTTTAACTGCAGGCTTGAAAGCCTGTATCTAAGCACATCCTTGATACAATTAAAACTATTAAACTAAGACGCTTTCCCCATGTAGCACGTGTAACAAATAAATAGACAAACATACCCAGGTCAGATAAAAGTGATGCTTCAGAGGCCAGGCCTTCCTGTCTTCATGACTGACTAACATAGAAGTATCGTTACTTAAAAGAAAAAGAGAAGCTTGGTTTCTCCTAAAGAACCGGTATAGTCTAGTGGCTGGGAATGAAGGCCAGAGTTCCTGGATTTGATTTCTGGAGTTATTAGCTGCGTGTCATTGACCAAGTTACTGCACCTCTCTGTGCTTCAGTTTTATTACTATATTACACACGCACATGCCCTTAGCATTTATGTCATGGCACTAATTAAGTGATGTATTAGTAATACACAAAAAAAACACTTAGAAAATTGTCTGACTGAGAGTAAACACTCAGTGAAAGTTATTACTGTGATCTCATGATACAAATATGATTAACGAGCTATTTAATCTTTGCTGCTTTCATTTCTTCAATTACAGTGAGATGTCCTGAGATATATTTGTTTATCCTTGTGCCATAAATTTCTAAACTGAACCAATCCTCCCTGTTCTACTGATGTTTATTTTCACCTCACATTAAGTAATGAATGTATTATGAAGCTAAAAATCATCCTTATGCAATTAAATTGATTCCAACTTTTGTTCTCCATGAATGGTAAAGATGACACGTTTGTGATAATCTACTGGATGTGTTATTATTCTCCATACCATTGTGGAGTGCATCCAAATTGCTTTTTAATTTGTCTCCCATGTTACAGCCTTGAAATCAGAAAATAACGTAATATACTGCAAGAAAACAACTTAATACATGCTAATGTGAAAAGAGGAGAAGATATACTTTGTACCCTATTGAAAACAACAGTGGCAGAGTAAATAGTTATGAGTATGTATAATACACTTAACTCTTGAACTACATTTAGCATCCAAGTGTGCTTCAATTTTTGAATAGAAAATAAAGATTTTCACTGATGGGCCCTATCAGGAGAAGGAAGTTATTTCTAGCACACGCAGTGAACATTAAGAAAGCTCAGTTCATAAGGATGGGAAAGTAGGGTTATGGAGCCGAGGGCCTCTTTACAGCCTTCTCTTTCATACTCCCGTAACACAGCACAGTGAAAATGAAACAGGGAAAATTTCTATGGAATTGTCTAGTATGTCCCCAGCCTGGGTTAGGCTTCCTCCAATTCTCCTGCTACTCCGCAAACCCTTTTTCTGTTTATAACTTTTTTTGGAGTTATAGCTGTCTCTACAAATCTCGTGAAAATTATCAATATTCCTCTTAGAAAAATGCACACACACACACACACACACACACACACACAATTTTGCATATTAATGTGTTATCTTCCGGAATGCTCTCTTGGAAAGAACTCATTTTTAATAAAGTGCTTTGCATTATCTTCAGTGAACGAGTAAATTACTATTTGAAAATAGAATTTGCCATTTGATTTTCTTTTTAAAAACATAGTATTTATAATCCTGACTTGTAACCCTCCCAGCAGATGTGAGGTAATTCACTTGTTTTGACTTACTGTGATCAGCATTTTGAAAAACACTTTAGGTGTTTCTAAAATGCTTAACTTGTGGAAAAATTTCATTTTTGTTAGGAAAGCATAGCAGGCATTTACGTATGCTGTCCTAGAAACATTTTATTATAGTTTTAACGGGAAATAAGCAAAGAGATAATATTATTTCTATATTTGTTCCTATTAAACAAACAGTAGTAACACACAGAATCTTGGTCATCACTCAGACTCTAAACCCAAAACATATTGCTTGGGAAAAATAGATGTACACATGTACATAGCTACTGTAATCATAGAAGAAATTTTTCAAAAGTATGAAGAGAAAGCCTTTTAAAACTCATCCTTAATGGATACATAAATAGAAATGCCAAGGAGTCAATCTATGAACTTCTATATCTATATTTTATATTTTAAGATTGGGACAGAGAAACTTCCCAGATATTTGACGTAAGAATTTGTTTTGAAAAAGTTTGGTAATTAATATAAAACTACTCTAAAATTAACTTTTATTGTTAGAGACACATCTTTAGAAAAGTTTGTAAATATCAACATTTACCATCTTATTTTTTCCTTTGAGACCAAGCATCACAGACCAAAAGCCACAAAGTTTACAATAATTTATTATTGTTGCATGACATTTGCCAGTAAAATAAATTATAGAAACTATAGAGTCTTTATAAACTATTTTGTATATCATATTCACTTCCTAATGCTTACTGCAGTAACTGTATGAAATTTAATTAGATTACGTTTTAGCATTAGTCAGAAGATTTAAAAAATATGTAAAATGTTTTCACAGTACTTTGGATTTATAAAAGACCCCATTATTTTAACTTTTGTGCAACCTGTTTGAAATGTATAAAAAACCTTTTACAAACCAAAAGGTGGCGTAAGGTTTTACTGAGTTGCTGAAGACATCTTACTTTCTTGAATTTCTACTTAACATCCATGTGGTGCACTTTTTCAGGCATTGTAATAAGTGCAAATAAATAATCAATTATTGATTTCTAAAAATCTATACCAATAGACAATACTCAGGCTTGGAAATATTTTGAACACTCAGATATAAAAATTCAGTAAACAATTTATGCATGGTATTTTCTCTCCCTGTCCTCCCTCTCCCTCCTCCCTTCCCCTATCTATTTGGTTAAAAAAAAAAAAAAAAGTTCAACTTCGATTTAAGTCCTAGGGCCTGACAAAGTGACCCTGGATAAATGTCATCTCCAGCCATCTGTTTTCTTTAGTTCTCATTACATCTGTCCAGGCTCTTCTATCAGCATCAATCCTTTCCTGCAGGGACGGAAGAGTTTTCAAATCCTTGCTGAAAGCATTTTGTTCTCCTCTGTAACAGCACAGGGCATGAAATTGTTTGGAGTCTTTGTAACCAGTCTGTTCAGTCCTGGTCCCTTTCCAGTCCCGGTCCCTTTCCAGCCTCTGGAGTCCTGACAGAAGAGAAGCTTGTAAGGTAGCAGCAAAATGCTGCATCTGTTAGAATCTCACAAACTCACTTGGTCTTTGAATGTCCATTCTTGGATAACGTCCTTATCCATCCTCTTCTCTTCAGTGAACTTTGATGGAATATTTCCGCAGTTTCAGAAACTGGAAAAGCTTGTCTTTTGTCCTCTTCTTCAAGGCCATCAGGGCACGCGTTTTCTCCTCCACATCTTGATCTATGGCAAAAATGATCTTGGCTCTCTCCTCTGCTTTCTTGTCTCCAGAGTTTCTGAAGAGCCTTTCTAGTGATTCTTGGTCTGTGTTTTCAAAGATGTTGCCCACGGCTTTCTTACGAGAGGCTGTGTCGAAGTGGTAGCCATGGATGGATGGGCTGACTCGTAGCGACGTGGACATGATGACGGCTTGGTGGCTTCGCTTTGCTTTCATCGATGTGGGGATCTTCCGGAATTCAGCTCCCAGGCTTTCCAGAGAGTCTGTAGTGAAATCATTCTGGGACTGCTATTTAAAGTGTGAACAAAAGCTCCAGGCTCAAATTACACTGGTGACATCAGAGTGATCTCAAGGAAGAATAATCACAGAAAGGCTTAACAGTTGAGTTGCCAATATCCTGTTCTTGTGTAAAACATTACTAAAAGCTGTGTTCAGTGATTAGGCGCAAGGCTGTGAGTACTCATTTTACTTCCTATGTGGCAGTAGGATAATACAGACCTGGGCCTTCCTTTAAGAAAATAGCTGAATACAGGAAAATGCAAAGATAAGACATAAACGAGGTTGCTTAGACTCTCAAATCTTCCCAAACGACAGTTAGAACAAGGGGTTCTGCTAACTACAGGAAAGCTTTCGTTCGCAGAGAAGTAATTAAAGTGCACTGCAAACATTTGGCAGTCCACATCAGTGCCCTTTGGACATCCATATCAGGGGCAACTCCAGAGCTACTGAGAGAAAGCTGAGCAATCAAGGATAATAATTTGGGGTGTGATCAATTCTAGGATGGGATTTTACATACAAAACGCTGACATGACACAGCTTGAAACGGTGACTTTTCAGAGATTGTGTACAAGTGCTAAGTGTCACTGAAGACCATTGTAATTTGGGTGTAGTAATAATATGAATAGTAGAGGCTATCTCCTTAGGCTTGTGTATACATCCACAACAATAGCTATCAAAAAAGCCAGCAGGAAAAGTTAATCAAGTGTTTTACGTGCACAGTGCCCAAAATGAACGAGGTGATCTTTTGTTTTCAAATTTATTTTGGCATTACCCAGACATAGAGCAATAACTTCTTTGGAAGCATATAAATGTGTTCTTCCTGTCTTCCACAATATTCAAGCCAGCCAGTGTCCTCACTGACCTATGGAGTTGTCATATGCTAAATGTGAGCTTCAAAGGGTCCTGGAGATTCTCTTTGTGGATCTTACGCCTGGTCCGCTTTCTAGTCCTTTAAGAAAGCAGGACAGGTCTTTTCGTTTTTCTTTTTATCTAGTCAAGTAAGATCTAGAAAATGCGCAAAGGGAGACACCGTGGGGAAGGTACCTCACTAGGAAATTAAGTTAGAGACTCTCCTTATATTTTAATTCATTCATTCACTTACTCGTTTATCCACTCATTTATTTAATCAATATTTATTAAAGGTGTGTTATTAGCCAGAACTTTTTGAGGCATTGGAAATGAAACAGAAAACCAAACAAAACCAACCTAACCAAACCATGCAAAGAATCCCTTTTTTACCTTAATGAAGTTTATGTTCTACTGGGAAATAGACAATAGAAACATACATTTATAATATATATCATGTCAGAGTAAGGAATATTATGAGTAAAAATGAAGCAGAGTTGTACAGGAGTGGAAGGAGAGGGTTGAGATTTTCCTAGGATATTCAGGCACAGCTTCTTGTAATGAGACATTGTGCAAAGACTTGAAGGTGGTGAAGGAGGCAGTCAGCTATATGGATATCTGTAGGAAGGGTGCTGCCAGAGAAGCAAGTGCAGAAGGTTGAAGAAAAGAGTGTGCAAAGAGTGTATGGAGAACAGCCAGGGACCAGTGTGGTCAGAGCAGAGTGAGCAGGGCAGAGTGGGAGGAGATGAGGTAAGGGCGAGTAGGCAGTGGAAAGAGGGCAGGAGCAGGCTGTGTGCAACCTCACAGGCTTTGATTGTGGATTTAGCTCGTACACTGTTAGGAGACAGGTGGGCTTTGGAGAATTTGGAGCAGAGAAATGGCATGGTTTTCCTTATAATTTTAAAAGCTTACTGACACTTCTTAGAAGAGAATAGATTTCAGGGAAGCAAGCAGGGAGTGGGGAGCAGGAAGACTAGTCAGGAGATGTTCAATAATCCAAGAAAGAGAGGATGAAGGCTTCCACTAGGGAGAATGTGGAGGTAGTGAGAACTGATCCAATTCTGGCATATTGTGAAGGTAAAGCTAAGACGATTGCTGAAAAATTAGATGCGAGGAATGAATAACAAACAGGAGCCCAGGCTGATCTCTTCTGAAGGATGCCTCCTTGAAAGACATTTCCAGGTGTGCCAGTGGTCAACTCTCCAACCATGCAGCTCATGTGTGTTCCAGTTTTTCCAAGGGTTCCAGAAGAGCCCTTTGTTCTGCTGTCTATGTCTATGGATTTACAGGCCTATATAGCACACCTTTGTGGCAGCATCGTTTCCCTTGCTAAATTTAAAAAAAAATTATTATTATGGCAACAAGGATTTACTGAGCTTTTATTATGTGCCAAGCAGAGGACAAGAGATTCACAAAACCTCTCTTAATTATTGTCATAACTCAAGGATTTATCAAAGTTCTTTTTTTTTTTTTTTTTTTTTTTTTTTTTGAGACGGAGTTTTGCTCTTGTTGCCCAGGCTGGAGTGCAATGGCGTGATCTCTGCTCACCACAACCTCCGCCTCCTGGTTCAAGTGACTCTCCTGCCTCAACCTCCCGTGTAGCTGGGATTACAGGCATGAACCACCATGCCAAGCTAATTTTGTATTTTTTTTTTAGTAGAGATGGGGTTTCTCCATGTTGGGCAGGCTGGTCTCGAACTCCTGACCTCAGGTGATCCACTCGCCTCGGCCTCCCAAAGTGCTGGGATTACAGGCGTGAGCCACTGTGCCTGGCCTCAACCTTCTTATACTATGTTCTTTCTTGAAGTGATTCTTATGTGGGCTCATGCTTTTTCTGATACCCTACTTATTGATTACTCCTAAATTTTGATCCCTACCTAGCCCTGGCCTCTGAAGTGTTAAACTCATTTATTCATCTAACTAATCAATACAAATATATAAAAATATGTTATACATATTCATTCTGTTATAAAATAAACCTGGCTATGATCCTTAATAACTCCTTTTCTTTCTCTCCCTACACATAATCTATGGCCAAGTTCTGTCAGTTCTATCTAGAAAATGTTCCCAAAGCCATCTACTTTCTCTCTATTTTCATTGCCATTTATGCCAGCCCTTCATATGGTGGATGCTGTGATGCATGATCCAGAATTCCCTTTAAGATTTTCCCAGGTGCTTAGCTATCAGCCCGCTTCAGGGACTGATACTACTGAAGAAGTTTATGTCACCTAAGGGTACCCTTTTTCCCTTCCAGGTGCAGCTATATCCAGTGACTGATCCACATGGTGGTGTAAAATCCTGCTCTCCTTGTCCGTATCAACTCTAAGGGGTCATCTAAACTTCAGAGCACCTTTCAGGGTAGGCTGAGATCTCCCTCTGTCCAATCCTGCATCTTTCCCATCTGCAGGCATTGATCCCAACAGCACTCTACAACCAGTCACCTGACTGCTGATCTGCATCTCAGAGTTTGCTTCCTAGGGACCCCAGCCTAAAATACTGTATCATCTCTTGCTAGACTAAGATCAAGTAACTCACTTTCCTGGCTCTCCTGATTTGCCTCTTGCCCCAAATTCCCTACACAACACCCAGAGCCATATTTCCTAGTAAGCACTCTGATTGAACCACTCTTGAAGTAAACTTTGCATGACCTCTTTGAACATGACCTGCTATGTCTTTATGCCTTCAGATTCCTTGGATACACCACATTCATTCCTGTAGTGAGGATTTGCACATCTTTTTCCTTTTTCTGGAATGTTCTTTTATACTTTTTGTCTCGGGTAGGTAATTCCTGGTTATTCATACAATCTCAACTAAAAGCTACTTTCTCAGAGAGGCTTTCCTAATTCTTGCCAACATACCCATTACTCTTCCTTAGCACTTTGTATTAGAGTTTGCAAACATATCTTTATTTGGGGGATTCTCATTTAAAGGCCCTATCAAGAGCAGGGATTGGATCTACCTTTCTCACTATGTTCAAAGTTCCAAGGTCACTTAATAAAAGGATTGTTTTTATAGTAATGTTAAATGACAGCATATGCAATTATATTTAATTCTCATAACGACCCTTTGCAATAGGAACTATTGCAGATCTTAAATCAAAGATAAGAGAACTGAGGCAATAAATGGAATGATGTAATAAATGGAATGATGGCTCCATAAGAGGTCCATGTTTTAATCCCTGAAATTTATGAATATAAGCAAAAGGGAACTTTAAATAGCAAAAGAGCTTTTGCAGGTATGAACAAGTTAAACATCTTCAGATGTGGAGATTTAGCTTGGATTATCCGGGGCAGCCCATGTAATCATGAGTTCTTATAAGAAGGAGTCAGAAGGTCAGAAAGGAGAGAAGATGCTGGGTTATTGTCTTTGAAGATGGAGGAAGGAGCCGTGCTCCAAGGAATGTGGACAACAGTTAGAAACTGGAACAGGCAAGGAAACAGATTCTTGCCTAGATCCTCCAGAAAGAACAGATTCCTGCAGACCCATTTTAGACATCTGGCATTCTAAACTATGAGATAATAAATTTGTGTTTATTATAACTCACTAAATTCATGTCAGTTTTTTACAGCAGTAATGGGAAAATAATATACTCCCCTCACCCTTCAGCTGTAAGACAACCTGAAGCCAGGGCTACTTGACTGCAAAGTCCATAATCTTAAACTCTATCCTGCATTGCTTTCAAATTAGCTGCAAGCTCTGTCTTCAGAAAGTCTGGATTATATTTTTACATGACATTGAACAGCTCTCCTTGAGTACTGCCTACAAGCATTCAGATGAATTTGAGAGATTAAGGAGTTTCAAAATTGTTTAGAGGACAGGACCATCTGCAGGGAAACAATGTCAGTTTCTGTTTCCCAGAAATGTGACACATGCCCTAAGGTTATGATTTGCTGATCCTTTTTGCCAAAGGTAACTATGTATGCTTGGAAAGGTGTTTACTGTTGCCATCCTGTTCTTTCCCTTCTTTATATAAATATTTTCAGTGAATGATGTGGATAACAGGATCTAAAAAGATATTCGCAAGATTCACAAATTGCATGTGGACACCTTACGGAATTGTGCTTTCTGCAGTAAAGACAGAAGATAATAATGAAGACTGATTAAAAGAAGCAGCTTCTGGTCTAGCGTATTTTCTTCTGTGCATCAGTTTTCCTGTATTTGTTCATTATACAAAGAGATTTAGTATTTATTTGCCAGCAATAAATGAGCTTCCTTAGTTTTGTGTCCAATAAAGAGATTTTAGAAAAAAAAGGTAAAGAAGAAAACAAAAATTTCTTAAGTGACTAGTATATCTGGTTTTCTACATCTAATAACTAAATGACTCTTTACAACCATATTGGAGGTAGGTATTATTGACCTTAATTTTCAACACAAGTAAGGAATTGGACTCATTGAGGCTAAACAATATGTCCGTGCTAAGTGTAAAACCTGATTTCATTTCCAAAATTTTTTTATATCTCCAAAATCTTTTCTGCCAAGAGTTTCCTTAATCTTTGTTGCTCCTCCTTTTGCCATGCACTGTGCCTTAGGTTTATCTTTTTAAATTAAAAATGATGGTGCATTCTTACTTATAGCTTTAGTGCATGGTATAGCAGCTGGTACACAGTGTACATCCAATGAACAGTTATTTAATTACTACATTAATAGGCAAAAGAAATTAAGTGCACAGAATTTACTTTGATGATGTCTTTGTGCACTAGTTTACCTCTGCGGCAATTTCCTGAATGCGACTGGAGTGTAGAGGCCAGCAATCTGAAATTTGTACTTTAAACATCAGCTGAATTATCCCTGTTCATTTTTGCTTTAACACAAAAAAATTCATGCCGTGTTCAAATTTAAAAAGCACGTTCACATATATTATCTCATTTGACTTTCACTACATCACTGGTATTATCTTCATTTTACAGATGAAAAAACATTAGATTACAGAAGTTAAATGAGTTTTCCAAAATCTTAGAGCTAATTAAATGAAGAGCTAACCCTGGAACTTTTATTTTCTAATTTCAAATTCTGTGTTCTTTTCTATCGTGGCATAGCTTCTTATTATACACATTATCTATTCGTCTCCTACAGTTTAAAGATTCTACTGCAGCTTTCTTCCATTTGTCTTTTCATGAACTTATTCAGTGATTTATAGATTTATTCACAAATATTTGTTGAATGCCTACTCCGTGTCAGGCGTACATTGAGAGGGAAATGGAAATGACCCTTGTGTTTGTGGAACATGAGGTCTAAAGAAGAAAACAGACTTTAAACAAATAAGTAAACTTGTAATTATATGAAGAAAATGTTTACACATGCTAGCGAATGAAATCATCCAAAGACATAAAAGAGAAACAAGGCGAGGCTTCATTTAAATTGGTCGCGTCCTGGAAAGCCTGTGAAAGAGCACAGCAAGGAGCTTTGGAGACGGAAGGAACATCCTGTGCAAAGGCCCTGTGGTAGGAATGAGTTAGAAGACAGAAAAGCAGACATAAAGACAACATATATGGGGAACAGAAACAAATGAGGAGAGGAGAGGAAGACAAGGCTAGATTGGCAGGCAGAAGCCGAATGCTGCAGGGTGCTGAAGGTCATGTTAGAGATTTAAAATGTTATCCCAAGTGCAAATGGCAGTCTTTAAAAGGTTACAGGCATGGAAGGAAAACTGCTCAAGTATTTAGATTTTGTTTTCTTCTGAAGTCACTTTGCTCACTGAGCTTTCCTAATTCCTGCCAATATACCCATTGCTCTTCTTTACTAGCACTTACTAGAGTTTGCAAACATACATTTATTTTGGGGAGTACTCATTTAAAGCCTATCTCTATCAGAAGCAGGGATTGGATCTACCTTTGTCACTATGTTCAAAGTCCCTAGATCACTTAATAAAAGGATTGTTTTTATAGTAATGTTAAATAACAACATATGCAATTTTATTTAATTCCTGTAATGACCCTTTGCACTTTGGCTGTTGGGCCATTAAAGACAACAACCAAAAAAGAACAATCGTGGTTTCAGAGAGCAAGCAGATTATTTGAAAGGCATTTTGGAAGCAAATGCAATGGGATCTGGTGATTTGGATAGAGGGTAGGGTAAGGGTCAACGGAGCTCCCAGGTTGAGTCTTGAGCAGGTTGGTCAGGAAGGCTGAGGTGGGGCAGGTGAAGGTGGAGAGGGCATGAGAGAAAGATCGAGAGTTCAGACATGCAAAGCAGTAAAGCTGAAATGCCTGCAGCACAGCCAAGGAGGCAGCTGAATATAGGAAACCAGAGCTCAGAGGAGAAATCTGAAATGTAAGTTTAATTCTTTATTCGTTTTCAGTAAAAATTGTCAAGAAGTCAACATTGCCTGTAGCTTTCTTCACTCAACTTATGTATAAATCCAGAACCCAAAATGATGCCTGGCATGAAGTAAATTTTAAATAGTTTTAGAATTCTTTCACATACAAAATAATTAGTATTTAGCCCAGGGAGGGATAAGCAACATACAAAGATGAAACTGCTGCCTAGTGGCTGTGTTGTTTCTATTTTTCTGATGTTGAGTGTTTTTCATTTTTCTATACTTAACAACTGAAGTGACAATCATTCTCCTAAGCAATTAGTTGTTTGGGGTCATTTTCACACAAGGTCTATTCTAGGTTTCTATTCTTCCATAGCTGTGGTTGATCTCTTTTTAAAACTAATCAGCTAACATTTTTCTTTTAACAAATTTTGTTAAATACATTTTTAATCTTTAATTATTGCTGATAAGAAAGAGTAATAGTTTAATTTAGAAATTTCAATTCTAACATTTATTTTGGATCATAGAGAGGAAATAGGAATAAATTCTGAAGCAATACAAATTTCAAAAAACAAATCTGGTGAAATGCATTTTCAAAGGGTTTCTGTCGAATTATGGTGAAAAATCTGCAACTTTATTGAAAAGAATTACAGCCAAAACAATTTTTTAGAAGTGCCGCTTTTCACATGATGTTTTTGCATGTGAAATGAAACAGCTGTCTTTTGTTAAATCATCAGTCTATATTTGAAATGTTTCCTAAAAAAGGAATGGAAGATAAGCTGTTCTTTTTTAAAAATTTTAATTAGCTGTTCAGATTCAGATATTGAGGCCCTGGTATTTACAGCTTCTTTAAAAAGAAAACAGTTGTGAACATAAACTAGCATGTTTTTCTCAGGAAGTGAGCATGAGATATTTATATGTATTTATACTAGCGTGTGCGTTTCTAAAATCTATGACTAAAGCCAAAATAAGTCTTTATGAACTATCTCTTCCCAGTCCTCACTCCAATTCGCTCAATGTGTGCTTCTGGCTGAGCTTTGTGACGTTGCCACACTTCAATCATTCTCCAAGAGGGATCCATAAGGGAAATAAAACTTCTTACATGAGCTTCCCAGATGTTATAAGTAGTATCGTAAATGATACCCAGCGCCATTCCTGAAGCTCGTCGCCTGTTTCTTTTCTTTTCTTTTCCTGATCAGGGTGTAGCCACATCTGGCTCTTCTCTTTGCAGGACAATCTAATTCTATCTTTCTAAGAGCTATACGCAGCTCAAACAGGTGAGGGTATATAGAGAAATTTAATCAGCAAAGGTTCATAACATCAACTGAGTTGAAGCCCAGAATGCTTTGTGAGGTGAAGCGAAACCTCAGCAGGGACAACATCTCTCGGTTCAAATGTTTGAAGGGTTATTGTGCGGAAGAAAAACTAAGCTTGTCTGAAAGGCGTCTAGGGATAGATAGCAATTGGGCTAATCAGTAAGTTCCAGGAAGACATATTTTGATTCAGCAAAATTAAAGAGAGAGTTCATGAAAGAATAAGCAGTGACGGCATTCACATAGAGTCAGGATGACAACCAAGCAGGTGTAGAGCAGGGGCATGTCATTAGTGGGAGTAGATTAGTGTTTATTTTTATTTATCTTATTTTTTGCCTATGACCTGTAGCCTATGTCACCAAGTTACACACACATATAATAGTGTAACGGGTTTGTTTCAGTTATTATAATAAAAGAACAGGCCAAGTGTGGTGGCTCACACCTGTAATCCCAGCACTTTGAGAGGCCTAAGTGGGTGGATCACTTGAGGTCAGGAGTTCGAGACCGGCCTGGTCAACATGGAGAAACCCCATCTCTACTAAAAATACAAAAAATTAGCTGGGCATGGAGGTGTGCGCCTGTAGCCCCAGCTATTCCAGAGGCTGAATCGCTTGAACCCGGGAGGTGGAGGTTGCAGTGAGCTGGAATCACACCACTGCACTCTAGCCTGGGCGACAGAATGAGACTCTGATTTAAAAAAATTAAAAAGTGGGGTGGAGCCAAGATGGCTGAATAGGAACAGCTCCAATCTACAGCTCCCAGCAGGAGCGAACCAGAAGATGAATTATTTCTGCATTTCCAACTGAGGAACCGGGTTCATCTTAGGGGGGACTGTCAGACAGTGGGTGCAGGACAGTGGGTGCAGCACACCAAGTGTAAGCTGAAGCAGGATGAGGCATCGCCTCACCTGGGAAGTGCAAGGGGTCAGGGAATTCCCTTCCCAAGCCAAGGAAAGGGGAGACAGACGGCACCTTGAAAATTGGGTCACTCCCACCCTAATACTGTGCTTTTCCAACAGTCTTAGCAAACGGCACACCAGGAGATTATATCCCGTGCATGGTTCAGAGGGTCATACGCCCACAGAGCCTCGCTCATTGCTAGCACAGCAGTCTGAGATCAAACTGCAAGGCAGCAGCAAGCCTGGAGGAGGGGCACCTGCCATAACCAAGGCTTGAGTAGGTAAACAAAGCAGCCCAGAAGCTCGAACTGGGTGGAGCCCACTGCAGCTCAAGGAGGCCTGCCTGCCTCTGTAGACTCCACTTCTGGGGGCAGGGCACAGCCAAACAAAAGGCATCAGAAACCTCTACAGTCTTAAATGTCCCTGTCTGACAGCTTTGAAAAGAGTAGTGGTTCTCCCAGCATGCAGCTTGAGATCTGAGAATGGACAGACTGCCTACTCAAGTGGGTCCCTGACCCCCGAGTAGCCCAACTGGGAGGCAGGCCCCAGTAAGGGCAGACTGACACCTCACATGGCCGGATACTCCTCTGAGACAAAACTTCCAGAGGAATGATCAGATAGCAACATTTGCTGTTAACCAATATCCACTGTTCTGCAGCCTCCACTGCTGACACCCAGACAAACAGGATCTGGAGTGGACCTCCAGCAAACTCCAACAGACATGCAGCTGAGGGTCCTGACTGTTAGAAGGAAAACTAACTAACAGAAAGGACATCCACACCAAAACCCCATCTGTATGTCACCATCATCAAAGACCAAAGGTAGATAAAACCACAAAGATGAGGAAAAAACACAGCATAAAAACTGGAAATTCTAAAAATCAGAGTGCCTCTCCTCCTCCAAAGGAGTGCAGCTCCTCAGCAGCAACGGAACAAAGCTGGACAGAGAATAACTTTGACAAGTTGAGAGAAGAAGGCTTCAGATGATCAAACTACTCAGAGCTAAAGGAGAAAGTTAAAACCCATGGCAAAGAAGTTAAAAAACTTGAAAAAAGATTAGATGAATGGCTAACTAGAATAACCAATGCAGAGAAGGCCTTAAAGGACCTGATGGAGCTGAAAACCATGGCATGAGAACTATGTGACAAATGCACAAGCCTCAGTAGTCGATTTGATCAACTGGAAGAAAGGGTATCAGTGATGGAAGATCAAATGAGTGAAATGAAGCGAGAAGAGAAGTTTAGAGAAAAAAGAATAAAAAGAAACTAACAAAGCCTCCAAGAAATATGGGACTATGTGAAAAGACCAAATCTACCTCTGATTGGTGTACCTGCAAGAGACAGGGAGAACGGAATCATGTTGGAAAACACTCTGCAGGATATTATCCAGGAGAACTTCCCCAATCTAGCAAGGCAGGCCAACATTCAAATTCAGGAAATACAGAGAATGCCACAAAGAAACTCCTTGAGAAGAGCAACTCCAAGACACATAATTGTCAGATTCACCAAAGTTGAAATGAAGGAAAAAATGTTAAGGGCAGCCACAGAGAAAGGTCGGGTTACCCACAAAGGGAAGCCCATCAGACTAACAGCTGATCTCTTGGCAGAAACTCTACAAGGCAGAAGAGAGTGGGGGCCAATATTCAACATTCTTAAAGAAAAGAATTTTCAACCCAGAATTTCCTATTCAGCCAAACTAAGCTTCATAAGTGAAGGAGAAATAAAATCCTTTACAGATAAGCAAATGCTGAGAGATTTTGTCACCACCAGGCCTGCCCTAAAAGAGCTCCTGAAGGAAGCACTAAATATGGAAAGGAACAACCGGTACCAGCCACTGCAAAAACAAGCTAAATGGTAAAGACCATTGAGGCAAGGAAGAAACTGCATCAACTAATGAGCAAAACAACCAGCTAACATCATAATGACAGCATCAAAAACTCACACATTACAATATTAACCTTAAATGTAAATGGGCTAAATGCTCCAATTAAAAGACACAGACTGGCAAATTGGATTAAAAAGTCAAGACCCATCAGTGAGCTGTATTCAGGAAAACCATCTCACGTGCAGAGACACATGTAGACTCAAAATAAAGGGATGGAGGAAGATCCACCAAGCAAATGGAAAACAAAAAGAGGCAGGGATTGTGATCCTAGTCTCTGATAAAACAGACTTTAAACCAACAAAGATCAAAAGAGACAAAGAAGGCCATTACATAATGGTAAAGGGATCAATTCAACAAGAAGAACTAACTATCCTAAATATATAAGCACCCAATACAGGAGCACCCAGATTCATAAAGCAAGTCCTTAGAGACCTACAAAGAGACTTAGACTCCCACACAATAATAATAGGAGACTTTAACACCCCACTGTCAACATTAGACAGATTAATGAGACAGAAAGTTAACAAGGATATCCAGGAATTGAACTCAGCTCTGCACCAAGTGGACCTAATAGACATCTATAGAATTCTCCACCCCAAATCAACAGAATATACATTCTTTTCAGCACCACATCACACCTATTCCAAAACTGACTCCTCAGCAAATGTAAAAGAACAGAAATTATAACAAACTGTCTCTCAGACCACAGTGCAATCAAACTAGAACTCAGGATTAAGAAATTCACTCAAAACTGCTCAACTACATGGAAACTAAACAATCGGCTCCTGAATGACTACTGGGTACATAACGAAATGCAGGCAGAAATAAAGATGTTTTTTGAAACCAATGAGAACAAAGACACAACATACCAGAATCTCTGGGACACATTGAAAGCAGTGTGTAGAGGGAAATTTATAGCACTAAATGCCCACAAGAGAAAGCAGGAAAGATCTAAAATTAACACCCTAACATCACAGTTAAAAGAACTAGAGAAGCAAGAGCAAACACATACAAAAGCTAGCAGAAAGCAAGAAATAACTAAGATCAGAGCAGAACTGAAGGAGATAGAGACACAAAAAACCCTTCAAAAAAATCATTGAATCCAGGAGCTGGTTTTTTTGAAAAGATCAACAAAATTGATAGACCACTAGCAAGACTAATGAAGAAAAGAGAGAAGAATCAAATAGATGCAATAAAAAATGATAAAGGGGATATCACCACCGATCCCACAGAAATACAAACTACCATCAGAGAATACTATAAACACCTCTACGCAAATAAACTAGAAAATCCAGAAGAAATGGATAAATTCCTCAACACATACACCCTCCCAAGACTAAACCAGGAAGAAGTTGAATCTCTGAATAGACCAAAAACAGACTCTGAAATTGAGGCAATAATTAATAGCTTACCAACAAAAAAAAGTCCAGGACCAGATGGATTCGCAGCCGAATTCTACCAGAGGTATAAGGAGGAGCTGGTACCATTCCTTCTGAAACTATTCTAATCAATAGAAAAAGAGGGAATCCTCCCTAACTCATTTTATGAGGCCAGCATCATCCTGATACCAAAGCTGGACAGAGACACAACAAAAAGAATTTTAGACCAATATCCCTGATTTACATCGATGCAAAAATACTCAATAAAATACTGGCAAACCGAATGCAGCAGCACATCAAAAAGCTTATCCACCATGACCAAGTGGGCTTCATCCCTGGGATGCAAGCCTTGTTCAACATATGCAAATCAATAAATGTAACCCAGCATATAAACAGAACCAAAGACAAAAACCACATGATTATCTCAATAGATGCAGAAAAGGCCTTTGACAAAATTCAACAACACTTCATGCTAAAAACTCTCAATAAATTAGGTATTGATGGGACGTATCTCAAAATAATAAGAGCTATCTATGACAAACCCACAGCCATATCATACTGAATGGGCAAAACTGGAAGCATTCCCTTTGAAAACTGGCACAAGACAGGGATGCCCTCTCTCACCATTCCTATTCAACATAGTGTCGGAAGTTCTGGCCAGGGCAATCAGGCAGGAGAAGGAAATAAAGGGATTCAATTAGGAAAAGAGGAAGTCAAATTGTCCCTGTTTGCAGATGACATGATTGTATATCTAGAAAACCCCATCATCTCAGCCCAAAATCTCCTTCAGCTGATAGACAACTTCAGCAAAGTCTCAGGATACAAAATCAGTGTGCAAAAATCACAAGCATTCTTATACACCAATAACAGGCAAACAGAGAGCCAAATCATGAGTGAACTCCCATTCACAATTGCTTCACAGAGAATAAAATACCCAGAAATCCAACTTACAAGGGATGTGAAGGACCTCTTCAAGGAGAACTACAAACCACTGCTCAATGAAATAAAAGAGGATACAAACAAATGGAAGAACATTCCATGCTCATAGGTAGGAAGAATCAACATTGTGAAAATGGCCATTCTGCCCAAGGTAATTTATTTATTCAATGCCATCCCCATCAAACTACCAATGACTTTCTTCACCGAATTGGAAAAAACTACTTTAAAGTTCATATGGAACCAAAAAAGAGCCCACATTGCCAAGTCAATCCTAAGCCAAAAGAACAAAGCTGGAGGCATCACGCTACCTGACTTCAAACTATACTACAAGGCTACAGTAACCAAAACAGCATGGTACTGGTACCAAAACATAGATATAGACTAATGGAACAGAACAGAGCCCTCAGAAACAATGCCACATATCTACAACTATCTGATCTTTGACAAGCCTGACAAAAACAAGAAATGAGGAAAGGATTCCCTATTTAATAAATGGTGCTAGGAAAACTGGCTAGCCATATGTAGAAAGCTGAAAGTGGATCCCTTCCTTACACCTTATACAAAAATTAATTCAAGATGGATTAAAGACTTAAATGTTAGACCTAAAACCATAAAAACCCTAGAAGAAAACCTAGGCAATACCATTCAGGACATAGGCATGGGCAAGGACTTCATGTCTAAAACACCAAAAGCAATGGCAACAAAAGCCAAAATTGACAAATGGGATCTAATTAAACTAAAGAGCTTCTGCACAGCAAAAGAAACTACCATCAGAGTGAACAGGCAACCCACAGAATGGGAGAAAATTTTTGCAACCTACTCATCTGACAAAGGGCTAATATCCAGAATCTACAATGAACTCAAACAAATTTACAAGAAAAAAACAAACAACCCCATCAACAAGTGGGCGAAGGAAATGAACAGACACTTCTCAAAAGAAGACATTTATGCAGGCAAAAAACACATGCAAAAATGCTCATCATCACTGGCCATCAGAGAAATGCAAATCAAAACCACAATGAGATACCATCTCACACCAGTTAAAATGGCGTTCATTAAAAAGTCAGGAAACAACAGGTGCTGGACAAGATGTGGAGAAATAGGAACACTTTTACACTGTTGGTGGGACTATAAACTAGTTCGACCATTGTGGAAGTCAGTGTGGCGATTCCTCAGGGATCTAGAACTAGAAATACCATTTGACTCAGCCATCCCATTACTGGGTATATACCCAAAGGATTATAAATCATGCTACTATAAAGACACATGCACACATATGTTTATTGCGGCACTATTCACAATAGCAAAGACTTGGAACCAACCCAAATGTCCAACAATGATAGACTGGATTAAGAAAATGTGGCACATATACACCATGGAATACTACGTAGCCATAAAAAAGGATGAGTTCATGCCCTTCATAAGGACATGGATGAAGCTGGAAACCATCATTCTCAGCAAACTACCGCAAGGACAAAAAACCAAACACCGCATGTTCTCACTCATAGGCGGGAATTGAACAATGAGAACACAAGGACACAGGAAGGGGAACATCACATACCGGGGCCTGCTGGGAGGTGGGGGGAGGGGGGAGATATAGCATTAGGAGATATACCTAGTGTTAAATGACGAGTTAATGGGTGCAGCACACCAACATGGCACATGTATACGTATGTAACAAACCTGCACGTTGTGCACATGTACCCTAAAACTTAAAGTATAAGAAAAAAAATTTTAAAAGTTTTAAAAAGGATATTTGTGTGTGTGTGTGTGTGTAGGGCACAAATATAATTGATACATATTATAACTGAAACACAAGTTTCAAAAAGCAGTAAATTTACTAGCCTTATGCCCTGTATTGTTTTTCATTCTATTGTATTCTATTGTATCATTTTTTACAAAAAACTGCTCCCAGCCCATGGAACCGATCTCAGAACTCACTAGCGTGCCATAACGTGCAGTTTGAACACCTCTCAACTAGATAATTTTAATGACCTTTCCACTGCTGTGCAGGGGAGATAGTTTTCATTTTCTTCAATAAACTTTTGCGTAATGAGTTGTTGCTGCTGCTGTTTTGGGCAATTTTCTGTAAGACCTTCAACAAAACTACCCTGCACTGATAGATAATCCAGCACTACACGACCATCATTTTTGGAGTTGTTTTAAAAATATCTCTTTAACTAAATTGTAGGACCATATAAAAATATCTCAATAATTTGGACCATACGGACACTCATTCATGTCTTTCTTTGTGTATTTGTCCTTCTACTTAATAAAATAAAGTTTCAATTTTATTTCTAATGCCTTCCATCCACTTTGCTGTCTCCTAGAGAAACAAATACTATATATGTTTATTAGTCGTGTTAGTCACTCCTTCAAACATCCCAAAGTGTCCCTTCTTCCATTTATAGAGGGATAATGAAAAGGAAGCTGGAGGACCAAGGTAGTGAGAAGAGGACAATGGCAAAGGACACTAGTGGCACTGTTGGGTATGGGGTTAGGTCCTGAGTAGCTCTGGGTAAAAGTTGATAAATACACTCCCAAGAGCTAACCACACTCCCTACTCAACAGTCACCTGTTTTAGAAGGCATGGCATGAAAAACTGACCTGCAGCTAATTTACTATTTGTTGATATATCGATTAGGACTACCTAAAATGCCGGGCAAGTTCATATAACTGCATAAAATCTAAGCATGTACCTCTAGAGAGAAACTTAGTTTTCTGCTAGATTATGTCAAACCTAAGTTTTTAGACAGTCTAAATGGGTTAAGGCTGTTCTGGGAAGGAACAGAACGTAGCTTTTAGTATAGTAATGTGTTTCAGGATCACTCATAGATTAGCACTCAAAAAGAGCATATTATGGATTTTAAGTCTCAGATGCAGAGGAAATGGATCATAGTCTCTGAACTTTGTAGTTGTTTTGAACATTGATTAACGTTGGAAGTAAATGCAATGGGGTCTAGTGATCTGGATAGAGGTGGGGGTAAGGGTCAACGGAGCTCCCAGTTTGAGTCAAATAAGTGTTTGATATCAAATAAGTGTTTGATATTGATCACTGAACAATATCAAATAAGTGTTTACTGAGTCCATTAGCATGTACTGACTTTCATTTATTTTCCCATAATTTTACTTTATGAAAAGTCCCTGATGTCAACTTACTGTGTTATCTTTTGTCGTTTTTCTTCTCAAGGTATAATATTCTACATACGCTCACAAATCTCATTAAGTGTTATTTCTAGTTAACTGCATTCTAAGTTTTACTTTAGAATTATTTAGAAACTACCCGCATTAAATAATCCCTCTAGTGATTAAAATGGGTTCAGCTGAAATGTTGACTGAACTATGCCATATGTCCTACCATGTAGATTTTGTAAACAGAATGGACCCACCATAACCTTTTTTAAAATTTTATTTATTTTACTTTAAGTTCCGGGATACATGTGCAGAACATGCAGATTTGTTACATAGATATACAAATGCCATGGTGGTTTGCTGCACCTATCAACCCATCATCTAGGTTTTAAGCTCCACATGCATTAGGTATTTGTCCTGATGCTCTCCTTCTCCTTGTCACCCACCCGCTGACAGGCCCTGGTGTGTGATGTTCCCCTCCCTGTGTCCATGTGTTCTCATTGTTCAACTCTCACTTATAAGTGAGGACATGCGATGCTTGGTTTTCTGTTCCTTTATTAGTTTGCTGAGAATGATGGCTTCCAGCTTCATCCATGTCCCTCCCTGCAAAGGACATGAACTCATTTTTTTATGGCTGCTCAGTGTTCCATGGAGTATATGTGCCACATTTTCTTTATCCAGTCTATCATTGACGGGCATTTATTAGAAAGTCAGGAAACAACAGATGCTGGAGAGGATGTGGAGAAATAGGAATGCTTTTACACTGTTAGTAGAAGTGTAAATAAGTTCAACCATTGTGGAAGACTGTATGGCGATTCCTCAGGGATCTAGAACCAGAAATACCATTTGACCCAGCAATCCCAATAATGGGTATATACCCAAAGGATTATAAATCATTCTACTATAAAGACACATGCACAAGTATGTTTATTGCAGCACTATTTACAATAGTAAAAACTTGGAACCATAACCTTTAAAAAAATTATAAATATAGGTCCTTGCTATGTTGACCAAGCTAGTTTTGAATTCCTGAGCTCAAGCGATCCTCTTGGCTCAGCCTCCCAAAGTGCTGAGATAGGCGTGAGCCGCCGACCGTCATAACCTTTTTTAACAGATTAGACTGCACAGTTGAGGAACTTTTCTGAGGGGCATAAGCTGATTTTTGGTGCCCCAGCCTAGATTAAACAAACCAAAGGCTGAGCTCCTACAAATCTGGATAGTGGACAAAGTACATCTTTAGTGCTCCAGCGTCCTGCCTGCTTCTTTCTGGATGACAAATGCCTTTCCTTCTGTTAAACCTACTTTGCAACAGGATAGAGAATCAGTGCGTATGAGAATAACTTTCAGTGGTGCTTTTTAGAGCAGGTATTTGCATTCAAGTCTTATTTCTCTCCTAACACACTGCAGAGCTTCAGCTTCATGCAGTCAACGAAACTACAGTCAACTCTCCTTCCTGGTGACAATTTCTACTTGGTTGCTTAACCATTGATCCTTATTGGATTTCACAACAAACCATGCTATTCATGAATAAAGAGCATTTATTCATTAATCACAAAGTGTATGTTGAGGGTCTGCTAAGTGTCTAGTCTGAAGCTCACTTATTTTGACTTTCCAAAGAAATATGCACAGCATTCTGGCAAATTCTGCTCACTTCAACTGCGGCTGGTTCTCTCTTTTCAATTCCCAGCTCATTACCAACATTCTGTTTTTCTAACCTTAAAGACACTTCAGAACACCGAGTTCCCGGACATTCCCCTTGTCCAATCAGGTTCTGTGTTCACAGAGCGTGCTGCAGATCATCCCCAGCTCTTCGTCCAGAGGGAAGTAGGAAGCCCAGCCAGAGGCTGTACCATGAGCAGCTGCGAGGTTACGCGCCCACTGGCCCTACATGCTTCTGAGGCCCAAATCCCTGGGGTTACACAAAAGGCCCAGGCTGTGTCAAAACGGAATCGGCTGTCCTGGCTCCCTCACCTTCCTTCCTTTTTGTACTCCTGGCAGGAAGTCACTAATATCAAAAGATACTTTTAAAAAAAGAAAAGAAAAGAAATAACAGAATGCTGCCTAAATCTCAGGCTTAGTTCATCATATTCTACTTGCATAGGAGCCACTAAAACCATTAAAGACCACATCAGATGGCAGCATCTATTTAGCAGGTATTTTGAGAAAGACCTCGTTGCTGGATCCTTTACCTATAACCAAATCCCATGAGCATGGCATCCGATCATTTTAGAGCTGAGAGGGGTGCAATCTTTTAGAAGAGATGTAGCAGAAGGATCAGAGTGATATGCTGCAGAGCTCCAATCCCCTTTTCAGAAGTTTGCTGTTGTTTCTCTGAGACTTGAGTGACTGTAGCACAACTCAAGACTTAGTTTTTTAGAGACCCCCCTCCACCCTCCCGAGAACTACAGGGAGCAAGAAGACATCTCACTTTTCAACTCCCACCTCTGGTTTAGACCACACATTCATCATTTTAGGAAACAGTTAAGAGGTTTTCCTAACTTTGCTCTTATACCCCTGGCATTCCTCTCAGTTATCAATTATCTTTATTTTGGCGATAGTAAGAGAGGCCGAATTCATTTCTTTTTTAGAAACGCTGGAGAAGAGCTCGTGTGAAAAATTACTCTCTGAAATTGAACACTAGGTAGATGATTACCATAAATACCCAGCATCCTGTCAAGCAGGGATCCACGCGTGGGCAGAGGAAAGAGGGAGGGAAAGTAACATTTCATGTTTCCCCTGTCCTAGGCACCTTTCATACACTTTTCAAATCATCACCGCAGTCCCACAAGGTGGGTAGGTAGTCAGACATTTGTGGAAACTGAGGCTCAGTTAATAAATGAATATGCAGGGCCTTGGTCTTTGTTCGGGTCTATCTGAATGCAAAGCCAGATGGCTTTTCACCAAACGGCTGCATCGCAAATCATTGTCCTAGTCGGGGCTTCTGCCTCTCCCATGTCTGATTCATGGTGTGCTTTAGCCACAACATTATGCTCCATATATTATCTAAAGCAATTATCACAGCAACGTGTTAAATTCTAGAAATAACTAAGCTGTAGGGCAGTTAAGTATCGCGTAGGACGTTAGATAGCTAAGATGGAATGGCTATCCCAGTTCCTGTGACTCTAGGTCCCTGCTTTTTCTACAGAGCCACCACCTGTGTGTGAGACATTTGGAAGTGGGCTTTATGCATGCAAATAATTTTCCAGCTGTGTTAAACCCAAGAGAACCAAGAAGGAAGAGCTCTATGAAAGAGAGAGAAAACATTTAAATGGGGTCAAGAAGGAAGGGAAGTCATAAATTAAATGAAGAGTCTAACAGGTTTTGGAGAGATGGATAACATACATTTTTCATATATTTTTCAAGTGCTTACTCTGTACCATAGCAGTATACTTTCTCCATTCAAGAATTTATACCAATGGAGGAGATAGACATAGGAAAAACAAAAACAACCAAAAAACCACAACTCAGTCTCTACTCCACCCCATAGTCCACAATCTTCTTTCCCTCCCAGCCCATCTTGTCTTAGTTAATGGCAACAATACCCACCTGGGCATCTTTTCATCATCTCATTTCCCCTCTTCCTCCCACCTCACATTCCATTTCATGAATTCTGAATGATGGACCAGCTTCCCCAAATTTTTCTCCTCCACTGACTCTTCTGCTACCACCACATTCTAGCTCCACTGTTTTTCCTGTGAACTATCACAAATGTGTCTTATTTTGTTTTATTTTTATTTTATTTTATTTTATTTTATTTTATTTTATTTTATTTTATTTTATTTTTGAGACAGAGTCTTGCTCTGTGGCCCAGGTTGGAGTGCAGTGGCACGATCTTGGCTCACTGCAACCTCTGCCTCCCAGGTTCAAGCAGTTCTCCTGCCTCAGCCACCCCAGTAGCTGGGATTACAGGTGCATGCTACCAAGTCTGGCTGACTTTTGTGATTTTAGTAGAAAGGGGATTTCACCATGTTGGCCAGGCTGGTCTTGAACTCCTGGCCTCAAGTGATCCAGCAGCCACAGCCTCCCAAAGTGCTGGGATTACAAGCGTGAACCACAGCGCCCAGCCAACAAGTGTGATGGTTTCCTTAAAATATAGATAATAACTTTTCTCCAAATAAAATTATTCAGCTTCACGTTGAATAAAATAAAATCAGAACTTCTTATGTCAGCTTACAAAGCTCACTGAGATTTGGTTCTTACCCACATATATGGCCTGTATGGCCTGACTTACTTTCTCTCTCTCTCCACCCCCCGCACCACCCCCCTGTCCCCCCACAACCCCCTTTAGTCACATTGGTCTTTCTGCCTCTTAACCTTAACATCTTTAGGATTTTTATACTGTCCTTTACATGGAAGTATTTTTCCCCGGGGCTGCCTTGGGCTTTCTTTTTCTCATTAGTCAGATCCTCATTCTAATGGTCCCTTCCCATAGAGGCCATTATTGTATCCCCAAAAAGATAAGTTTGCATCCTAATCTCCAAAGTCTGTGAATATGACCTTATTTGGAAATAGTCCTTGCAAATATAATCAAATCAAGTTAAAGGCATACTGGGTTAGGATGGGCCCTAATGAGTTAACGGTATCCTTAAAAGAAGAGGGAAATTTTAGACACAGACACACCGGGAAGAAGGCCATGTGAAGGTGAAGGCATGTATTGGAGTGATACATCTGTAAGCCAAGAAATTTCAGGAATTTCCAGCCACCACCAGCAACTAGCAGAAGTAAAGGAAAATTTCTCCCCAAGAGCCTTCAGAGAGAACGTGTCCTGCTGCTATCTTGATGTCTAACTTCCAGCTTCCAGAATAGGGAGAATACATTTCTATGAAAAAATAAATTTCTTGCTGGGCATGGTGGCTCATGCCTGTAATCTCAGCACTTTGGGAGACCAAGGTGGCAGATGACTTGAGGTCAGGAGTTCAAGACCAGCCTGGCCAACATGGTGAAACCTCGTCTCTACTAAAAATACAAAAATTAGCTGGGCATGGTGGCGTGTGTCTGTAGTTCCAGCTGCTTAGGAAGTTGAGGCAGGAGAATCATTTTAACCCAGGACATGGAGGTTGCAGTGAGCTGAGATCGTGCCACTGCACTCCAGCCTGGGTGACAGAGTGAGACTCCATCTCAAAAAACAAACAAACCAATTTCTGTTGTTTTATGCAACCCACTTTGTGATAACTCATATGGCAGCCCCAGGAAATTAATTTAGAATTCAATCAGAATTTTCTAGCTGTGTTAGACCTAACAGAACAGAGAGAGAACAGCTCTATAAAAGAGAGAGAAGACATACAAATTCAGTCGAGGAAGGAGAATCATAAATTAGACTAAAAGTCTAACAGGATTTAGAGAGATGAGTAACATATATTTTAAATATTTTTCAAGTGATTTGTGGTTGGTTCCCCCACAGCCAACTCTTTATTGCATAATTCAGTTTTTTTATTCATAGTATTTATCACTCTCTGAAACAGTTTAAGTCATTACATATGTAGTAAATATGTACATTTATAATGTTTATATATACATGTTTATCATATGTATATCTGCTTATCCTTATACAATATATAAATATTTGAAAGTGCAAAGTTTATTTACCTGTTTCACCCAACACCTAGAAGATAGCCTGGATATACAAATATCTGCTCAATGAACACATGAACTTGGTGAATTTAGTAGTATAACTAAACTGAGATAATGTCTAAATAAAAGCCTTTATTATAAATTTGATTTTGTATCACATTTGAGGAATACGTAATATGTTTGTGTGATTCTTATAGCAAAGGTCTATATTTGAAATGATAACAATAACTAGTTAATCCAAGAAGAATTGAGAAGGCCAACTAAACCAAATATAACAGGTAAAAAGATCCCATTCATTTACTTTTAGCTGTCCCCATTGCTTAAAGAATGAGATAGGATATTCCCAAACAACTGTGATTTTTCCTACGACTTGGAAAATAACTTCATTTTCAAATCTGAGTTTAGGTTCTCCTAAAATGAGTGTGGCAGTTTATGCTCTAATTTATCATGTCATCTGCTTAATTAAGTTTGAACTGATATTACTTTTGGTTTCCTAACTATACAGCCTCTCAGATGTGTTGAGTATCATTGAGGGTGCTTGTGCAGAAAAATCAAGTTTGTTCCAGTGGGCAAAACTCAGGCTTCCAGAATCAAAACCTTCCAATTTCCATCACAATATACTATATAATCATAGATAAATAACCCTAATTTTCTGAGCATAACATATAATTGTTTTTCATATCATTTGTTTCCTTTTTCAAAGTTATTATGTCCAAGCACAGTAACTCATGCCTGTAATCTCAGCCCTTTGGGAGGCCAAGGTGGGAGGATCACTTTGAGTCCAGGAGTTCAATACCAATCTGGGCAACATGGTGAAACCCTGTCTCTACAAAAAATACAAAAATTAGCCAGGTGTAATGGTGTGCGCCTGTAGTCCCAGCTATTTGGAAGGCTAAAGAGGGAGGGTCTCCTGAGCCCAGGAGGTTGAGGCTTCAGTGAGCTGTGATTGTGCCACTGTACTCCAGCCTGGGTGACAGAGTGAGACCCTGTCTCAAAAAAAAAAAAAAAAAATACTATAAAGGTGATAGAAGTTTATAAAAACAATTTAGAAAATACAAAAAGTATAAACCAGTCACAATATTACCAGCCTCAAATAGGAACTGTTAACCTGTTGATGTATTTTGTTTTAGTCGGTTTTGTGTGCACATATGCCTAAAAACAGAGGCACAGAAATATGGATATGCTGTTAAAAATTAGGAGCATATGTTATGCAATATATAGCTTATATCATGCTTTATTTTAGGGCTATATAAATATTGGTTTCTTTTACTCATTCTATGTGAATTTTTTCTGTGACCGTGACTTTAAGTGTCAGCCTTACATTTAATTAAATGGAGATGCTATAAAATAACAAGCACTTTATTGTCAAATTAGCTATTGTTAATTTATAAAAGCTTTTTCAGTAAACTTTGGTGTCCATAAATCTTCATTTACATCTGATTAATTTCTCAAGGGAAAATTCATATAAGTAGAATTGCAGGGTCAAAGTGCATGAATACTTTTAAGGCTTTCCCATTCCTTCTAGAAGTATATTTATATCCCCTCTACACATACAGCATACAGTCATACACCTGATTTCTACCTAAATAAAAATGAAATTTTATTATTTTAATGTCCTTTTATAAGACATTTTGCAAATACTTTTCTTTATTATCTTATAATTTTATTCTTAATTTTTAATGTAGATTTTTTAAAGTCTACAGACAAGTTTATCAATCTTTCTGATTGTATTTTCTTCAATTTGTATATTGGAAATAATATCCTCACCATAAAATGATTCTAGAAATTTCTACCAAGTGACCATTACATAGCTGACACTGATCTAGGTGCTGGGGTTGTAAAAATGATGGAGCCAAAATTCCTACCTTCGTTGAGTTTGCAATCTAGTCACAGCAGATTTACAATAATCAACATAAATGGTCTACTAATTAAATAAACAAGCTGTTTCAGATAGTGATAGGTTCACGAAGAAAAAAAAAATAGGACAATTGAAAATTGAGTGCCCATCCATGTGAGGGGTGCATGTTTAAACTTAGTTTCAGATGAAGACTTCAGGAGGAGGCATTAGAAATGAAACCAAATGATAAGAAAGAGACAGTCCTAGGCATGTGTGGGAAGCCTCATTGCAAGGAGAGATAATAATGGTGAGTGCAAAGACTTGGAAATGAGAGCAGGCTTGGTGGGTTCCACGACAGAAAGAAGGCCAGTCTGACTCAAGTATAGCAGGTGATGCAGAATGCAACCTTGGGAATATAACAGGACCAGATCCCATGGTTCTTTATAAATCATGAGGAGAAGTTTGGATTTCCAACTTTAGAACTTTTGGAAAGTTTCCAGTGAGAAGATGATATGTTCACTTTGCTTGGTGGAAAAATGGCTTGGAAGTGGGTCTAAATAGAAGCAAAAGAGCAAGATAGGAGGCTATTAGTATAACCTGGCAGAGAGAATATGGTAGATATGTCTAAGGTTATAGCCACAGACTCTATTTTGTGGTTTCACTAATTATAGTTAAATGTATAGTTATCTGAAAATAATGTATTTATTATAGTTAACTTTTATTCCATCTTGAAGTAAACTATAGAGTTCTCCTCTCTCTCTCTCTTTCTCTCTCTCTCTCCCTCTCCTGCTATAATGTCTCTCTTTCTGTGCCAGTGTCAGCATTTTGACTATGGTAGCTTGAAAATGTTTCAATTTACTAGTAAATCCCCCATCGTTACTTTTGTTTTCGAAATTTTCTTTGCTAATATATTTTCTTCTTTTTTTTTCAGATGATCCTTGAACATTTCCTCAAATCTCTTTTACCAGTACACACACACACTCACACACACGCACGCACACACACGTCTGTGAGATTTTGAATGGTAATGCATTAAAACTATTTGTAAATGTTGTGGTTCTGAGAGGAACTGGGCTGAGCTACGTGGTTTTCTATTCTAATTTTTCAAATGCTTGAAGGCAGGCGTTGTTAGGGGCTTCAGTCATCTAAAAGCTCAAATTCGTTGCATATCCCAAGATAAACTCATTCACGTGTCTGAAAGATCGTGCTGGCATTGGCTGGAAATGTAGGTGGAGCTTGTGAATATGGTCTTTCCATGGGCTTTTCACACTAAGGTAAATGGATTCCAAAAAGGAATCCCCCAAGAACAAATTCTCCAAGATATCTAGACAGAGGCTGTAATGATGCTTACATGAGTTTGAGTCATCAATATTAGACTGTCATATCTCCCACATTCTATTGGCCAAATGAGTTTGTTAAGGTCAGCAAGGATTCAAGGGAAAGATAATAGACCACAACTTTTGATGGAGAAGTGGCAAGGTCCTGTCCAGAAGATCATGCAGGATGGGATACTGTGGCTCTCCTTGGTTACAGTCTGCCAGAATCCACCTCCTCAGTCCACAACAATTCACATCCCTCCCACCTGCAAAATACACTTGCCACTCCTCTAAGATCCCTGTAATTTTATCCCAATGCAGTGATCTTGAAATCTAGGATCTCTTCAGACAAATCAAATGCAGATGTAGAAGAGGTTTATGGGTACAATTCCTCAAGAACATTTTCTTCCTGTCTGAAAACCTGTAAACAAGTTAGCTGCTCCTGTGCACACACCCAACATACAAGAGTGATCAGGAAAATAATTGTTATTGGTTAAATTGTGCCCCTCGAAATTCATATGTTGAAGTAATCCCCAGTACCTCAGAATGTGAAATTATTTGGAAGTAGAGTCATTGCATATGTAAATAGGATGAGGTCATACTAGAGTAGGGTGGGCTTTTAATCCAATACACCTGGCATTCTTATAAAAAGGGGAAATTTTGACACAGACATACATAGAAGAAAGACAATCTGAAGAGGAACAGGGAGAAGATGGTCATCCATAAGCCAAGGAGAGAGGCTTGGAACAGATTCCTTCCTCACAGTCCTCAGAAGGAACCAATTCTACCAACACCTTGATTTTGGACGTCCAGCCTCCAGAACTGTGAAGCAATAAATTTCTGTTGTCTAAGCCACCCAGTTGGTGGCACTTTGTTATAACAGCCCTGGCAAACTAATACAAAAATAATTGAAGCTGAGCATATACCTGTAGTCCCAGCTACTGGGGAAGTTGAGGCAGGAGGCTTTGTTGAGCCCTGGAGTTTGAGGCCAGTCTGAATGACATAGACAGGCTCTGTCTCTAAAATATAAATATAAAAATAAAAACAAAAATTAATTAAAATAGACACTCTCATTGAAAAAGAAAAGAAATAGGGGACATATAGCAGCCATTAGTCCACAGCAATTTCAAAATTTCATCAGAAATGTATCATTAATATCTTAATTAGATGCTCCTTGGATCTGTTTTTTTGTTGATCTTAGTTCTGCTGTCAGGACTCTAAGCTCTGCTCTCTGAAATATCTCTTCTTTCTCATAAGAAATGGCTTATTTTAGGCCGGATGCAGTGGCTCACGCCTGTAATCCTAGCACTTTGGGAGGCCGAGGTGGGAGGATGATCTGAGGTCAGGAGTTCAAGACCATGGTGAAAGCCTATCTCTACTAAAAATCCAAAAATTAGTGGGGCACGGTGGCTCACACCTATAAACTCAGCCACTTGGGAAACTGAGGAAGGAGAATCGCTTGAACCCGGGAGGCGGAGGTTACAGTGAGCCGAGATGGTGCCAATGCACTCCAGCCTGGGCGACAGAGCGAGACTCTGTCTCAAAAAAAAAAAAAGGCTTATTTTTTGCAGATGAGTAACTTTCTCTAATTGCTTCCTTCAGGAAGTTAGGAGTTCAAAGATGTTTTTGTCTCTATCCTTTTTAATCCAAGCATCGAATGCTTCTGCTAGTATAATTATAGTAAAACGCCTTGTAGGTTTTCTGTAAATCTTGTTAGGGTTCATTCCATTAAACAAAATCCATTCCTCCACATTTCTGGCTTAGGCTGAGAATCTGGATGCTGTAAGACAAAACCCTTATATTTCTCAGACACCTTTTGGTTTAGTTGAAAGGGTTTATGAGGCATGTACTTAAATCATTTTGAAGTTTTAATACAGGGTCTTATAACGAAACTCTTGATTTTTTTTCTTTACCCTGAGGTTATTTCTTACTTTGAGAGTCTTTTTCCATGTAGAGAAGTTAGAAATAAAAAAATAGTTTTAGTTTCAAATCCATCAAGGCCTGACTCCTGAATATTGCTTCAAACTTCTGCTTAAAAACAGACATAGTACTTTATTTTAGCTTATCTTTATCTATTGATACTTTATCATATGTAGCTAAAATAAATTAATTGGCATTTCTATTTCATTAGTCATATTTTCTATTTTCCATGTTACCACAGACCATAGTTTTGGTAAAATTTCTGCCATTACATAACACAAATTTCTTTGTATTCAGTGTTCAATGACAATTTTCTTACTATCCTTTAAGGCTACTATCAAAGACATTCCAGTTTTTGCCCACTGTATAGTCCCACAGAGAATGCTCCATGTTTTAGTTTTACATTATGACAGTATCCAGGCACCAACTTAGGCATTGGATGGAGCAACTTAGGTATCAAATCAGGCAAACAAAACTACTAAGAATGACATGGAATAAGAAATTTTTTATAGGAATTAGACCTTACTCATTTGCGAGAGCTGGTAAAGACATATGGGAAGACTGTCCCTTGAATTCAGTGGTGGGAAGAAGCTTCCTGTAGATCAGTAGAACCAAACTCGAAGTGACTCAGGGGAGAGTAAAGACAAGCTGAACCTGGTGTGGGGGACGAATTGGAACTTACAAAGATACCTGCAATCTGTGTCTCTCACCACCTCTGAACTTGACAGTGTCAGTGACCTGCAACAGAAATAAGGGTACTTTGCTGCAGATTTGCATACATACACCTGATTTGTGGTCCAAAGAAGCAAAAGGACCAGATCCAGTGGAAGCTGGAAAAGCTGGGTGAGCTGAAACCAAGCACTGCCCCACACTAATACAGTCAGCTGATCAGAGATCCATCAAGGGACCTGGCACCCTGCATCTCTGGACTGCAATGGGGACTTCATCACTATCACCTTCCAATAAAAATGCTCAAACAAAAGGTAGTTGTGCTCTGTTTATATAGTTGAAGGCAGGAGAAGGGCACACATTGATTAAAATCTGATGTCTCTAGTCATAATTCACACAATGGACTTTTTATTATGAGACCAAACTCTAAGAGGATATGGAATCTCTTGATGTAATGGTTTCCTCAGAATTCATGGGGTAATAAGGAATTTGTATGTTACAGATTTTCAATTTTTGCTTCAGCTGCAAGAAACTCACAATTAAATTGTGACATTCAATTTTTGCAAATATCCTTAGTCAACATTTCCTGGCTTAATAACTGCTTCCCTTTCGTTATGACTTTTTACATTTTCTGTTCATTATTTTAATTATTTAACATTTAATTTTGTAGGTCAGGCACCAACTTAGGCATTAGATAGGGCAATTTAAGTATCTCAAATAACTTCTGGAAGTAGGTTGAATAGAAATATAATGTGTTTTTTTGTGGTAGTTTTATAGCTGTTGCCAAGGTTTTCTCTCTTTTTCTACATCTGGTTGACTCATTTCTGTTTCCCTTTGTCTTTTTTTTTTTTTTTTTGGCTTGTAGTTTTGTTTTGCTTTTGTCTTTTATCTTTTGTGCAAAGCTGAGCTCTTAGAATTACGAAAGAGATGTTGGATGAAATTCAAGGCTATTATATGATTTTTCAAGAGAGCAATGTCTAAGGGCTCCTTTTCACGTAACAGAGTACTACAGACAATGTAAAGGAAGATGGCAGAAAATCCTCAAAAGAAGCATGACTCCTCCCCTGAACACTCTAAGCTAGAGTTTTGCACACCAGTCTTTAGCTTCTCCTTATCTTATACGTGGGTAAGTTAATCTCATTATGCACAATCAGAAAAAAAGAATATGATGAATTTGAGATTCTCATTGAGAATTAATCGTCTGATACTTCCCATAAATTCAGTGCCATCTCCTGAGTTCTTAGTAGCACAGTAGAAGACAAGATAAATTACCAGTGACTTTAGGTAAATTATAGAGATTTACCAATCTTAGACACAAAGCTGAAACTTGTGACATTTGCAAAGTGTTCACCAGGCAACATGAAACAACTCCCAATTAAGGTGGAAATCAGCAACCATGAACTCACACAGAAGGCCTTGCTTCATATGTTTTTAAAAACAACTTCCTTGTCTAGAATATTTTTATACAGGGCCAAGAAACTGAAAGCTGAGGATACATGCTCTCACACACAAACACATGCAAACACACACAGTTGCAAACACACACCCCTCTCTTATATCATTTTGCAGGCAGTGCTGCTCACAGGCTTGCAGCTTTATCTAGGTAAGAAGCAAATGGCAAAAGGGCTCAAAGATAAGTGTACTCTTTCTCTTTCCTTTTTCCTATCTCTCTCTCTCTCTCTTTCTCTCTTTCTTTCTTTTTTTGATGGAGTCTGGCTCTGTCGCCCAAGTTGGAAGGCAGTGGCATGATCCCGGCTCACTGCAACCTCTGCCTCCCGGTTCAAGCGATTCTCCTGCCTCAGCCTCCGGAGTAGCTGGGATTACAGGCACCCACCATCACGACTGGCTTATTTTTGTATTTTAGTAGAGACAGGATTTTGCTATGTTGGCTAGGCTGGTCTTGAACTCCTGGCCTCAAGCAATCCACCTGCCTCAGCCTCTCAAACTGCTGGGATTACAGGTGTGAGCCACCTTGCCCGGCCCCTCCCTCCCTTCATTCCTTCCTCCCTCCCTCCCTTCTTCTTTTCCTTCCTTCCTTCCTTCTTTCCTTCCTTCCTTCCTTCCTCTCTCTTTCTTTCTCTTTCTTTCGTTATTTCTTTCTTTCCTCCTTCTTTCATCTCTTCCTTCCTTTTCTTCTCTCTTTCTCTCTTCCTTTCTCTTTCTTTTTAAAAAAATATTTCTTGATTGCTCTTGGTTACTGCTCCATCAGACCCTACATTTCCTGAGAAATCAGTCACTTTTTTTATCTCCCAGAATTATTTACATAGTCCACAGTGAATACTAGGTAAATTTTCATTATATAAATTAGTGGTGTTGAATGGTCTTAAGTGAGCGGAGCCTTGAGTAGGTTTCTGTGTGTGTAAAAAAGGAAGAGAGATAGAGAGATAAAGAAGAGAAGGTAGAGAATGTAGCAGGCACAGTGGCTCATACCTGTAATCCTAGAACTTCTGGAGGCTGAGGCGGGGGAATTGCTTGAGGCCAAGAGTTTGAGACCAGCCTGGGCAACAAAGTGAGACCTCATCTCTACAAAAAGTAAAAAAATTAGCTGGGCATGGTGGCATGAACCTGTGGTCCCAGTTACATGGGAGGTTGAGGCAGGAGGATTGCTTGAGCCCAGGAGTTCGAGGCTGCAGTGAACCATAACCATGCCACTGCACTCTAGCCTAAGTGACGGAGCAAGACCCTATTTCAAATAAAAAAAAAAAAGAAAAGAAAAGAAAAGAAAGAGAGAGGAAGAATGTAGTATGGTGGTCAGCTTCTAGTGACACCACCTGCTAGAATTACTGGATACCCTTGGCTACCAGAGTTACCTATGCGTGCTATTAGAAAGAGACTGTTTTTCTATGAAAAGTAGCTCCATGTAGATAATAATTGGAAAACAGAAATGATGAAAAAGATTCGGACTCCAACACCCACTAAAAGAGCACAAAATTACATTCTGTCAATCCTATTATTCAAAAAAGGATTGTTGGAAAAATCTCCTTTTTCTGTGGGCTCTTTTTCTATAGCTGAGAATAATGACCTCTTGAGTTTCGTAACATAAGTAGTTAGACCGTGGAGGCATGAAATCAAGAAAAATAAAGGTCTGCATCTTCTGGTTTGATTGTGAAAGGTCTAATGTAGGGGCCACCTAAATCAAAAACTATTAATTATTGTTATCTGTGGTAGTTATGTTCTATAAAGTCACCAGGAACACTGAATTTGTGAATACTGAATCACTGCTCTTAGGGGAAATGTAGGGTGAGGGTCCCACGAGCCTCTGCTCACAACATTTTCATCAACAAATCAATACATACCTTATTTTACGTGTGTCTCTGCTTAAAAACACATTATTTAACATATATTGTTGAATGATTAACATTGAACTCCTGGCCAGCAGCACTACATACATTCTTGAACAAAGTTGCCTATGAACGTATTTTCTCTGTAAGAGAAATGTCAGCTTCCTTGCCCTTAGGAGGACGGAACAACACTATCCTGTAGGGGTGAGGGTAACAGAAAAATTACCAGCAAAAGGAACAAAAATGCAGAAAAGGTGGCTCTAAACAGACTGGAAAAAGTACACTTGTTAATAGGGAGTACAGAACATAAGAGCAGAACATCACTTTGTTAGACCCCAGTTTTTCCCCACTTGTGCATGTCTGCAAATGACCAAACGGCACTACAGGTATTGATTGAAGAGTTACAGATACGTTCTAGCTGGTAGGGAAATTCACAAATATGAAATCTTAATAATGAGGATTAACTTGATATACATTAGTGGGCAAGTTGAGATTCCTGAAATTAAATGCAACTGACTGCTCTACATTTCTAACCCTAAGTATTACGCATCAACATGAGTTCAAGTGGAAGCAAAAATAAATGATTCCTACAACATGCTTCCCAGTAAATGTGTTTTTCCACTTAATGGGTGATGGAAGAAAGGCTTAACTACTTTACATCACAATGAAAATTCTGAAGAAAATGCCTATATCATTTAAGACCTAAAGGCATAAATGAAGAATATAAAAAGGTGACTTGACAAGGGAAAACAGAAATGAAGTCTCTTGAGAAAAGTTGTCCAATGTTATTTTTGTGATATTTGAAATGTCCCTGGGTTGGTGCAAGCCATTAGACACTATTTCTGAAAGAGAAATAACTAACATCTAACTGGGCAGAGCTACAGGGATCCTACATAATGCAGGATAGCACAATGAACATAAGGCAACATAGAAACACCTCATGATCTAGATATTTTTATGCACATTTAACACTAGGAGAATTTTATTTTCTTAATGATTGTTAAAAGTATTGTATAAATGAATAATTATTGCCAAAATTAAACATAGGACACATAAAGTTGAAGTGATGCTCCATGCATGGCAGCTATTATTATTTTGAAACCAGCTGCTAACTAAGTAGTACTTCATGGGGAAACAGAGGAGCTTTTGATACGACACTGTCTAGACAGGCTTCTGAGCAGGAATGGGCATTGCAGTGCACTTCTCTATCATAGCAGAAACTGTAGCTTGCAAATTACCTATTTCCTCCCTTTCATTTCTAAAAAGGCCTAACATCATATTCTCCAAGACTTGCTTGCAGTGAGATGTGTCCAGGTGACTGTTTTCTGGCCATTTATGTAAAAGAGGAAACCACTGAGTAGGATTTCCAGAAAAGCTTTTTAAAAGGTACTCATCGCACCCCCCTCCCCCCGCCTGAAGGCCCAGCTATTGCGGAGACTGAGGTGGGAGGATCACTTGAACCCGGGAACTCAAGGCTGCAGGGAGGCATGATCGTGCCATCGCACTCCAGCCTGGGCAACAGAGCGGGACCCTGTCTCAAATAAATAAATAAATAGGATGAATGCAGCTGACATACTTTTTTCCAGTACGTCATGAACTAGATAATGAAGTGTTTCTATGTTCCCTTTTTTCCTTGCATGATGGCTCTTGAGGTCCTTTTGAGAGTGAGGATAAAGGTCATACTCTAAGGAGGGAAAGTACAAAACTAAAGCAATACTCACTTTGTGACGAAATTGTGAAGCCTCCATACCAGCACTTGACTACCAATCTCCCATGAGAAAAATAAACAAACCCTATGTTGCTTAAGCCATTGAGTTCGGGGTTTTTGACACTAGCAGACAAGTACAATTCCTAACCAACAGACCTAGGGATGATGCCCTTGACTGGTGTTCAGGAGCATTTATTAGGTCCCTGTGTGGATTATACTCAAGTTTTTCAGCTTTTCCTAGAAAAGAAGAGTGCCATGTTGTAACATAGAAAGTGAGACATACACGTGGTGGCTCACGCCTGTAATCCCAGCACTTTGGGAGGCCGAGGCAGATGGATCATGAGGTCAGGAGTTTGAGACCAGCCTGAGCAACATGGTGAAATGCCGTCTCTACCAAAAATTAAAAATCAGCCGGGCTTGGTGGTGCCCACCTGTAATCCCAGCTACTCAAGAGGCTGAGGCAGGAGAATCACTTGAACCCTAGAGGTGGAGGTTGCAGTGAGCTGAGATCGTGGCATTGCACTCCATCCTGGGTGACAGAGCAAGACTCTGTCTGAAAAAAAAAAAAGAAAGAAAAGAAAGTGAGACTTAACATCTGTCATTCATTTAAGGTAGATACCCTGACTTAAACTTATTCTCCTCCTCTCTGTATGTTGATGAGAATAGTGTAGAGTACATGACATTGGGCTGACACTGCTTGGATTGGTAGGTTTTCACGGCTGTTGTTGAGTAGTGATGAATGATGGCATTGAGTCCATAGAAGTATGAATTTTAAAATATAATTTTCTCCTCTTTTGTATGCTGGGTTTAAAAATAGAAGAATTCATG
The DNA here is from genome assembly GCF_000001405.40 of Homo sapiens. Classification (NCBI taxonomy): domain Eukaryota; kingdom Metazoa; phylum Chordata; class Mammalia; order Primates; family Hominidae; genus Homo; species Homo sapiens. The sequence goes on along the minus strand of NC_000008.11, from coordinate 40,119,693 downwards.
TGAAAACTATGGTCCATGCATTTCTTTTAAAGAGGTGAATTTCCAGGTTTTAGGTTTATATTTTATTTGAGTAACCATGTCTAAAATGTCCTGTGTAAACAGGCATTTAAGCAATCCAGGGCATGGCCTCCAGATAAAATTTAGTTCACTCATAAGGAATTATGTCTGCCTTTGGAGCAGATCACCAGTTCTTCCAGGTGTTACTTTCCATTTCCTTATCATTTTACCCAGCTTCAGAAAGACTGGCCTGAGTTAAAACTTTTTGCCTTCATTTTGGTTGACAGCAGACCCCTCCCGTTTACTGAAAAGAGTGTTGCAGATTTCCTGTTTAACAGATGATGGTGAAGAGGGGGCAGAGCGTGAGGCGTCAGTGATCCTACCTATGAAAAGAAGGCACATGCTTTGCTAAAAAAGGATAAAGATGAAAGGTCTCTAAGTGGCTGTGTATTCATCCATTGTTTAGTGCAGGAGACGCTGACTCACTGTGCTGACAGCCAGGGGAAATCCTGTATTTCCCTCTCTGGGACTTTTGGATTCAGCTTGCTTAAGAGAGGCAAGCACTTTATTGTTCTGCTGGAGCCTTGGTGCCACTATTCCAGACATACTCGTGTCAAGTTTCAGGTGGCTTCTATAAATCATGTCATTGGAAGTTAGGGAGGTGGCTTTTTCCTCTTCTGTTGTTTGGACATACAAGCGTGGTACGTGTATGCATCTTCCCACTCACCTGAACTATGGGGCCAGGTCTTCATGGGAGCATCCTCCTATGGCCACTTGTCATTTTCAAGGAAAGTGAATCCCAGCCTTTTCATCATATTAGAATAACTCCACGTAATTGCTAAGTGTGTATGTCATCAAATTAAGAAAATACTGTATAAGTCATCCACGATTTACAATATCATGCACTCAACAGTATTCTTATCCATTTACAGGGAGAAAAAAACATTTAAAATATGGTATCTGTCTTAAATAAATGACAACCAACTTGAGAACTATATGGCATAGAACTTGCATAATTTCTCGTTCATATAAACGAAACTGAAGACCATGAAGGACTTAGACTGTAAGCCACACAGACTATAGTTAAGAAAGTATTGGCCGGGTGTGGTGGCTCACGCCTGTAATCCCAGCACTTTGGGAGGCCGAGGCGGGTGGATCACGAGGTCAAGAGATAGACACCATCCTGTCTAACACAGTGAAACCCCGTCTCTACTAAAAATTCAAAAAATTAGCCGGCGTGGTAGCAGGCGCCTGTAGTCCCAGCTACTCGAGAGGCTGAGGCAGGAGAACGGCGTGAACCCGGGAGGTGGAGGTTGCAGTGAGCCGAGAGCCCGCCACTGTACTCCAGCCTGGGCGACAGAACGAGACAAAAATTAGCTGGGCGTGGTGGCACATGCCTGTAGTCCCAGCTACTCCGGAGGCTGAGGCAGGAGAATCGCTTGAACCCGGGAGGCAGAGGTTGCAGTGAACCAAGATCACGCCACTGCACTCCAGCCTGGCAGCAGAGTGAGACTCTGTCTCAAAAAAAAAGGAAAAGTATTCACCAAGAAGGGGATGAGTGACTTGGGGGGGTTAATGTTTATGTAGCCTTTAAATTAGAAAGGGGAAAAAGTCAATTCTAGCAAGAAACAGCATGTGTAAAACCTTGGAATCGAGCTAAATACATGTTGGCAGAGAAGAGTAAATTAAAAATCTTGTCTTAAAAAAAGAGAATTTGTTGCATTTTAAGAGCTGTAAAAGGATTTGTAAAATATTAAGAGATTTTAAGAGAACTGGTAGCATTTTAAGAATTAAGTTAGGCAACATGATGGAAGGTGTTTGAGCTTGATGACTGGGAAACACAAAATCTTCAGATACACTCAGGGATTCAGTGAAAACAATGTTTGAGAAGAAAAACTTTGGCAAGTGTTCATGACTATTGATATAATGCTTACAAAATGAATAATAAAATTAAAATTTAACGTAGGGATGTTTAAAATTACTTGAAAGGAAAAACTGTTTACTTACATTAAAGATTTAATGGACAATTATGATGCTTTATCCAAATTACAGAATAAGAAAACTGGTAAGACAAAAGAAATAATTTCATTCAATCTTCTAACACTTCTAATGGAGAATTTCCTCTAGGCTGTTGACTACAGTATGTGATCTATTATCTTAACTAATGAACACTGGCGTAGACAGCCTGATGCAGGTCACATGACTTTAAAACATTACATCATTGGCCGGGTGCTGTGGCTCATGCCTGTAATCCCAGCACTTTGGAAGGCAGAGGCGGGTAGATCACCTGAGGTTGGGAGTTCAAGACCAGCCTGACCAACATGGAGAAACTTCATCTCTGCTAAAAATACAAAATTAGCCGGGCGTGGTGACGCATGCCTATAATCCCAGCTACTCGGGAGGCTGAGGCAGGATAATTCACTTGAACCCGGGAGACAGAGGTTGTGGTGAGCCGGGATCGCACCATTGCACTCCAGCCTGGATAATATAAGTGAAACTCTGTCTCAAAAAAAAAAAAAAAAAAAAAAAAGGCCGTGCAGGGTGGCACGTGCCTGTAATCCCAGCTACTCGGGAGGCTGAGGCAGGAGAATTGCTTGAATGTGGGAGGCAGAGGTTGCAGTGAGCTGAGATCACGCCACTGCACTCCAACCTGAGTGACAGAGTGAGATTCTGTCTCAAAAAAAAAAAAAAAAAAAAAAATCCATCATTCAGAATGAAGCTAGGTTTCTACTAATTGCTACAAATTAGTGAGGGTTTAAACAGTTGGAGTAAACAAACTGCTGTGATGTTCAAGGTTATAGTGAGTTGGCAAACCTGTGCAGATAGAGATGGCATTAAAAGGGCTATTGTAATAAACTGAGATTGTTGCTCATGTCCATTGCATATAATTTACTTTCCAATTCAGCTCCTCTGAACAACAATTTGAACTTGGAAATTATTTTTGCAGAAAGTCCAATTTTTTCATAGATTTAAAATCAGTTTATTCAAGTTATTTTTCTTGCCCTCTATTTTTCCTACCCTCTTTATTTTTCTTTGTCATATTATTGCCTATTTCTTCAGGCTCAATGAGCTCTCCTTTAGCTCATGTAAAATTGGATGGATTTAATCTTTCTTATTTGGCACCTTGGTTATTTCCCATGATGCTTCTCCCGGGTGAGATCTGACTCTCATCCGTCATTTTGGGAGGAATCTAATATTAAAGAATCTTCCAGTATTCATCTCTTGGGGCTTGTGGATGTTACTCAGGGATGTCTGTCAGAATTCTGGCATGCAAAGTGACAGCCAGTAGGTTCAACTTTGATAATTTTTATTTTCTTGCTATATGAAATAGCTTTATCCAAGGGTTTTAACTGTAAAACACAGTCATCTGAGTAATAAGCAGGTCAAATCTTTGGATATAGTATCTCTCAGTTTCTAGAAGGGAAATTTCATTCTTCATTTAAGGAATGTTTGGGCTATGTGTGAGCTTTTAGTTTCCAAGTTTTCAATTTGCATGTTCTCTTTATCATTTGCATATAATTTATATATTGCAGGGTCTTGTTCTCACATCACAGTTTTAAGATGAAAAGATTTCATAATCATTAAGTGTCTCTCACTGACATGATTTTAATTACCAGTGCTATAACAGGGTAGGCCTCAGTTCAGGAAAGAGGACCTGGGAAACACAGACAAGAATGACCTCTTCATTGCCGAGAAAAAACTACAGCTTGCTTTATTTCAGACTTTTAATATACCTTATATTCCCTTGAATTCGAGAAGTAATTTTTCTGTTGTATTTCACAACGTGTTCTGATATGTTTACCAACCAGGAAGCTCCACCAAACTTCAGGGTCCACAGTTATTAAGGTTTCATTACACAGGCACAATTGGTTGAATCACTGGCCACGTCTTTGGACTCAATCTCCAGTCCCCTCTTTTCCACCGAGGCTGGGAGATTGTGCTGACATGTAAGTGTGGTCCCAGAGATCCATTGTGAATAACAAAGGCACTCTTATCATTTAGAAAATTCCAAGAATTTAGAGTCTCCCTTCCAGGAACCAGGGACAAAGACCAGTCAAATTATTTATTATACAACCGAGTTTAATAAATGTAGCTAGTTTTATTAATGTTATTATACCTTTGAGTATCATAACAACTTTGTGAGGCGGAGAGAGATAACTTTGTGAGGCAGAGAGAGTTTTTCCTATAAATGTTGACACTGTGTTTTTTAGTGATGAGACAAAAAGGGCAGATGGGAACATATGTTCCATTGAAGATAAAATTTCTGACACTCAGAAAAATTAAATACCTGAAGAAAGTAAAGAAGAACATCAAGTGTTTCACACATTTTCGACTTTCAGGCTTGTAAGCAAAAGAGTGAAAGGGTTAACTATAACATATTCTCTAAGTTAAGTCACATAAGAATACATACTTAAATTCTGTTCAAATTATGTATAACAACTATCAAAAAATGACTTCTGTGAAAAAGCAGATTAACTTTCATTCTTAGAAGAACAGATAGATGGAAGGTAAGCTGGAACCCTCCAAAAGACAAGATACAGATATCTGGCATATGCTGTTTACAACCATTATCATTGCCTGGTGGCGACTAAGGAAAATGAACTTCTGTCAAATGCTTTGAATTTTGCTGCATCAGTGTAGGTTCGATTTACCTCATATTCCTCCCAGAGAAGCAATAACAGATTTAAAAAGATTACATTAGCATTTTTATACCTTTATAGCAGTGGGGTAGGTGATGACTTTGCATCTTTTTAAACAAAAATAAACATATTTAAAGTGTTCTGCTACAGTTATGAAATGTAGGAGTCTCATGGTTTACTTACCCATTCCAGCTGGCTCCTGACTCGGCAAAAGAGCAAAGTAAGAAACCCGACTGGCTTCACCAATAGCAGGGTTTGAAGAGGAAGATTAATTAACAGGTCGTTGAGAAGGGAAATTAAGAAAGCCTCTCTTGCCGGGCACAATGGCTCACGCCTGTAATCCCAACACTTTAGGAGGCCTGGGACGGGCAGATCACTTGAGGTCAGGAGTTCAAGACCAGCCTGGCCAACATGATGAAACCCCTTCTCTACTACAAATACAAAATTAGCCGGGTGTGGCACGCGCCTGTAATCCCAGCTACTCGGGAGGTTGAGACGGGAGAATTGCTTGAACCCAGGAGGCGGGGGTTGCAGTGAGTCCAGATCATGCCACTGCACTCCAGCCTGGGGACAGAGTGAAGACTCTGTCTCAAAAAAAAGAAAGGAAGGAAGGAAGAAGAAAGGAAGGAAGGAAGGAAGGAAGGAAGAAGAAAGGAAGGAAGGAAGGAAGACAGGCAGGCAGGCAAGCTTCTCTTCTGATTTCCTTCCTTCAGACAGTTCAACAATTTGGTAACATTTTACATATGAGACAACTATGGCCAAAAATGAAGTCATTTGATCAAGGCTCAGTGGTAGATCCTGTGTAAATAAGAATACTACAAAAACGAAACCCCAAAGTCAATGAGTTTACAACGTTTCCAAGCAATCCACCTACTTTATATGACGGTATAAATGATAGAGGCTGTTAAGAAATTATTTACAAGAAAACTGTGGCTTCACCCAAAAAGAAGTAGTTATTTTAGCATTCAGAGTTATCTATTTTGTATAACATTTAAGTAGACACTTTGCTTGTCAGATTCCTTGTGTCGGATTGGCATGATTTAATGGGATGATTATCTTAAAGTTTTAAGAGAAATTGGTCCCTCTGTGGTGTTGGAAACTCTGTTAATATAATGTGTCAGGCTCATAAACCATCAGCGGGGACTGTTTGGTTACTATGCAACTCCAGGAGACATTGTTTTCTTCTGTTGTTTCTCGCAGAAAAGACTGCAGAGAAGGGTTGAACATAAGGACAGAGACAGATGCAAACCAATGCACAGGCACCAGAACTCTTCCATTTCTGGGTAAAGGAAAAGATAAAATAAATTCCAACCATGAGCAACGTAATTGGTTGCCTTTATGGTATAAATATGGAGTCCTCAAAGGGACCTCCATTTGGTAAGATCTGGTTTCTGTAGAGTTCTCTCCCAGCATCGGTTATTTCACCATGCACAGTTTGTGAGACCTATTTGTGACCCAGGTCCTTGTCGGTAAAGCCCAAGATTTCATATTGGGAACATATAAGATGGGCAGTGATTGATATTTGTAATGTATAAAGAACTGTTAAATAAAAAGATGAATATCTAACAGAAAAAGGGGTGAATGGTATTGAAGCAGCTATGTTGTCTGAGATATATGCCCTGGGGTTCGTTGTTGCCTGCCAGGAAAATTTAGGACATGGACACACACGAAGAGTTTAGGAGTGGAGGTTTAATAGGCAGAAGAGAAGAGAAGGAGATAGAGTAAGGGGTCTCCAAGTGGAAAGGACCAGATAGTAGCAGATGCACGGGATTTTATAGTCGAGCTTGAGGAGGTGGTGTCTGATTTACACAGGGCTGACAGATTGGTTCAATCAGGTATGATGTTTACATAGCATGCGAGGAAGGCTGGTCACCCCACCCTAATCTTATATTATGCAAATGGACTTTCCAGTTGATCCGGGCCATCTTGTTTGCTCCTTATAGTACAAGTGACTGACAAAAGGAAGGGAAGATGGAGCTGCCATCTACAACATGTCTAGTCCTTAGTTCCTGCTGGCATTCACCGTGCAAGCTCTCAGCTTGCTTGTCTATGTCTGCAGATTGACTTTACAGGCTGCTCTTTGTTAGACAATGATTTGGGGCTGCTTTTCATTAAAAAGGAAAGGCTTATGTAGGACTCCCATACCCTTACTATCTGCCTACAAGATTTCTTAACCCTGTATTAATATGTAACAAGCAACTTAAAAAAGGAGAAATGCAAATAGCCAATAAAAATTTTGGAAAAGTGTTCAACATCACTAGCAATCAAATAAATGTGATTGGTAAAATATTTAGCAATTTTTATTTACCCAATTGACAAGTATATAAAAATGATGCAATCTTCATTTAATGTCAGGAGGCTGGTCCATGACTGCATGAAAGCCTTCCCTTGCCCCCTCTCTTTCATTTGGACTCTCACTGGGGTGAGGAGTAGGCATCAAGAGATCAGGATACCCCATGAGTTTCTCCCTGCCAGCAAGACTGTGTCTCTGCAAAAGGCATGAGCCATTTCAAGCTGCAGCATGCTCTTCAGTTCTGCGCTGCAGAAACCACTCTATTCTTTAGCTCCTTCTTTCCTTATAGTAACAATTGGACAGCAATATGATAATAAACTTGAGTAATTTTTTTAAGTTTTATATTTTTGAAACAGAAATTGTACTTTGAAGAATTTATATTACATAAGAGATATGCAAAGATGCTGTTGAAAATGAGTGTTCATTGCAGTGAAAACTGGAAACAATGTAACCTTTTAACTATATGAAAATTCTTAAATTATAAGACACCTTTATGATGAAATATTTATTATACAGTGATCAACATCATCTTCTCCAAGTATAATTAGCCTATGGACATATGTTCATGATATATTAAGAACAAAAGGAAGATTTCAAAACTGAAGTATGATTCCTAGTAGGTATAAAAGATGTTATACATTAAAAAATTACTGGAAGCATAAGCTAAAATTTTAATACCAGGTATCTCTAGGTATGGAAACACATTTAATTTCTTTGTTTTTCTTTATTCTTTTATTTTTCTATTTCTTATGTGAAACGCAAATAACCTTTAGAGTCAGAGAAGACAACAAATGTTATTTTCCCAAAAGAAATTAGAGGCAGGGTGGATAGAAAGATCTTTAATCTAAGAAGGAAATTAATAGCCTTTCATCTTTAACATTTTGAGATTCTTTTTTTGGAAAGAAAGTATGTTCACACATGGTCACACTTTAGTCAGTTAATGGGGATTTATTTTGCATATCATCTTAGTCCCATGTGGCATGCCTCTAAACTAAATAGATGTGAGGAAATAAACATTTTGATTGGAATAAAATTGAGTCCAAAATTTTAGGAGGCCTTGGATGCTTACTAAAGAAGAGCATGGACTCTCACTACTAGCCTGAAGCTGACTCTATAGTAGTAGCAGAAAAGACACCTTTTCCATTATTCTTTCTAAACTTTGAGTGCAGAGTTTTCACAGACATTTTCTGGGGCAGCATTTCTCCAGATTTTAAAACAATACTCACAGAAATAAGCCCATTTTATGTAGCAACCCAGTACACAAGTACAGGTGAAAGCAGGCACACATGCACACACACAAACACACACACATACACACACAAGTACAGGTGAACACAGGCACACACACACACCCCACTCAAGGACAGGTGAACGCAGGCACACACACACATTCCCCCACACAAGTGACAAAAAAGTTTCAAACGCACACACACACACATAAACTTACCACCCTTACCACATATTGACACTTTTATAAACCACTTCATTTTTATAAAAACATGATTATAATAGTCTAGAACTTTTCATTGTGAAGGAAGCTCAAAAAATCATAAACACGAAAGAATAGAAATAAGCACTAGAGATGGAGGAAGATCAAGTTACCAAAGTGGGGAAGACTGATTGAGGTGAGTGAAAAAAAGAGCTTGAACTTTTATTCATATTAATTTATTATTTCAAGGTCGAATTATGTGTCCTTTAAAATAATGCATATATTAGAACTGCACATGCATATAATTTATAAACATATGACTAAACATAGACCAGAAAACTATGCTTAATTTTTTTTTTCTTCAGAGGCTCTGTGATCAAAAATTTTGGAGAACATGGATTTGGATTATAGGTGCAAGAAGAGTTGAGAGTAAAAGACATTTCTGGGGATATGTCATTAACAAAGTTCCCCAGAAAATAATATAATCTGATATGGGCCTTAAAAGATGGGTACTCTCTGGCCAGACATATGTTAAAAGATGCCATGTAGCAGTTTTGTATTCAGAGGATCAGGTTGCAGGACAAGGGGCAGAGGGGTCTTTGGAGGATCTCAAGAGAGGTGGGAATCAGATATTAAATTAAAACAAACAACATAGGAAAATAAGTGAGATGGATCAGCCAGTCTCCCTTCCTTTTGAAGATACTAGGGCTAGGGATGTTTTCTGAAGCTCCTCTGTTACTGATGCCTTAGAAGCTGTGATGGATGGCTTCCATGGACTCCTCCAGATTTATTCCCCACTCATACCCACCTGCTTAATGGCCCAGGAGGCTGGTCTATGGCTGCATGGAAGGCTTCCCTTGCCCTCTCTCATTCATTTGGACTCTCACTGGGGTGAGGAGTAGGCATCAAGAGATCAAGGCACCCCATGAGTCTTTCCCTGCCAGCAAGACTGTGTCTCTGCAAAAGGCTACGAGCCATTTCAGGCTGTGCTGTGCTCCTCAGGTCTGGGCTGCGGAAGCCACTCTATTTTTTTTTTTTTTTTTTTTTGAAACGGAGTCTTGCTCTGTCACCCAGGCTGGAGTGCAGTCGCGGCATCTCGGCTCACTGCAAGCTCCGCCTCCCAGGTTCATGCCATTCTTCTGCCTCAGCCTCCTGAGTAGCTGGGACTACAGGCGCCCGCCACCACGCCCAGCTAATTTTTTTGTATTTTTAGTAGAGACGGGGTTTCACTGTGTTACCCGGGATGGTCTCGATCTCCTGACCTCATGATCTGCCAGCCTCGGCCTCCCAAAGTACTGGGATTACAGGTGTAAGCCACTGCACCCGGCCAGAAGCCACTCTATTCTTTACCCCTTTCATAGCAGGATGGTATGGCTTCTCCTCCACTGCTAGCCCAGGGATAATATATGATTTTTCTATTGATTTCCCTAAATTCTGTTCAGACCTCTAAAACAAACAAACAAAAGATTTCTATTAAAAATTATCCTCAAAATGTGAATGTGCTATCTATTTCTTGCTGGAACCCTGACTGATATAGATGCAAAATAGGTGGGATTGGATGTCTAGAAGGCGGAATGTGGCACAACTGTGGTCTGAGCACTTGGAGAAAAAGCCAGCACACAAAGAGAGGTAGATGTTAGATGGGAATGCCAATAAGAGTTTTATCAGGCCGCTTCCAGAAATAATCTTACGCAGAAGAGGCCTGAGGAAGCAAGTGCATCCTGAGGTTTCACAACCCAGCCCAAGAAGAGAACAATGAAAGGGAAGTACACTCAGGGGATTTCTTAGGTTCTGCGAATGGTCAATACCTTAATCTGGCAGTCAAGGTACAGGTGTTCATTTTATTGTTTACTCTTGTGATTATACACAAAGATTTTATACACTCTTCTGTACTCAAGATGTATTTCAAAATAAAATGAATGGCGAAGGGGAAGAGTGAATGATGGTGGGCATGGTGAACAATGTCCCACGGGATTCTGTCAATACAGTGTTCAATATGTTTTACATACTATTTCATCTCTTATTTAATTTCATATTAGGATTGTAAGGCAGAACTCATCATCTTTTGTTTCAGATATTCCCAGGGATGTAGGAAAGTGGTACACGCTAGCAGTCAATATTTTATGGGACAATTTAATCAGAACAAAAATTGTGAAAGACTGCCCAGATTATTGAGCCTCATTTTGCAAAAAAAAAAAAAAAAAAAAACCTTGCTTGCCGTCTCAAATCAATTTGTGAACCAAGAGTGGTTTTAATAAGTAATTATTATCTTCTAAAAAGAGTCTTTAATCACTTACAGGAAATGTTAAAGTGCAGTTGATGCAACATCAAGACTCCTGCCAGCTTGGGAAACAACCTTAAAATCTAGCTTTAAAATATTTACCATATTTTTGTCATTCTGGCTTTCAAAAGCGAAGAAAAAATTCAGTTTATCTCAGTTATCACAACAACGTGGGATGCTTATAAAAACCAAAGCAGGATGAAGTTTGGCGTTATATCTGGTTTCTAAACAGAAACTTCCCCAGTACATATGTGCATAGAGTCCCCTTGAGATTGACCTAGCAATGGAGATTAGTTTCGGGGATAAAAACAGAAAAGTGTTTGTGATACTCATTCCCTACTGAGAAAATAAATGAGTAAAGACATTATTATTAAACAGCTTTTGAATTAGATTTTTTTTCCTCCAACAACTCACATTATTGTGGTTAGTTTCATTTTTAAGTCAATGCAAATTCAGATGCGAGGAAGGAAATGCTTTATTCATATGAAATTTCTGCCGTGATTTATACACGAAAGCTTCAGGCAAAAAGTAAGATGAAATCAGTTTACTCCCTATTTAGATTTATTTTCTACAGCTTTTAAGTAAAATTCCTTCTTACTGGTTAATGAGTTTAAAGCCACCCCAAGCCCTGAGAAAATCATGAGAGAAGTGTTCTACTACTTGGACTAAGTCCCATCCTATTATCAAAGATGCTTAGGCAAAAGGTTCTAGAGTCTCAGCAGCAAAGATATAAGAAACTAGCCAAGACGAGTCTACCAAAACACACAGAGTGTATAGTCTGACTTGATTTCTGCGGTGGGCTACTAAATTAAAAAGTAGAAGCAATTGGACAGGGTTGGATATTTGACAGCCTTGAAAACTACACTGAAAACTTAGCAGTTTTCACTTACCAAAAGTAAATCATCATATGTTCTTGAGAAATAGAATAATTCAATACAGGTAGTATTTCAAGAGAATTAGTCTGACTGCAGTGTACCAGTTGAATCGTATGCAGAGAGGACAAACTTTTGGAGTAACTCACAACTGCAGCATTGTTCTGAAAATGTTCAATACCTTAATCTGGCAGTCAATTCACTGGTGTTCATTTTGTTGTTTACTCTTGTAATTAGACACATGAATTTTATACTCTCTTTTGTGCACATGCTGTATTTCAAAATTACAGACCTGTGACCTGAAAGGAGAGATGGACAGGGAGATCACTTGAATGGTAATTTCAAAGAAAGAAGAAGATTTTGAGGGAAATACAGACATATAAAAGAAGGAGTTGGAAAAATAAAATATAATCATAAAGGTTCTGTCCTTCAAGATTGAGAAGATGGTAGTAAGAGCAAGACCACTGGGAATGAATTTGTAATCTGAGTATGGGTTCGGGTGAGGAGACCAGTTTGATTTAGGCATGTTAAGTTTCTGATGACATGCAACATTCAGCTAGATGTATTTGGTGAGTACTATGAGTGGAATGGTACAATCTATGTAAAAATATTGATATATTGATAGTGGCTAATTCTCCAAGGGAATTAGAATGAACAAGAAGAGCAGAGGGGATTATGAAGACCTGTAGTGAAAGAGAAAAATGTGTCATGAAGGCAGAGTGAAGGAAAAGGAAGAGAAATAGGAGGAGAAGCAGGATGATGCAATGTTATGGAAACAGGTAGAAGAGCTTCAAGAAGTAGATGGATACCAGAGTCAAACATTTCACCGATGTCAAAGATGGATGTGGAATTTGAGAATAAGCCCCCTTGGATGGAGCAGCTGAATTTAATGGGGTGGTCAGGGTGAAAGTCAGAGCATAGCAGTTGAAGGTAGATTGAAGACAGGCGGCGAAATGAAGATGTTGAATGCAGGTCACAGTAAGAAATGAGCAGAGGCAAGGAGAAACTGGGGGTGTAAAAATATGATTACAGTTATAGAGCAAGCAGTGTCAACTAAAAAAATGGGTTTTTTGTTTTTGTTTATTTATTTATTTTGGGGGGGCTTGAGATTGTTGGGGCATGGGAAGACTTTTGGACCTGAGGTCAGGGGCTACATATTTCCAAATAGAGTACTATCATGTCTTAAGGTGCTGTGATGAGCCTGGATAATGAGTCCAGTGCCAAGGGTTGGTTTGGGGTTTTATATTTGTGGCTTGAAACGTGAGTTTCAAAGACCAGCTTTCGTTAATAAAAAGGAGAAAGAAGAAATGTTAAAATGCTTTTATGTACTCAGTCTATAAAAGACAACCTCACAGCCCCCTCCTTAGTGGTCAGAAACCAGTATCTTCAGAACCCACTTTCTTCCTGCTCCAACTGTGAGGATAGACTAGAACCAGATGTGTCTTGACCTTCTCAAAACCTACACACAGGCAGGAGGCCATAACATACTGTTCAAATACAGCCCACATGTGGCTAATACAGGATCTCATTTTCCATGATGTACCCAACAGACTGGGGCACAGCCAGCTGCAAAGGCCTGAGGCTAGAATCTGACAAAGAACACATTCCACTGGGAGGAAAGGCTGTGCTGTGCCCAGATTAGTCCCAGAGTGGCCACTCTTCTACACGGAGATGCTTCACTTTAGGCTTAAGCCATGTAGGAGAAATCCGACACATAATTTTGACCCTTTTCAGTATCCTTAGAACAAATGGAAGAAATGAAGATGGGTTTCTGAAAGGTCAACTTTCAGAAACTGGAAAAGTTTTAGTTTTGTTTTTGTTTTTCCAAAACTCAAACAATAGTTTGAGTTTTGGAAGCTCTTGCTTACTTCCTATGCAGTTCAGTTCCACCATCCAGATTATCTCTCATTGGGAATTTTATCTTTTTAATTCAGCTTTGACATTTTACTTAATTTGTTTCCATTGTTCCTTTTAGGCCACCCTGAACAAATTTTTCTTTTATTTTTCAAGCTCTCTCTCTCTCAGACACATACACACACACACACACACACACACACACACACACACACACACATACACCACTCTTTTTCTCTCTCTCTCTTTGTTCTTACAGGACTTAGGTAATGTTTTATTTTCACCTTCCAGTTTCAGTTCAATGAATGTGTACTGAATACCAACTGCGCACTAAGCAGTCATTTGTTCTCGTTTTATTTTGAAAATAGCTATATTGCTTTTGGGAAAAAAAATCATAAAGGGTTTCTGTTGACATATATAAAGAAGAAAAATTCAAGAAAATATTTCCAATCCCACCATCCAAATGCCATTCAATATTAACCATAGGTTAGTTATTAATTATCCCTTCTTGCATATTTATAAAAATGGATATATATATATGTTTATAATTTTTCCAAATAGAATCATATACCTGTTTTATGAACAGTTTCTTTTACTCAATATGCCATGAATATTTTTCTGGTCAAAAATGTATCATTACATCCTCATTTTTAATACAGTCATCCATCACATAATGATGTTTTGGTCAATGACAGATTACATTTATGAAGGTAGTCCCGTAAAATTATGGTAGAGTTGTAAACATTTCTGTCACCTACTGACCATGTAGCTGTTATAAGATTGTAGAGCAATGCATTACTCATGTGTTTGTGGTGATGCTGGTACCGCCAGTTGTGTAAAACTCCAGCACATACCATCATGTACAGTGTGTAATGTTTGGTAATGATAATAAATGACTATGTTACTGGCTTATGCATTTACTGTTCTATACATTTTATTGTTATGTTAGGGCATACTCCTTCTATGTGCAAAAAGTTTGAGGCAAGTCCTTCAAAACGGATTTCAGAAAAAGGCATTGCTATCACAAGAGATGACAGCTTCATGCGTGTTATTGCCCCTAAAGACCTTCCCGTGGGACAAGGTGTGGAGGTGGAAGACAGTGATATTGATGATCCTGACCTTGTGTAGGCCTAGGCTAATGTGTGTGTTTGTGTCTTAGTTTTTAACAAAAATGTTTAACAAGTAAAAAATCAAAATAAAAAATTAAAATAGAAAGCTTATAAAATAAGGATATAAAGAAAGAAAGCATTTTTGTACAGCTCTGCAATGTGTTTATGTTTTAAGCTGAGTGTTATTACGAAAAAGTTAAATAAAATTTAAAAGTTCATGAAGTAAAAATGTAAGCTAAGGTTAATTTATTATTATTATTACTTAAGATTTTTTTTTGCCCATGACACAGCCCCAGGAGGCCCTGAGAATATGTGCCCATAGTTAACTTATCATTGAGGAAATAAAATTTTAAAAATAATTTAGTGTAGCCGAAGCACACAGTGTTTGTAACATCTATGGTAGGGTATTGGAGTGTCCTAGACCTTCACATTCACTCACTCATTCGCTCACTCACTCACCCAGAGCAACTTCCAGTCCTGCAAGTTCCGTTCGTAGTAAGTGTCCTATACATAGACAATTTGTGTATTTTAGATAAACAAATACTTACCATTGTATTACAATTACCTATAGTATTAAGTAAAGAAACATGCCGTACAGGTTTGTAGCTTGGGAACAATAGGCTATACCTTATAACCAAGGTGTGTAGTAGGCCATGCTATGCAGGTTTGTGTAAGTACACTCTGATGTTTGCACAAGGATAAAATCACCCATTAATACGTTTCTCAGAACATAGCCCTATTGTTGGGTAACATGTGACTGTAGTTGCACCACATCACATGATAAACATACATGGTAATTTTCTTAACTAATCTCCCAGTGATGGTCATCTAAGTTATTGTGATTTTTTTTCTATTCAAGCTTCTATAAGTAACCTTATGCACATATAGTTTTTCATTTGTTCCCCTAAGTGCTTACTGTTTGTTGGTAGGTCAAGAGGTCTTTTCCCCAGCTGCTTCATCTGCCTACTCCAGGTTGACTGCAGGCTTGAGAGTGATCTTTAAATACATGAAGAACTTTCAAGGAAGCCACATTTTTTTTGTGTTGCTCCCAGAAAATGAGATCAAAGGATGGAAGTCACATGTTGGCAGATTTGGGCTCAACACACAGAAGTAAATAAGTAATATAGATGAACAAGTGTGCTGAGAGTTGCATAGTATAATAATTGTTAAACAAATACCATTATTATGGTGTAATAATGGAAGAAATTGCTTCATCACTTGGTGAATTTCTAGGTCTTTACTCTGCTTGTCTGAAGCTGGGTGAATAACTTTTAGCAATTACAAAGCATTTTTGTCCTAGGTGGAACTTTGAATAGATTGACCTCTTATTTATTAGGCTCCTAAAAGTTTCTAAGATTCCATGACGGGGCTAAAATCAACTTGGGTTTTAACCTCAACATCACCTCCCCAAGTCCTCCATAAATGCCCCAAAGTATTTATGCCTTAATAAGAGACTTATGAAAGACTTAATTTTGGCAGATTCTTGGCAGGTAGGCAGAGAGAGATATTTGGGGTCAGAGAGCCTTTCAGGGCCCCCATTAAATCACAACTTTTATAATTACCTATTTATAAGAGAAGTTTCCAACTCAAAGGTCATGGGTCTCAAATAAGACAACTCCCCCTACCCCCTTCTCTTGCCCACATCCAGAGTTTCAGCCTATACCATTTGCTAGGTTTGGGGTCACTGCATGGATGAAAAAGAAATAGCAATAAGAAGAAACATGAACATCCCTGTAGTGCCTTATATCCCCAGTTGTAAATCATGAAAAGATATCATATGCTAGACATCAAAGCAACGTAAATCATGTAAATCAAGGTTGTCAGTCAAAAGCACAGGCAACATGGACACCCTGTTTTGAGAATTAATTTCTCCCACAGCCTCAAGAACATCCACCCTTCCAAGGAACCATCCCTGTCCCGCTCTCAGAAGCTGGGCCCAGCCAACATGC
This sequence comes from Homo sapiens, assembly GCF_000001405.40. Classification (NCBI taxonomy): domain Eukaryota; kingdom Metazoa; phylum Chordata; class Mammalia; order Primates; family Hominidae; genus Homo; species Homo sapiens. The sequence goes on along the minus strand of NC_000008.11, from coordinate 40,103,269 downwards.
AGGAAAAGTCTCAATTGCAATGTTTTCAGCCAGGTTCAAACAAGTAAATTAAGGGAAAGTAGTATTATCTCACCAAATAAGAAAGGCCTCATTGTTGCCGAGTGAAGATCTGTACCCGAAAATTTATTATTTAACAAGATAGAATCATTCTCAAATAAACTTTTGACTTTTTAATAAAGAAACAGTGGTCTCAAATAAGGAGCAAAATGCATATATTTTTCCAGGTGGGGAAATAACATTCCCCAGTGTAGCCCTCTATTGGCCTCTGATCCATTCTTGGAAGAATATGCTGAAATAAAAATGAAATAATGTATGTGCCAATGATTTGAAGAGGTAAAGATTGTCCATGTTTAGCAATGACTGTGGTGGTGATCTTCACCTCTGTCCTGCATAGGGAAAGCTTAAGAAAAGGAAAGATCCCCAAGAACAGAACAGGTTGGCATTTGCCTGCAGCTCTTGTTTCCTTTTTAAAGTGTGCCTGGCCTGGTGCAGTGGCTCACACTTGTGATCCCAGCAATTTGGGAGGCCAAGGCGGGCAGATTGCTCAAGCCTGGGAGTTAGAGACCAGCCTGGGCAACATGGTGAAAATCAGTTTTTCCAAAAAAAAAAAAAAATAATTAGCCCAGCACAGTGGCTTGCCCCTACTAGTGCCAGCTATTTGGGAGGCTAAGATGGGAGGATTGCTTAAGCCTGGGAGGTGGAGGTTGCAGTGAGCTGAGATCGCGCCACTGCACTTCAGCCTGGACAACAGGAGTGAGATACTGTCTCAAAAAAAAAAAAAATATGTCTTACCTTCAGCTAGTGTATGAGTCTCTTTTCAAAATATTTATAGTGGTTTTCTGTAGCCTAAGGCTGGTGCTTTTTATTTGGAATGCTCTTACCTCAAGGATTCTTAGAAATATCGGGGGGTACTTAAAGCTCTAATTAAAGCTCTAAGAAAAGACATATCCTGCAGCTTGGATTTTTCTGGAAGTTTCAATGAAAGAAAATCATAATTGTTATAGAACAACTAAAATAAATAAGATGCAATAGAATGCAACATTCATGGACATTAGTTTAGCTTTAAAAATAATCCATTATACATTGTTAGATAAAACTTTAAAATTTTTGCAGTCAAATGAGACAATATTCCTATCTCCCTTAGGGAAATTTTTGAGAAGCATTAACCTAAAAGCAGAGCACAGACTCCCAGCCTGGTATTTAAAATCCCTCATAATGTGGTCTCAATATTCCTCTTTGAACTTTTTCCACAAGCCTCTTATCTGAAATCTGAATTCCCCCTGGCATGTCCTCAACCTCGTGATCCTCCAGGTGTCCCACAAAATGCCTAGTTCAGTTTTCCCTCCTAGAATGTTCCTTCCTCTCCTTCTTCCTCTCCCTCACTTCTGATTTCCAGAGTTCAGCTCAGGCAAACTCTTCCAGAATCCCCAAATATCTTAGTAATCATTGTTTCCTCTCTACCACATTTACAGTTTCTCTTATGTTATTTGCCATTCATAGCAAAATACATTCCTTGGTTAAAAAAAAAAATACAATGTATTGTTTTAATTGTATTGTTTATCTTTCCGACTTAGACCAAATATTCCCAGAAAGGGGGAATTTTAATATTCTTTGTAACTCCTGACAAGTGTCAAGCTCATGGCAACAGATTACAATATGTGGACAGCATTTTAGAGGTCATGGAATTTTGATTTCTAATTTCGTGGATAGAAAAATTGATCAGTGGAAAAACAAATAGGAAAAAAGAAAGAAAACCTGGAGGAAATGACAAAACAGTGAGTTATACTGGGTCATTCTTCTTTTTACTTTTGTGAAGATCAATTTACATACAGGTTTTGGGAAATTAATTGAGAAAGGGGGACAGGGAAAGAGAGAAGGAGATATTTTCACTCTAGCCTGTAGCACATAGATTAGGTCAGATATAAGGAATTCTGTCTGATGGAAAGGACAGATCTGGCCCCTGATCTTTCGTGTTGATCTGAAGGAGGTCAGCATTTCCCGAAGCAGGAGAAACAGCATTTTTGTGATCTTCCTCATCTACACCAAGCACTAGCTTGGTCTTCATGTTAGCGTGGGTTTATTTTAGCATTCACCCATTCACATGCAACACCATAAACCCCAAGCCAATCTTCTGAAAAGTTATTTGCACTCTTTTTCACCATTTTTATATCACCACTGAATTGGTGTGTTTGAGTGTGCCAAGCCTCTTTCTTTATTGTGATGTCATTGGAGGGGTCTGGTGAAGGGTGAGCTTTGAAAAAAAAATGCAAATGGTGGAGCTAACAAATGAGACTTGTGGTTCCTAGTGCATAATTTGAGAGGGCAGGTAAGATAGGACTTCTGTATTTATATTCTCTTAAGAGCATACATTTATATTATTATATGAATTGATATATGCACCGTACATTTATTAACTCATTTTATTCTCATATCAACCCTAGGTGATAAGTATCGTTGTAATCAGAAACTGGGGACAGAAAGTTTACAGCTCACCCAAGTAATCCAGCTTACTAGGTGTCAGTACCAGTATTTGAAAACAGAAATTCCAGATTCAGAGTCTGTGTTTTCATCTACTACACTGCAGTGCCTCTCAAGGGAGACATTTAATTTAGAAGTAAAATTAATTTAGAAATAATTTTAATATATAAAAGAAGTTTAAGGCAGTGAAATTTACAATGGTGGACTCATACTCCATTATGACTTAAATTATTTCTAGGATCTGGATTGATCATGATTATATATGCAACTTTAGAAAACTTACAGAGAAAAAGTGCAGTTGTCAAAGCAATGAACAGTTCAAACATTTACCTAACTCAAAATGTGAACACTACTTGCTAGCCCAAGAAGCCAATGTGATGAAGACTGTATGGAAAGATATGACATTCATCAATGAGAGACCTCAGATACTCATCTACAGGTGAAGCCCTGCCTATGTTGAAACATCAAATATAAAATTCACTTCTAAGTGACTCAGACTGACACACATTTATCCTTACCTTTCCTGTAAGAGAGGTTCTTGAGAAAGGAGGGTGAGTAACGTGGTGAAAGTTATGTTTGCAGAATATTTGGTATACAGAACAGATAGAAGATAAGTGAAGGCAAAGACCAGGAAAAGGAGAAACCCATTAGGAGACTACACCAGTAATTCAGGGAAGGCGTGGCAGTCTCACGAAATGCAGTAAGCATGCCATGAAACACTCATTGGAAATCTATGACTGAGTAGAAACGAAAGGTGAAAGATGGACAAATAGCAAAGGACTGCACGGTTTGCAGTCAGGGTGGTAGAGATAATGGAAGTGTCAGTGAGAGATATGAGCTGAGGGGAGCTGTAGTGGAATGGGATTTATGAGGGCAGGGACTACCCCCAGTGCTTGACACCTAATAAATCCACAACAGATGCTGAGTAAGAGTTTGTAATTTTAGTCTTGGGAAAGAGGAATTACTCTTAGAGGAAGGTGATGGGCTGACTCAGTCTTGTAAAATGACTTTGAGTCCAGGATGCTGTGTTCGTTTGCTGGGCTGCCACAACAAACTACCATAGTTTGGATGGTTTGAACAACATCAACTCATGTTCTCACAATTGTGGAGTGTAGTTCAACACCAACGTGGTGCCAGGGTTGATTTCTTCTGCCGTCTCTCTCCTCAGCTTGCAGGTGGCCATCTTCTCCCTTTGTCCTCACTTAACCTTCTCTTTATGTGTGTCTATGTCCTAATCTCTCTTTATAAAGATATGTATCATACTGGATTAGGTCTCACCCATACGACCTCATTTTACCTTAATGACAACTTAAAAGACTGAATCTCCAAATAGATTCTGAGGTACAGGTGTATAGTACTTCAACATATGAATCTTGGAGAGACATAATTCCACCCATAACAGATGGTATTCACATGCATATCCTGTAAGCAACTGGAAATGTAGGATTATAGCATGGAAAACAGGCCCAAGCTGATGAGAGGGACTTGAAGAATTTAGTGTAGATGATGCAGTCGTGAGACATACTGTGTTTTGCATAGCAACTTGCCCTGAATAGAAAAAAATAAAAAGAACAAATATGGGAGTTTCTCAGATAAGAACTGGGGAGTGACTGAATCTAGGTGGGACCAGGAAATAATAAAAAGAATAGAGCTAAGTCATGACTATAATCACAATTCCAACAGTGCTAATCTAGAGGATCTCCCAACTCCCGTCCCCACTGAGTGGGGTTTAGGGCAATTGCTCAACTGAGCCACATCATTTTGTGTCTCAGGCAAACACTCACATGGTAAACTGATTTGGTGAGTCCCCAGACTACAAGAGATATTTTAGGTTTGTGATTGTCACCCTAATTCTTTTTTTTTTTTTTTTTTTTGAGACAGAGTCTCACTCTTATTGCCCAGGCTGGAGTGCAGTGGTGCAATCTCGGCTCACAGCAACCTCCGTGTCCCGGGTTCAAGCGATTCTCGTGCCTCAGCCCCTCAAGTAGCTGGGATTACAGGCACATGCCACCAAGCCTGGCTAATTTTTTTTTTTGTATTTTTAGTAGAGATGGGGTTTCACCACGTTGGTCAGGCTGGTCTCAAACTCCTGACCTCAAGTGATCCACCCGCTTCGGCCTCCAAAAGTGCTGGGATTACAGGCGTGAACCACTGTGCCCAGCCCCCTAATTCTTGCTAGGCCAAGTTTGGCATTACATTCTCCAAAGAAAAATGTATATTCACAGCTGAATTTACTATATTTTAGACAAAGGAAGCTCACTGTCTCTTCAATTCCCACTTTCCTCTCTACTCTCACTTTCATCTCTACTCTAATACTACATTGGTGTGGTTGCATCCACAGGGTAGATGTTACCAGTAGTGTTCTCCTAACTCTAGGATTTGTCCTAAATCATAGCTATTATGGTGCTGATGTTATAAAGGTAAATCAACGGAGTGATAAATTGGCTTCACAAAGAGGAAGAAAAAAGTCATCTGTAGCTGCATTTTACTACCAGGAAATGTCATAACAATTCTTTTCAAAATAGGATGATGTGAGTCAGAATGCAGTGTGGAAATTAAATATAATAACTCTATAAAGGCTTCTCCTTACACTTAAATAGATACCTTCAAACCTGGCTTACCAAGCTTTGCATAATCTGGCCATGCTGAACTCTCTAGCCCAGTTTCTCAGCACTTCATCGTCATTCTCTTTTTATCATGCAAATCCTCACCCCTGCCCATCCCACCTCACTGACTTCTACCATTTGCAAGACCTCAGCTCAAATATGATGCCATAATTGAAGTTCACACCAGGTTGGGTCCTGATAGATCCTTTTATTATTTTTATTATATCCTCATATTATTTTTTCTTCATAATACTTATTAAATATGACTAATTGATATCTATCCACTTCCCAAGACTGGAAGCTCTATAAGGTGCCGACATCACATCCTCTTTATTTGCACTCTACATTTAGTGTCTAGAATAGTGCTGGATCAAAGCAGTCATGAAATCAGTATTCATTTAATTAGTGCATGTATTTATTAGTAGGTATTTGACTGGTCTTTTCAGCACCTCGAGTTTGTTTGTATGTTTGTTTTAATAGCAAGTAGTATGGTATGATAGAAAGATCGCAGGTTGTAGAATTAGACACATCCGAGTTTAAATGGAGTTGTCACATTTTATTTGTCTAGAGTCAGATGAAAGAGCTATCAGTTACTAATGTTCAGTTCTCTTCTTCTTTGATCTTTCAATTGAACACTCACTTTTACTTGAAAATGTTCCCCTCACTTTGTGGTATCACTTTCTTATGATTCTCTTTCTAACCCTCTGAACACTTCCTCATTTTTTTTCCTTTGTCCCCAGAGTACTATTCTCTATCTTTTCCTCATTGTTGCACACTTTTTAAAAAATATGGCTCCTATTTCCTCTCATGATTTCAACAGTCCAAACCTGTTTTTTTTCAGCTATCTCATTAATATCTCACCTCTTTAATCCCAAGCACTTTGGGTGGCTTAGGAGGGAGGATCATTTAAGGCCAGGAGTTCAAGACCAGCCTGCACAACATAGTGAGATCCCATCTCTACAAAAATATTTAAAATTATCTGAGTGCAATGGCATGCACCTATAATCCCAGCTATTCAGGAGGCTGAGGTGGGAGGATCACTCAAGCCCAGGAGTTCAAGGCTGCAGTGAGCTATGATTGTGCCACTGTATTCCAGCCTGGGTAACAGAGCGAGATCCTGTCTCCAAGAAAAAAAAAATAAGTAAATATATATATATATATATATATATATATATATATATATATATATTTGAATAAGAACTTATTCTGTGAATGTGCAATCTATAATATACAACTGCATATACCTCCTATTGCAAGAACAACTTATGTTTCACTGAATGACCTCAGAGATCAGAGATTCCTTCTAGTCCATTCACAGGACTCTGAATTTAAATACAGTATTCTTCAATTAGAGATTCAGAAGAATGAAATCCATAGAAAGGGAAATCTGCACCCTAAAAATAACTCCAAAAGAAAGTGCAGATATTGGGGTATAAAATATGTTATCCAGACATATTTCTGTGCTGACAAAGGCATATCCGCACTGAATAAAACAATCTAAAATGGCATAATCTTCCTTAAGAGGGAGGATAAAGATTTGACTGAGAAGGATCCAGTGAAAATCAAACCTGCCATTCATCAAAGAGAAATAATTTTTCTTTGTGTTTAAATAGACTCTGCTAAATCAAGATATTTTCTTTGATAAAATTTATTAGCTACATTTTGAGAATCATATTAAGAGCTTTTAAGAGTGATCCACAGATTATGCAGAAATATGTTTTTAGGTTACTGTGCAGCCCAAGAATACAAGAAATATAAAAATCAATCAGTCCATAATTGTGGAAGGTACAATTGGCCATCAAGGCTTACTCTTCAAGATATTTTTGCATGACAACTTTCTCATGTCATCTCTGAAATCAGTTGCTGCTTAGATACCTGGAGACTAGTTGAGTAAAAATATTAGTTTCTTCACAGATCTTCTAAACACTAGCATCTAACAGTTATAACATGGCCAAATGTTAGGAAAACAATTGTCTTCAGAGTTAAATTTTAACTTGTTTTTCCCTAAATACAGAAAGAAAAAAAAAGAGAGAAGTACTGAAAATATTTTGTATACAAACATTGACTTAAATCATGTATCAGTTGTCCAGCAGGCTTAAATATCCGAAATTTAAAAGCCAAGTCTCTAAGTGACTATGAAGTTGGTGCCTGCAGTGAGACTGATCCACCTGACCTACAGACAAACTCTTTAGGTATTTATTCAAGCCCATTTACAGTTATTTTATACTATTTTCAATAGGTTTTCATAGTTGATAGCTGAGCCAACATCAGTTTAAAATATAGGAATTAGAATATAGAAACAGGCAGGCCTTACTTTCTGCACTGATACAAAGCATTTGCAACTCTTTGGCAAAAGAAAGAAAAACTAAACAAATGAGAAATATCTCAAAGAACACAGAACATTTGATTTTGAGGGAAGGGTGAGGAATCTTACACAACAAAATAGGCCTTGAGGAAATAATGTATTATAAACAGAAAAAAAAAAAAAAACACCAGCTGATTCTTGATAAGACACCAAGAAAAATTAAATTTAGAATATTCAGTGAAGAAGAGTCCAAATTTTCCATTTAAAATGGATATGAGTTTTGTGGCCAGGCGCAGTGGCTCATGCTTGTAACCCCAGCATTTTGGGAGGCTGAGGCTGGTGGATCACCTGAGTTCAGGAGTTCAAGACCAGCCTGACCAACCCCATCTCTACTAAAAATACAAAAAATAGCTGGCATGGTGGCACATGCTTGTAATCCCAGCTACTTGGGAGGCTGAGGCAGGAGAATCGCTTGAACCTGGGAGGCAGAGGTTGCAGTAAGTCAAGATCGTGCCACTGCACTCCTGACTGGGCAACAGAGTGAGACCCTGTCTCTAACATTAGAATAGAATAGAATAGAATAGAATAGAATAGAATAGAATAGAATAGAATAGAATAGAATAGAATAGAATAGAACAGAACAGAACAGAATAGAAAAACGAGTTTTGGTGTTTAAAGAAGCTTTTGGCTATTCATAAAGTTTGATTGTGCTAGTGATGTTCTACTTTCTCTCATCTTCAAGTCCACCCTCTGTTGCCTGCTATGTGATGCTGGCGCTGGAGACTCCCTTGCCATTTTGCTTCTGATTCGTTCCTGGCAAGGGGAGGCACCAGGAGGCAGGAAGGAGGAAGGAGGAATGCAAACTGTCCTGTTTTGCATCGCCCATTATTTCTCCAGCAGAGACACACAGATGGTTCTAGCCTACAGGTTCTCTCAGCTCTCTCCTCACCTGCCTCAGCTGAACCTTCCCTGAATTTCCAATCCACAAAACAGTGAGCAAAATAAAATGGCTGTCGTTTTGTACTACGAAGCTTTAGGACAACTTCTGATGCAGCAATAAGAGCCAGAATCATGGACTTCTTTGACTTGTCCTCATACTAGGTGCTCAAATCATATTTACTGTATAAAAAATAAATGCAGAGAAACTAGGTGGGGGAAGGTGGTGGTGGTCTACAAAAGGTAAATCTATTTGCTCTCTAAATTTACATCAAATTGGACTGAGTATGCAGAAACAATCCAGAGACAGTTCAGAAAATAAATCTTCCTATACAAAGCAGTTTTATTTCCCTTTCTCTGAAGAGGAAGATTGTTTTTACCTTATAATTGAAGAAGCCTGCTTGTTGACACAATATTAACATAAAACAGTAATTTTCACATTTCTCCTACTGCCACCTCAAATTACATTTTATCCTCATCCACTTCCAGAGATTAGATTTTCTTCATGCTATTTTAAGAATTCTAAGAATTGATGTTGACAAAGTACTCAGACTATCTCATAATCCCAGAATTGGTAGGCGTGTGGACAGTGAATAATAAACACGTTGGCATTTTTAATGAATCAGCATAGAAATTCCAGAGGAAACTCAGATTCTAAAGGTTTACATGAACATCACAGTAGCAACAAGCACACTGATCTTGGTTTCTATTATCATTCTTCAATCAAAGGAGCCAGGGTTCCTTGAAGAAATGGCAGATCCTTGGATTGGGGAAGGAAATATACAAGATGGGCTTGGATCATCTTGTAGTGCCAGAAAGCAAGGAAGTTCTCCAACAATAAAAAACCTGCATTGGGCCAGGCGTGGTGGCTCACGCCTGTAATCCCAGCACTTTGGGAAGCTGAGGCAGGTGGATCACGAGGTCAGGAAATCGAGACCATCCTGGCTAACACAGTGAAACCCCGTCTCTACTAAAAATACAAAAACAAAATTAGCCAGGTGTGGTGGCGGGCGCCTGTAGTCCCAGCTACTCAGGAGGCTGAGGCAGGAGAATTGCTTGAACCCGAGAGGCGGAGCTTGCAGTGAGCCGAGATCGCGCCACCGCACTCCAGCCTGGGCGACAGAGACTCCGTCTCAAAAAAAAAAAAAAAAAAGCCCACATTGATGAAGGCTTGCCAAAAGAATATGGGAGCCAAATGAAAGAACTCCTAATGGTCAAGGCTAGACCAATGTGAGCAAAAAATAAATAAATAAAGTAGTATTGGATTATAGCCCAAAATATAAACTAAATATCCTTGAATCCACACTTACATAAATAAATGGTTGAATAAATAGATAAATGGGGAGAATAGATACATTTCCCATGTGGAAGAATTCAAAATAACATATGTAGGTACTCCGCTCTTAAGAAGGTGAACTGTAACTCTCCACTCTGTGAATGTGAGCTGCACATAGTGACCTCTTTCCAAGGAGTGAGTAAGGTATAGAAAGGAAAATACAATCTCGAGGCCCCAGACTCACTGTGCCAAGGGAAAAGTTAAGTCTGTTGAGTCAGGCAAAACTGCCTCCCATTTTCTTCCTAAATAGGTAACTGCAAAGACAGAAGCCACATACCTTCCCAGGGGGCTTCCCTCACAATGTCCTCACAAGGACATTCTTTCTGGGCCCCAAGATCTTTACCCTAAAACGGAGTTCTGTTGAATTTCATCCCGACAATGTAAATTAACAGCTTCTTTTCACAGGTAAAAGACAGGACAGAGACAGGAACAGAAGTCATCCATCTGCTCACCGGAGACTGAAGCATATTTGGCTGCTTCCTCTACTCTATGTTTACTTTCTTTCATGCAAAAACGCAGATTCACTGAGCAGACCAATGCCTCTGCCTGCTCCTTTCTTTTTGTTTTTTGTTTGTTCTTTTTGTTTTGTTTTGTTTTGTTTGTTTGTTTTGGTGGACTCTCGCTCTGTTGCCCAGGCTGTAGTGCAGTGGCAAGATCTCGGCTCATTGCAAGCTCCACCTCCTGGGTCTAAGCGATTCTCCTGCCTCATCCTCCTAAGTAGCTGAGATTACAGGCGCCCACCACCACGCCCCGCTAATTTTTGTATTTTTAGTAGAGCCGGGGTTTCACCGTGTTGGTCTGGCTGGTCTTGAACTCCTGACCTTGTGATCTGCCCACCTCGCCCTCCCAAAGTGCTGGGATTAAAGGCGTGAGCCACCACACCCAGCCTCTGCCCACTCCTTTCACATGTACAAGGTAAATTCAGTGAATGCTGATGAAAATCCCAAGAGAATGCAACCACTTGCTGCTTTTGTCTACACTGTTCTGTTTTGGTTCCTCCTTTCCCCTTCTACCTACTTTTTCCTCTTTTAAATACTGAAGCCCTCAAAATCATCTTTGGAAAAAGTATGGGCCGCAGATTCTACTGCAGCCTGTGTCTCTTTTTCCTGGGCGCATCCTCAATATTGGCAAAAATAAGCCTCTAATTGATGGAGACTGTCAGTCATTTCCTTTGGTTTCACAGCAGGGAAGGAGTTGAAAGAACAGCTTTACAGGAGAGAAACTGACAAACACTACCTCGATCCCAGTGATCAAGATGACCATCAAAGTCATAAGTCATGCAACAGCAGGCACCCTCTATGAGACATGATGAGAGGGAATTCTGTGGGCTTGCTTACCTCTGTTGTCTTTCTTTCCAAAATACATTATCCCAGGCTTGCCTCCCATTCTATTCAAAGTTATCCCTGTGCTCACTGAGGCAAAGGCATATCAGATTGCCTCCTTTGGAAAGGCTAATCAGAACCTCAAAACAGGCCGGGCAGTGTCTCAAGCCTGTAATCCCAGCACTTTGGGAGGCCAGGGTGGGTGGATCACTTGAGGTTGGGAGCTTGAGACCAGCTTGGCCAACATGGTGAAACCCCATCTCTACTAAAAACAAAATTAGCTGGGCGTGGTGGTGGGTGCCTGGAATCCCAGTTGCCCAGGAGGCTGAGGCAGGAGAATCCCTTGAACCTAGGGGGTGGAGGTTGCAGTGAGGCAAGATCGCGCCATTGCACTCCAGCCTGGGCGACAGAGCTAGACTTTGTCTCAAAAAAAAAAAAAAAAAATTAAAAGAATGCAACCGCTTCTCTCACCTATCTGTGACCTGGAAGCCCTCTCCCCGGCTTAGAGTCTTCCTGCCCCCGCTTCGAGTTGTCCCGCCTTTCCAGACCAAAACAGTGTATGTCTTATATCTATTGATTGATGTCTCTTGTCTCCCTAAAATGTATGAAATCAAGCTGTGCCCTGACCCCCTTGGGCACATGTCATCAGGACCTCTTGAGGCTGTGTCACAGTCGGGCATCCTCAACCTTGGTAAAATCAACTTTCTAAATTAACTGAGACCTGTCTCAAATTTTCAGGGTTCACATAGCCTAATCATGAAAAAGACACCAGACAAATTCCAATTGAAGGACATTCTAGAGAATACCTGACCAGAACTCCTCAAACCTGTCAAGATGATCAAAACCAAGGAAAATCACAGACACTGTCATGACCAAAAGGAGCCTATGGAGACACAGCTACTAAATATAATGTGGTTTCCTGGATGGGATCCTGGAAAGGTAAAAAGACACAAGGGGGAAACTGAGATAGTCTGATTTAAGCATTGATTTTACTTAATAATGATGTATCAATATTGGTTCATTAATTAGGGCAAATGTGTCATACTAATATAAAATCTTAATCATCAAAGAAACGGGGTTAGAGTATGTGGAAATTCTCTTTACTAACTTCACAATAATTCTGTAAATCTAAAACTGTTGTAAACAGGTTTATTTTTTTTTTAAATGTTCACACATGCCTCTGTTGGCAAAAGTCGACAGATGCCCCGCTGTGTGCACAAATGTCCTGTTGATGCTGCAGTCTCAATGACCAGCCTCACAATACAACTCAAACCTGTTATGCTTGTGACTCCTCCTAAAAGGCAAAGATTACAGTCCTGCTGAGTTTGGTGATTAATAGTCAGTATGCTTCCATGGTAAGGCTGTTCCGAGAATTTAGAAAAAGCATTTTAATCATCTGCCCACTCTCTCCTTTAAATGTGATTTATGGACTATGGATTTCAGTGTAGCAAAATCTTGAAAACAACAGCAAATTGTTCCTTCGACGTGAGGCGTCATGGAGGGTGAGGCCCACAATTCTCAGAAACAAAGGGGAGATACAATTATTGGAAGAGAAGAATGGCATCATGTTGTTAGGATGGTCCTAGAACATAATTACTACCCCGAACTTTGTCCCCAGCCCTTTCCACTTACCCCAGTCCCAAAGAATCCAAAGAATTCATGAGAAATGTTGTCTCAAACTTTATTTTTTATTTTTTATTTTTTTTTTGAGATGGAGTCTCACTCTGTCCCCCAGGCTGGAGTGCAATGGTGCCATCTCAGTTCACTGCAACCCCCACCTCCCGGGGCTCAAGCAATTCTCCTGCCTCAGCCTCCTGAATAGCTGGGATTACAGGTGCATGCCACCATGCCCAGCAATTTTTTTGTATTTTTAGTAGAGACGGGGTTTCGCCATGTTGGCCAGGCTGGTCTCGAGCTCCTGACCTCAGGTGATTCGCCCTCCTCGGCCTCCCACAGTGCTGGGATTACAGGCGTGAGCCACTACTCCCAGCCATTCTTAAACTTTCTGAAACAATTAAAAGCACTGTTTCAAATAAAAAAAAGTTAAAGAAGAAATACATCTCAATCTCATTCATGTATTTGTAAGAATTGATTTTTCACTTTTAATATTTAAAACAAACCCTGGCCAGGAGGCTTGGCTCACGCCTGTAATCCTGGCACTTTGGGAGGCCAGGGTGGGTGGACCATGAGGTCAGGAGATCGAGACCAACCTAGCCAACATGGTGAAACCCTGTCTCTACTAAAATACAAAAACTTAGCCAGGCGTGATGGTGCACACCTGTAATCCCAGCTACGTGGGAGGCTGAGGCAGCAGAATCACTTGAACCCGGGAGGCGGAGTTTGCAGTGAGCCAAGATCGTGCCACTGCACTCCAGCCTGGCAATGCAGCAAGACTCCATCAAAACAACAACAACAACAAACCTATAAAGTGTAGTACTGATGAAAAAAGTCCATACAACCCTTCTTGAAGAGACTTTGAAAATGACCTCTGTGTCACTTGGGCGACATGTCTATCTTAAAGGATAGAGGAACAAAATAAGTCAAGACCTTATAACTGACCACAGGGAGGTTAAGGCCATCATCCCAAGTGGAGAAGATATTTTAACCGTGGAGCTTTAAGGCTTTTCACTGGTTCCCGACTGATTTGCTTTAAAACCAGGAACCTGCAAATGAATCCAACTGAATGATCAATTTATTCCATTATTGTATTTAATCAATTATTAAATGGCTGAAGTGCTTCTCAAACTCTTTTTTTCATGTATAACTCTTGCCCCTTCCCCCTCCTACTCTTGGAGCAGTTTTGCTCCTACATTTTTTTCTACCCCAGCTTACGTTATTTTTAAATGAAAATAGTTGGGCTTTCCTATAAACGCTAGCATAGAAAGAGCTGAGATATATGGTGTTAGACGCTGTGTAAGTGTAACATTTGTGCCAGGTGTGGTGGCTCACGCCTGTAATCCCAGCACTTTGGGAGGCCGAGGAGGGCAGATCACCTGAGGTCAGGAGTTCGAGACCAGACTGGCCAACATGGTGAAACCCCATCTCTACTAAAAATACAAGAATTAGCCAGGCGTGGTTGTGGGTGCCTGTAATCCCAGCTACTTGGGAGGCTGAGACAGGAGAACCACTTGAAGCTGGGAGGCGGAGGTTTCCGTGAGCCCAGATTGTACCACTGCACTCTTGCCTGGGCGACGGAGTGAGACCCTGTCTCAAAATAAAATAAAATAAAATAAAATAAAATAAATAAAATATCCCTTGAATCCTAGAAGCGGAGGTTGCAGTGAGCCAAGATAGCGCCATTGCACTCCAGTCTGGGCCTCACAGGGAGACTTTATCTCAATAACAACAACCAAAAAAAGTGTAACATTTGTGATAACGTCTGGGACTAAAGCAGGTACAGAGTGCAGAGCAGTAGTAGGACTCACACCCATGACAATAGAGACTAAAAAGCAAAAACGGAAATGCTATCCATTTACATGTAAAACGGCAATGATAGGAATAAGAGGGGGTATAAGATACAAGTGCTGGATAGAGGCTGAAGCAAAATTAAAACTGAGAAATTATCAGTAATTTGGCAAATGGAATTCACTTTAAAATTGATCTATTAGCAAAATAGCCTTTTGCAAACTGACCTGCTTCTCTTTTGATAATACCATACTCTCTTCTCGTGAGACCAAGTTAGATTGTTCTGAGCTTTACCAAGAATACATAACAAATTAATTGGGCAATAAACTTTTAAATAGCCATGCACATGATCCTATCTCTCATTTTCCCTACCAGTTTCCCGTGTGTCTTGAGTAAGAGCCCAGGACTGCTTGAGTTTAAATGTTCTGTCTGTTTAGGGGAGAAGAGAAAGAGAAGACAGGAGAGAGGAACTCCTTGCTTTTCCTACCTTCTGAATGAAATCAACTTACCAATAGTTAGGTCTGCTATCTTGCTTCAAACGACCCCCTTCTGACACCAGGAACCTCTTTAAAAGAATACTGTGATCTTTCAGTTATAAAATCATAGAGGAACTAGTAAAAACGAATGGAGGGTATGCTAGTGATCTGGGGCAACATCACCCTTACATTCTGTAGGCTAAATTCCAACATACTCGGAATAATAATATAAAGTCCTGAATAATATCATTGTATTCTACCCAGCAATATGTTGGACGGAAGAAGGAAAGGGAAGGAGAGAGCCAGAGAGAAAAGGAAGAAGAGAGGGGAGGATTTTGCGTTGAACTCTTGATATGGCCAACATAGAGCCTACCATTGTGGAGATTACAAGATACAATTTTCCCACCTTTTCTCTCGCCGGCCTTTCCTAGTGATACAGCTCCAGTGAGTGGAGGAACACCAGGGCTCTTGTTTCATGTCGAATTGTATAAAACGACATGGACACACGTGGAGTGGTTTTAAGGAGTGGAGAGTTTAATAGGCAAGAAAGAAGGGAGAAGAAAGAAGGAAGAAGCTCCCCTGTACAGAGCCAGAGCGGGGCGGAGTCTCCAAAGCTGAGAGAGGGAACCCCCAGGGCGGCCGATGCCAGCCAGTTATATGAAGAGGCTGGAGGAGGTGATGTCTGATTTGCATAGGGCTCAGGGGATTCGTTTGACCAGGCATGTCATTCATGTAGCCCTCGAAAAAAACTGGCCCTCCCACCCTAGCCTTTTAATATGAAAATGCAGGGTGCCAGGATATTCTATACATGTGGGGAGATGTGGGGGTGGCCATGTTGCCAGGCACATGAGGGAGCAAATGCAAGAAGAAGAGGGCGGAATCGCCATGTTTGGGTGGACCAGTTTCTAATGGTCTGCATTTGCATGTCGAAGGTTGCCTGCCCACCTCTAAGAGCTGGGGCTTTCCTGATAGACGAGAAACATTTCTGGAGCTGCTTTAAAAGAAACAACTTTCCAAGGACCACTTTTCCTCTCTATCTGCCTAAAATTATTTCTTAATGTGTCCTATAACACTAGAAACAATCTCACCACTGCTCTCTGAACAAGCTGTACTTAGCCAGACCTTCTAACTGTTGATTACCGTTCCTCCTACGTGTGTCTGACTCTCCAAGTTCCAACTACTTGTCAGGATCGTTTGGTGTCTTTTTTTTCTGCCTTTCCAAACCACTCTATTCTCTTTTCATCTCTCCCTTCCATGGATGCACAGTCAGTTTAGGAAAGAAACTCATCTGAACATTGACCTCTTAGTTTGCATAAATAACTTTGAGTAACAAATGAACAGGATATTAGGCCCCTCACATACAATGTCTTGCATTTCTTTTTTTTTTCCCCTTCAACGTTTCTAGCAGCGCTGGATCTATTGCAAGTGCTCTGTAAATGACTGATTGAGGAACATATGGATTAATGAATAAATGAACCAGGGAATGAATGCACTGACATGACAGTTTCAGACATAGATGGGGGAGCATGAGGAAGAGCCAAGCAACAGAGCAAAGCATCAGGTCCAAGCAATTTCAGTGGGTTAGCCCTCACTCTTTCCCACAGAGCTCTCAGCTTCCTTTCAAGATTGAAACTCCATTGTTTTGAAATAGTTAAGGCAAAGAAAGTGAGAGAGGACTTTTAAAAAATGGATGCTTTCAGAAACATGGATTCTTACACTAGCAGCCATTTATGGACAATAAAAAGTCAGGAAGCAAACCTAATATAAGCTTTCTTTCCCAGAGCCCAAGGGAAACATAGCCATGGGACATCTTTCTTCAATGAAGTCTACATTTACAGCAACCAAGCGCACACAACTCCATTTCCTGTTTATGTAAGACTTCTTGCTACTGGATGCAGGGAAAATATATCCCTCTTATTGGCTTTCCCATAAAGGTATCTCCCACTCACCAATGCCCTATTCTTTTCAGGTAAGATTCATTCACGTGACAACTGATTACCAAAAGACTGTATTGGGGCAAACCTCATGTTTTTTGTGTCTTGTCATTCTATAGGGAGGGAAATGTCTCTTGCCTAATACTTCACTTTGTTCCATGCCCACTGTGTTCCATAGTTTGGGAAAGCATACTTTAAATCCAGCGTGGGATCTGTTTGAGTGATCCCTGGATTTGTATTGGTTTTGTTTTCTGAAGCAGGTTTGTCTTAGTGGGTGCCCTTTAGAGATCACTTTTGTTATAAAATGAACCAAGATTAATAGCCAGCTCCATGTCATGTGTTTGCATGTCTTCAGCTGACGAATTTCAAATGACCTTCTTGTTCTGCCAATACATTGTGGAGATACCATCACTGAAAGCCGGCCCTTGCTACTGCTGACTCTGTCATATGGGGAAGGGGACAGTGTGTAATTCTGCCTGTGGTAATCTGCTTGTGGCAGTGATTTTATAGCCTGCAAACTTTTGCTTATTGTACCCAGATGTTGTATGATACTTTGCCAAAAATACATCTTTTAAAGAATCTGTCTTAACTCTTTGTTTTGAGATAATTTTATGCTTACAATATTTGTCTCATCATGTTCTCTCTCTGTCTCTGTATGTAAACATTTTTGAACCATTTGAGAGTAAGTTGCAAAGAAAATACGCCATTACCTTAGTGTACAATTCCTAAAAATAAGGGTATTTTCTTACAAAACCAGAGTACAATTTTCAAAATCAGAACATTTATGTAAGTGCAGTTCTATTATCTAATACATAGACTTTAGTCAAGTTTTGTAATTTTTTACTGGCCCAGGATCAATCTGGTATTCATGTTGCCCTTGGTTTTCTTGTCTCATTATTCTCCATTAATTACAAATAACTCTTTCTTTCTTTGTCTTCCACGACTCATTTTTTTGAAGAGTAGTGGCCATGTGTCTTTTACAGAATAGCACTCAGTTTGGGATTGTCTGAAGCCTCTATATGTTTAGATTCACACAATGCATTTTTGGCAGGAACACCACAGAAGCCATGTTGATGCAGGGACATTATATCTATTTGTCTCATTAATGGTGATGTTAACTTTGTTCATTAATGTTTCCCATCAAAGTTTTACCCATCGATGATTCTTGCCTAAAACAATTATTACTACAGCGGTTGTCAAATGGTGATTTTCTGAACATATCATGCCTCCGTATTTATTACTGACTTCCTACTGCAAAGAAAAACTTTCTCCTTTTCTTATTTGTTTATTTATTTATTTATTATTCCACATTCATCTTCAGTGTGGATTTATGGATTTTACTTTATGGGTTAAAAACAATTATTATTTATTTTGATGTCCAAATTACTTCACATTTGGCCAGTATATCCCCTTGGCATGTCCCTTCATTCTTTGAGAGCTTCCTTGATTTCTGACATAAAAATATATTCTAGGACTATCTTGTGCATCTCCAGCCCCAGCTTTGGAACTGGTGGTTGATTTCCACAAAAGTCCCTAATTCCTTTTATTGGAAAGTAGTGCTTAGAATCCAAGATCTAGGACTAGGTGTACCAGTTCCTATTAACAATGTCAGTGTTCCAAGAAACTCTCACTGGACAGAGTAAAGAAAAATGTGTGTATGTGTGTGTGCGTGCGTACACCCATGTGCGCACGAACACATGTATATGTGCACCTAAATATATACGTACACAAATTTACATTTATATCTATTTGAGGTTTTATTACATATCCTCAGTTCCAATCCAAGACTTGAGTTCTCAAAATGAAATGGCCATAAAACCTCCTGCAAAATAAATATTTTTGGGCAATTAATTAACAATTGAAATCTGTATCATTGGTTTGAGCTGATGACATCCCAGTTTTGGCCCATATAACATTTTTTGGTAGCCAAGTAGAGGAGGCTATAATGTAATAGAGGTACCACCTTTTAGGCACATGTGCACATAAACAATTAGTTCTTTCCCATCTATTGATCCCATCACTTAAAAATGCCATAACTGGGCCTATTCTCCAATTCCAGTGACTTAATTTGTAAGCTCATTATCTCTTGCTTGGACTATTGCCATAGCTTGCTAATTGGACTACAAATCCTCGTCATCGTCACACTGCAATCCATCTCCACATAGACCTCTGACTGTAATGTAGATTATGCTACTTTCCCATTTTAAAAAAAGAAATGTTAGGCTTCAGTTAGAACAGAATGAAATTCAACTCCTCAGCAAGCAAAAGGAACCCTCATCTGAGTAAATTTAAGCCCAGTAAAATTTTAACTCATTCTTTGCTAAGCACTAAGTTACCTGTAACACTTAGTTTATTGTTTCGTCCTCAACATGACATAAATGTGCATGAACTGTTTCACTGGATACACAATTGCTAAAGCAAAGGCCTATCTATCTGCCTAAAAAAGACTTAACATATAACAGAATATAATGTCACTTAACTACTAAGGTTTATTAAGTGTCTACCATGTTCCAGGCACTGTGCCATACATATTCTTGTATTTAATTCTTACAATCTTCTGAGACAAGTGTGATCAGGGCAGTGAGGAAACTGAGGTTTAGAAATAAAAATAAACTCTTATACGTTCAGACAGTTAATAAACTTGACAGCTCAAGTGGACCTGTCTGACTCCAAAATTCATTAACTTTGCTACGGCCTTGGACCAAATTCAACTGTCCCTCTTGAGTGCCCTTCCTGGCACCTGGATGCAAAGTTAGAATCCAACAGTTTTGTCCAAAATTCTCATACAGAGTTTAATATACTGTAGTTATTTGTGACACATCTCTCTCTATCAGTAGACTGAGTTCTTGTATGTTAGAAAACATATCTTATTCAACTTGGAATTTTCCTTTTGGACATCAGTGTTGAGTTAGACAAGAAAACTTAAATGTTTGGGAAAACACAGGTGGGGACGATGTGAGAGCAAAAGCCCTGTGTTTACAGTGGAGAGAGGGGGGGACTATGGACAATTTCAAAACAAAAATGAGTAAGTACTGTAACATTCTATTAGTGTGAAGATAATGTTTTTTGCAGATACTCTTTGCATTCTCAAAGGATGGAAGAAAATTTGATTTATATTAGAAGTAACTACAAGGCAGGAAGTTATAGAGTTGGTGAGGACAGAAATAATTGGGCAGTTTTTTTATTGGATTTTTTGTTTTTTGAGACAGAGTCTTGCTCTGTCGCCCAGGCTGGAGTGCAATGGCATCATCTGGGCTCACTGCAACTTCCGCCTCCTGGGTTCAAGCGATTCTCCTGCCTCAGCCTCCCAAGTAGCTGGGATTACAGGCACGTGCCACCATGTCCAGCTAATTTTTGTATTTTTAGTAGAGACAGGGTTTCACCATGTTGGCCAGGCTGGTCTTGAACTCCTGACCTCAGGTGATCAGCCCTCCTTGGCCTCCCAAAGTGCTGGGATTACAGGCGTGAGCCACTGCACCCTGCCCTACTTGATTTGTTTTTATAAATAGATCTTTGCAAATATCATAGACATCAGGGTTGCCACTGTAAAATAGAGTGGTGGTCTAGGTGGCCCTGCACTCATATGTTTATCACAGCACATTCACAACAGCAAAAATGTGGAACCAGCCTAAGTGTCCATCAACTTATGATTAGATCAAGAAAATATGGTGTATATACACAATGGAATACTATTCAGCCATAAAAAATAATGAAATCGTGTCTTTTACAGCAACATGGATGGAACTGTGAGCCCTTATCTTAAGTTAAATAACTTGGAAGCAGAAAGTTAAATATCACAAATAAGTGGGAGCTAAATAATGGAATAATAGTCCTTGAAGGCTTGGAAGGTGGGAGAGTGAGTAATGAAAAGTTACTTAATGGGTATGAAGTCCACTACTCAGGTGATGGCTACACAAAAAGCCCAAACTTCACCACTACACGTCGATGTAACAAGATTGCATTTACATCCTTCACATTTATGCAAATAAAAAAACACATACAAAATACATTTAAGCAAAAGAGATTGCCCATTCAATGAGCCAAATAAAGTTAAATTCAAATTAAGAACTTGCAGAGGGAAATTATAATATATTGGCATTCACAAAGATCATTTGGATAAGAACATTAATCAAGAGGGCAATTCAAAGTTTAGGATGATTCTAGATGCCTCTCAGACATTTTAGAATGTTGACTAAGCAATATTTTCATAACTGAAAAAGACTCTCAAACATCTAGGAATTAGGCCAAATAAGATATTGATTAATATTAATGGACTTCATAGAAGAGCAGAAAAGTACCAAAGCAAACCTGATTTTTAGAGCTAGGGCAGAAGTGCCTTCTACATAATTTATTGAAAAACAACAGCAACGTCGACAATACAGCCTGAATCACCTGGCGCATCCACAGAACCTCATTCTAGGAAATGAGCCAAAGATGGTAGAAAAATTGGGAACTTTCTTGAATCTAGATTCCAAGTGTCTCAACCCAGTTCCATTCCAAATAATCATGAATATAAAAGAAAAGAAGAGAAGCAGGCTGTGTTTTCTGCAAGCTGGCTTCAGGGACTAGAGAATGCCCTGAGGAGAGCAAATGGAAGCCCCATTAGGAGGAAAACGGCTGCGAGTGATGGGAACAATTTTAGTCAGAAGCAGGAGGCTGTGCTTGAAATGGAAATTTATCTTTGTGGAATTCTAAACAGAGGGAAAGGGCATCCAAGGTTAGCCGAAGCTAGCAGAGGAGAGACGTTACCAAAGCGTGTGAATAGAGAGTGAAATGCTTTCAGAGTAAACAAATACCCAAGCCGTTCCTAGGAAGCTGTTCTAAAGCCAGTTTGCACGAACTTTCTCATCTGTTTTGCTACAAAGAAAGAGTGAAATTGAAGCCCCCAGCCTTCTTTTCCTCACATTATACCCAGGAAATCAATTTTGCATCAAAGGAACACCTGTTAGGCATTTTCTGAATTAATATGGCTTAATTTGGTTTATTATGGTTTAATACCAGATTGTAAATGGCTCAACCTACAGCTATTTACTGAGGACCTGCAATGTGCAAAGCAATAGATGCCCCAGATGATAACCAGACTTTGATACAAATGTCTCAGAATGGATTGTTTCAGGTCATTTTATCACATTAGTGTTTATCTGGAAGAAGAAAACCGAGAAAGCAGAAGTTGTAGGTGACTTTATCTAGTTCTCAAGCTCCTGCAGCTTCATTAAAATACACAGAAACGTATGTCTTAAAAGCGTTCTATTCTGTCTTCCTTTTCTCCAACTTCTTCCTTAAAAATACATACTTTGCATCTGCTTTATAAAAATACAAACATTTAAGAAATGTTAAATATATAAAAAAAGAAAGAGGCACACAAGTATCCACCAATCAGATAAAACAAATAGCATCTTTTCCATACTTGTCACAGATCAATTCAAAGAAGAAAATATCAAAGAAAGACTTAAATCTCCCTCCCCATCCCATTCATCCCTCTTCCTTCTAAGACAGCACCATCATTTCCAGACTGTTGTGTGACATTTCTTGTTTATGTTGATAATTTTATAAATATCTGTGTAGAATTTTCTTTTTCTAACTTAAAATGCCCTAAAATTATTTCCTGGGCTTTTCAGAGTTGTTTTTCACTGTGATGACCTTGCATTCGTTTGCATTGCAATGCTGTAGTGTGTGTTTCAGAGCCAGCGCCCTGCCGCCACACTGCCCATATACAAAGCACGGTTCTTCTACTTACTTGTTATGTGACTGTGAGCAAGTTCTGCCTCTTTCAAGACTCAGTTTATTCATCTGTAAAATATCCCATTGGCAGGTGGAGAGGATTAAATGATTTAATACATAAAGCATTTATTCACTCAACCAATTCTTGACGTGTCATGAGTACTCAGTAAATGCTAGTTATTATTAGTATTGCTATTGCTGGCATTGTTATCATGTGAGGTCCAAATTTAATTTAATTTATTATAAATGGATAATTACTCCAACAATATATATGATGCAGCCATAAGCCACCTCATATAACAAGCCTCTACATATTCAAGTGTCTGTTCTAGTCTCTCTCTGCATCCATACCACACTACTGTCCTAATTAATAGCCCTATAATAAATGCTGTATCTGGAGTGTTTAGTCCACCTTCTCTTCTCCCTCTTTAGAGTAGTTTTGGCAATTCTTGGCCCTGTATTCTTTCATACTAATTTTAGTATACATTTGTTAAATTCCTTTCAAAATAACAAACAAACCACTGTGGGGTAGTGGTTAGAATTATATTGAAGATATTTCATCTTCTCATACATGAACATGTATTATATCACTTTTGTATTTTATATTTTGTCGTTTTAAAAATCCTCTTATATTTTTTCCATGAAGTTTATTCTCTACTATTCTAAATTATATTCCCTGGCCAGGCTCAGTGGGTCATGCCTGTAATCCCAGCATTTTGGGAGGCTGAGGCAGCAGATCACCTGAGGTCAGGAGTTGGAGACCAGCCTGGTGAACATGGTGAAACCCCATCTCTACTAAAAATGCAAAAATTAGCTGGGTGTGGTGGCAGGTGCCTGTAATCCCAGCTACTCAGGAGGCTGAGGCAGGAGAATTGCTTGAACCCAGGAGGTGGAGGTTACAGTGAGCCAAGATCGCACCATTGCACTCCAGCCTGGACAAGAGAGAAACTCTGTCTCAAGAATGAATGAATAAATAAATAAATAAATAAAATATATTTCCATATGCTGTTTTTGCTATCATGGAAAAGATTTGCTAAATCATATTTTTTAAATATTTTCAAATTTTTATGGTCATCATAAAATGTTATTGTTATATCCAGTAACGTTGATACACTTTTACTAATTGTAATAGTTTGTGCATTTTCTTTCTTTTCGATGAAGATAGCCATGTCATCTTTGAAAGATGTTCATTTGTTTCTTCCAAATTTCACTTTTTTACATTTTCCTATCTTATTGGGCTGGCTAAGACTGTAGGTACAATTGTGAAGAAAGCACTGATAGCAGACATCCTTATCTTTTTCTCTGCATTAGAGGGAATACTTTACTAATTGACCATTAAGTATAATATTCAATATTCAATTTAGGATTTTGCATAATAAGCTTTACTAACATTTTATGCCTAGTTTAAGAGTTTTTTTTTAAAAAGTCATGAATATTACATTTTAACATACCTTTTTATATTTTTAAAGGTAATCACATTTTATCTCCTTTAATCATTAAATTTTAAGTGCTGAATTATAGTTACAGATTTTCTAATGTTAAACTATTTATAAATTACTGGGATATACCCTCCTTGTTCACTGAAAAAAAAATGCTGGATTCAATAGCGTTTACTAATTTTTGTTTATAATTGTTTTATTTGTGTGCCTTTATAAGATTGCCTACAATTTTTTCTTTTGATAAGTTCTTGGTCAAATTTCAGAATTGAGATTACACTAGCTTCATAGAGTGAGTTGGGGAGTTTCTTCTCTTGGCCCATTTCCTGAAATACATTGTGTTAAGATTGTCTTTACTCACCTTCTAGTTAGAATATTTTTTTAAGAGTGGGGGAGAGAAGAAATAAGTAGATAATTTGAGAATCAATTGAACAACTTTAATGACGTAATTTCTAATCAAGTTACCTATTTATCCTTGTCATTTTTATTTATATTTTCCTAAAAAATGGTCCATGTTTCCAAGTTTTCAAATGTATTGGTGTAAGTTTTACTTAATAATCACTCATTTTTTTTTCTAAAACTATTTGCTCCATCATCTGTCTTTCTATTATCTTTCTGTCTCTTTGTCTCTGTCTGTCTGCCTGTCTGTCTCTCTCACTGGGATTTACCTACACTTTTTATCTTTTCAAAGAATCAGCTTTGAGTTTTGTCGATCCTCTTTGTTTTCCTTGCGCTTGTCTTTCTCCTCTATTTCTCTTTCCTTTCTTGGAGTTTACCCTCTGAGTCTTCTCCTACTTCATAAGTTGAACAAATAGATCCCTTATTTTTGATCGTGTCCCTTGTTCATGTGTGCATTTCAGGCTCCCAGACTCTGGAAGCGTTATTTCAGTTGCATCTCTTGAGTTTCAATATGTAGTTTTTCAGTTCTCTGTATGTTTTTCAGTTCTTTAATATCCATTCTGAATTTCTCTTTGACTTATGAAATACCCAAATAATCAAATTTTAAAATCTTAATACAAATTGTTTATTGTTTTGGGAGGTATTTTTGTAATGTGCTTTTGAGGGGTTTGCTATTGTTTTAAATTTTTTCTATTTCAATGCTGTAGGGGTACAAGTAGTTTTTTTATTACGTGGGTGAATTGTATAGTGGCGAAGTCTGGGATATTAGTGTATGTGTCACCTGAGTAGTGCACCCCAGTAGGTAGTTTTTTAAATGTTGTCTGTACCAGGTTAAATTCTGGCACATGTTTAGACATGGTCTATGGTTATCAAAATTCTATTCTGCTAGAAAGTAATGAGTACCTTAATTGTTGGGTACTGGCCTTTGTATGACAATTTGAGCAAATTTGTCAATTGTGCTCTTTAATGTTTTTATGTTTTTCATTTTTCCCTTTTTCTGTTTCTGCCAGGTGAGCTAGAATCTTGTTATGATTTTATTTGAACAATTTTCCCTCTGATTTTTTTTTTTTTGCTTTATACATTTTGAGGTTACACTGTTAGAGGAGGATGGATTTAGTATTACTTCATTTTCTAGATAATTTTACAGTAATTTCCATGATTGTCTTTATCATTAATATTTCTTTATACCTTTAAATTTAATTGAATGGCATTAGTATTGCTACATCATTTAACAGCTTTACACAGATTAGCATTTGCCTAATATACCTTTCCCATTTTTTATTAATATTCTTTCTGTGTAATGCCTAAACATTACATATAACTTGCCTTTTTGTTTATCCAACTAGAGGATCTTTATCTTTTTTGTTTATTGAGATTATGGATATATTTGGAATTATTTACGTGACAAGTTTTTTTTTTGTTTTCATGCTATTTCTTAATTATTTTTCTCCTCTTTTTCTCAATCATCCTTCCGTTGGATGATTAGAATTTCTTTCCGCTTTGTTTCCTTCCACCAAATTAAAAGATGTTTTATTTTGTCTGATATAATGTTAAAATGCATACCTGAATTAGCAAGGTTTTATCATGGCCAATGAAGAATTGTAGAATGTCCACATATTCCATATTATTGTTGTATAGTATTTTAGTTACATCTGTTTTACTCCCCACCCATTGGATATTATTTTAATTATTATTCATTTTTATAATAATTTTATTTAGATTTACTCACATGTTTCTGATTTATTTTGTAACCACTTATTTTTGCTTTCTATTTCTTCCTTCTTAGGTTCAATTTTTATCTTTATGAAACACACCTCATATATTCCATTTCTTGGCCTGCATGCATTCACTTTACACACACACACATACACACACACACACACACACACACAACATTTATCTGGACATAAGTTTATTTAAAAATAGCTATTAAATAACAGCTGTAACAGAAAATAAAAATAAATAACAGTTGTGTCTTTCAGCAAGATATATGGGTGGCAAAGTTAGCATTTGTGTGAAAATATATTTGACTTTTGAGGGTTTAACTGGGCATAGAAGTCTAAGTTCACATTATGTTTCTTAGCAACTTCAAAATACTAATCAATTTTCTCTATTTTCTGTATGCTGGTAGAACATCTAATTGACAATCTGTTCCTTTTTTGTAGGTAATCTTTTTCTACCTGATTGCTTCTGAGAGTTATGCTATTTCTCCTTTTCCCTGCAGTTTCACTATGATGCATCTCATTAATTTTTATTTTTATTTATCAAGCTCAGGAATTGGTATCATTCCTTATTGTAAAGATTAACAGTTGTTCATCAGCTCTGAAAATTCCTAGCCATTTATCATGTTGTATATTTTTTTCACCAAACGTTTCCCTATTCTCTTCCTCCACAGCTCCTATTTAGACATATGTCAGTTATTTTTATTCTACTCACCATGGCTCAATCTTTCCTTTACATTTTCCATTGCTTTATCTCACTGAATTATTACTTCTTGTAGCAATTTCAGCAGACTACTCTTCCGTTCTCTAATTTTTTTATTTAGTTGTGCTCACAATTCTTTATTCAGTTGTGTGCAACATGATGTTTAACTCACTGAGTATTTAGTTTCAATGAGTATATTTTCATTTTTAATGTTCTTTTTGTTTTTCTTTTAAAATATTATTTCTAAAATGTTGTCTACTATAATTTTATTTCATGGTTTTATTTGTGAACAATTTTAAGCACAATTTATGATTGTTGTATTACTTGAGTTCTTGAGACCATATGCCTAGGGTTTATTGTTAATCAGATTCTCTCTCATGACAGATTATTTTCTCATGTGGTTTGTAATTTTGTATGTGCTCTTTTACTCAGGAGGAGTGTGTGTGTGTGGGTGTGTGTGTGTGCGCACACACACTGGGTAAAAAATACTCCCATAAAAAATATTTTCTGTTTGCTTAATAAGTCGGGACACAAGACTATCTTCATTTGGGAATACATATTGATGCCAACTTTTCCTCCTCATTTGGCTGTAGAATAGGTTGGGTTTCCATTTTTCTTTTTCTCTCTTTTTTTTTTTTTTTTTTTTGAGACGAAGTTTCACTCTTGTCACCCAGGCTGGAGTTCAATGACATGATCTCGGCACACTGCAACCTCCGCCTGCTGGGTTCAAGCGATTCTCTTGCCTCAGCCTCCTGAGTAGCTGGGATTACAGGTGCCCGCCACCACGCCCAGCTAATTTTTGTATTTTTAGTAGAGACAGGGCTTCACCATGTTGTCCAGGCTGGTCTCAAACTCCTGACCTCGTGACCCGCCTGTCTTGGCCTCCCAAAGTGCTGGAATTACGGGCGTGAGCCACCGCACTCGGCCCAATATTGCCTTTTTGAATGTACCTCTTGTCACCTCTTCACAGGCGTCATCACCCCATCCCTGGCAATTAAGACCTGTACCAGGATTCAGTTCCTTCCTAGGCCACCATGGCATCACTCCTCAAGGTTTTCCTCTGTTGTCTCTGGCATCTAGGAATTTTACCTTCTTTCTTTTTAGGTCAATTATATATTAAACTATTTGTATTACATATTACCAAGCACTTCTTTGTATTTGTAGCAGAAAGATACTCACATATTTCAGCATGCCTTGAAAGAACCAAATGTCTGATTTACTCTTCAGAAAACAGCTATTGTGAAATAAACATATTTACCAAAAAATGCTGTGTGTGTGTGCATGTATATGTGCACTCGTGTGTAAAGGGAATGCCTGCAGGTCAAGAAATGGAACATTATTGCCAAGACCCTGAATTCCCATGTTCCTATCCCAGTGATAACATTCATCTTCTTCCTTAGTAGTAATTACAGTATGACTTTTATGATAGGCACCTTCTATCTTTTTATTGTAGTTTTACCACTTATATTAATTATGAAACAAAATAACTTAGTTTTCCTTGAGTTTGAACTTTCTATGGCTGATATAATTCTGTATTCTTTCTTAGGTCTTATTTCTTTTGATCAAAAGTATGTTTTTGACATTTGTCTGTGTCAAAGACTGGCAAACCTTTTCTTTAGGGACCAAATAGTAAATATTTTAGTCTTTACAGGCTACCTACGTTTTCTAACACATACTTTTTTTTGCTTGTCTGTTTGTTTTTTAAGCTATAAAAATGTAAAAACATTCTTAGCTTGTGGGCCATGCAAAAATAGGTCACAGCAGGTTTGTTTGGCCCAGAGGATCATAGTTTGATGACTCTTGATCAAATATCACTACAGGGAGCTTTAGTTATTTATTTGTATTGCTATTCAGCAAGGTACATTTATTCATCCTAATGCAAATGTACACTTTGAGTTTTTTCAATGTAACACTAATCCTATTTTTTTAGAGACATATGAGTACACATTTTCTAGTAAATATATGTGTAAGTTTCTACTTAAGGATGCCTTTGCTTGATATGCATATATTTGACTTTTGAAGATATCGTCAAAAATTTTCTCAAGTGCTGGTACTAATTTATATTCCCACCAAATAGTATGACTTTTTCTTTTGTTATGTATCCTTGCCCACATTAGCAGTAACAGAATGTTTGGGTTTAGCCGATCTTGTTGATATGTAGTAGTATCTCATTGTCATTTTTCATCAACAATTTCTTGATTATTAGTGAGGTCGAACACATTTTCAAATGTTTATTGGCCATTTTGATCTTGACTTTTGTGAGGTGCCTGCTTTTATTTATTTATTTATTTATTTATTTATTTAGAGACAGGGTTTCACTTCCATCGCCCAGGCTGGAGTGCAGTGATGTGATCTAGGCTCACTGCCACCCCCGCCTCCTGGGCTCAAGCCATTCTTCTGCCTCAGCCTCCCGAGTAGCTGGGACTGTAGGTGCACCCCACCACACCTGGCTAATTTTGTATTTGTTGTAGAGACGGGGTCTTGCCATGTTGCCCAGGTTGGTCTCTAACTTCTGAGGTCAAGTGATCCACCCACCTCTGCCTCCCAAACTGCTGGAGTTACAGACATGAGCTGCCACGCCCGACAGGCTCTCATTTTTCAATCATTTTTTGAAATGGGGTCATCTGCATTCTTCTTATAAGTTTTGTAGGAGTTGTTCATATACTTTGCATAATAATTATTGACCAATTAGTTATGTGTCACAAATATTTTCTTATGTTCTGTGGCTTGCATTTTCTTTCTGTAAATGCTGTCTTCCGATTAATGTAAATACTTAATTTCCAATTAGCTCAATTTGTCAACCAATCCTTTTTTTTGACTCTCATTTAATAAATATTTCCCTATTACTAAGTCACATTCTTTTATATCAATAAGATGTTTATACTTTGTCTTTTATATTTAGGTTGTTGACCCACCTAGAGCTGATGTTTTCTGCATGGTTTGTAGCAAGAAGCAAATTTCTTTTGTCCAAATGGAAATCCAATTGTTCTAAGATTCAATACTTAAAAAGTATAATTCTGTCATATATTGAATAATCACATATTTATGGCCAAGTACAAAAGTTCTCTATTCAGTTCCATTGTATTCTCCCAGTGCAAATGAAAAGCAGTTTTTTTATTGTAGTTTTATAATAAGACTTGAAATCAAGTAGAGCAAGTTATCCTGAATAGATTCTCTTCTTTAAGCATGTCTTCACTTTACTTGGCAATTGCATTTCCATATTATTCTTACAGTAAGCTCATGATATCCTAAAATAAAGCAAAAACAATAACAATAGCTACTGGGTTTTCCAGGCCATCAATAGGTTATATTCCTTCCTCTATTTAGATTTTCCTCCTTGATATCTCTCAGAAACATTTAATGACTCATAATTTTTCCATAGAAGTCTTGCACACATTTGAAAGGTTTTTCCTGCTTGGTCATATTATTTGATGTTACATGTGAATAGTATCTTTTAAAATTTACTTTGTATAAATGTTATTAGTCTTAATTTTTTTTTTTTTTTTGAGACGGAGTTTCGCTCTGTTGCCCAAGCTGGAGTGCAGTGGCACGATCTCGGCTCACTGCAACCTCCACCTCCCAGGTTCAAGTGATTATCCTGCCTCAGCCTCCTGAGTAGCTGGGACTACAGGCGAGTGCCACCACACCCAGCTAATTTTTTGTATTTTTAGTAGAGATGGGGTTTCACCGTGTTAGCTAGGATGGTCTCAATCTCCTGACCTCGTGATCCACCTGCTTCAGCCTCCCAAAGTGCTGGGATTACAGGCGTTAGCCACCATGCCAGGCCTAAAATTTACATTGTATAAATGCTATTACTCTTAATTTCTAAATTTGTATTTATTGCTATAATAAATAGAATTTGTTGTTCTATATTGCTTCAATGGTTAACTGTCTGTTATAAACAAATCCTCTTATTAATTCTAATAATTTAGGTATGACTTTTAGATATTATACATATAAAATCATATTTTATTTCTATGCAATTGCTCTTCACTTTCTTTCCCAACAATCCTCATGTTTAATTCATTATCTTCTTCTCCCAATATAATACTGACTAGAAATAGTGACAACACATATACTTTCTTTGTTTCAGCTTATGATGTTGCTATTGGTTTCATGTCAATTTCTCTGAGATGAAGGAGTTTTACTTCTTGTTTAAGAATTCTATTATGAATGAAGGTCGGATTTCACAAAAAAATGTTTAATGTCTTGAGAAAATCATATAAGGTTTCTTTTTGAATTTGCTGATACTGTGAATACGGTCGAATTTGGGGCTAAAATTTAGTATGCATTAGTATGTAAATTATTCTTAAAGTCAAAGCAATTCATAAGCTCATATATGGAAGAGTGCAGAGACAGAGGAGAAAAAGTCAAAGGCCGAGCCCTGAAGAAATTCAGGGTTTTGTAAACTAGAGGGAGCTGGCAAACAATACTGAGAATGCATATTTTACAAGAAATATCAGAGAGTTAAGCAATCTAATAAAATATCTACTGGTTGGCAACATGAAGGTTTTTGGTGTTTTTTTGTTTATTCATTTGTTTGTTTTTTGAAATGGAGTCTCATTGTGTCACCCAGGCTGGTGTGCAACCTTACAGTAACCTCTGCCTCCCGGGTTCAAGCAATTCTTGTGCCTCAGCCTCCTGAGTAGCTGGAATTACAGGTGCCCACCACCAGGCCCAGCTAATTTTTGTATTTTTAGTAGAGACGGGGTTTTACCATGTTGGCCAGGCTGGTCTCAAACTCCTGACCTCAGTCCATCCACCCACCTTGGCCTCCCAAAGTGCTGGGATTACAGATGTGATCCACCGTGCCCGGCCAACATGCAGGGCTTTAGTGATTTTTGCAATAATCATCCTAACTGAGTTGGTGAGGGATTGGAGGGTGGAGATAGAGAAGCCAAATTGGAAAGAATTTAAATTAGATAGTGAAAAAAAAAGAACAACGTTACTGAGATGAGTGCTCCCAATAAAATAAGGTACAATCTAGAATAAAGTATTTTCAAAATCTTTTGTAAATGTATTAAGGAATATCAGATAGTGCAAATTTCCTGAACAAGTCCTGGAGGAAAACTGGAATCCAGAGACTTAAGCAGAATATGAGGGTAGCCAAGTCAATTTTCTCTAAGAGGATTTTGAGTGTAGAATCAAGCACAAAAGATGCCATCTGAGAATTGCTTATTCATGGGACTAGTATGGTTCTTAGACCTGAGCAGGAAAGATGTCTACCCTGAAACTCATGCTTCAGAGTACCCCTCATAACACAAATCCAACACCAGTGGTAACAGCAACACTGCTACATTTGTTAAAACCTCTCTCTGGGCCCCTCTCTGGGATCTGATACTCACTACAGCCCCATAACAGCACTTGAAATTGCTGACATCTGCTCTTTGATGAATGCCACTGAAGGAAACACTTCAGCGTATCTTGCTAGATACTTTAGAAAGGAAAGGCAATTCTGTTCAGAGTCCATAAAGATTTGAAAGCTGTGCCACCGCTGACATCACTGTGTTGAATTGCAGGGTTGGTTTGAGTGGATTAAGTGCTTAACTAAGAGGAAAGAAGCGTTATAATCTGTCAAATCCTACCTCTTCACATTAATACAATAGATGTTTATATTTCTCAGAAATGTCTAGTGCCCAATTTTTGGTTTTTCTTGTATTTCAGTTGTGGTTCTGGAGATATGTACAACCTAACATGAAACAGGATACTAGCAAGAACTCCCAATAGTGTCTGAGGAACATTATGAATACTAAACAATTCATTTTACTCTTGAATTTAAATACATGTTGGATGTAAAATGCGTGACCCCAGGGTTGGTCAATTTCATGCCAGCCACCACGGTCAGTATAGCTTAGTTAAACTTTCGTTTATTGCTAAAGGCTTATCACTGCTGTCTCCCGTGAAGGGTGATACCCATTATTTACCCTTGCAATAAGATGAATAGCAAATGCTAGAACTCCAAATAGTTTTAATTTCACAAAATTATTTAATAGGTTTACTTGCATTTCAAAGAAACCATTACATTTTCATTTTTATTTAAGTGGTTTGCATTTATAAACTTTAATATTTAAGCATATGGCATGTGGGCCTCCTTTTATACTCTTGGCCTGGGCCCTGAGAATACTAGAGGCAGAAGACTTTGTGAGTTAGAGCCACAGGACCCTGTAGTCATGGTAGCACGGCTTTGTTTTTGTCTTTATGTGATAAGAAACCATTAGAGCATGTTAAAGTAGAAGAGTGATGTCAGCTGAATTTGGATTTAAAGGAATGATTCTCAACATTATGTGGACCTTGTTTTTACTTTAAAATATCTAATTATTAAATAAAGATTGGATACATCCAAGATGTACAACATGATGGCTAGATATATGTACATATTGTTCAATGATTATCACAGTCAAATTAATTAACACATTCATCACCACCCATGCTGTATGTTAGATCCCAAGAGTTTGTTCAGCTTATAACTCAAAGTTCATACCCTTTGACCAGCATCTTCCCATTTCCCCCATTCACCAGCCTCTAGCAATCACCATTTTACTTTACTCTTAGCTTCTAAGTGTTTGGCATTTTCAGGTTCTACATATAAGTGCAACCACACAGGGTTTGTCTTTGTATGTATGGCTTATTTTGCTTAGCATAATGTTCTCCAGGTTTAACCATGTTGTTGCAAATGGCAGAATTTTCTTCTATTCTATGACTGAATAATATCCCTTTTGTATATGTACCACAATTTCTTTATCCATTCATCTACAGATGGATGCTTAGATTGATTTCATATGTTGACTATTGTGAAAAATTCTGCAATGAACATGAAGATACAGATATCTTATTGAAATACTAATTTCATCTTTTTTGGATATATTCCCAGAGTAGGATCTCTGAATCATATGGTAGTTCTATTTTTAATTTTTTGATGAACCTTCATACTGTTTTTCATGATAGCTGTACCAATTTGTACTCCCACCGACAGTGTACAAGGGTTGAGGTTCTCTTTTCTCCACAGCCTCACCAACATTTGTTGTCTCATATCTTTTTGATAGAAAATTTCCTGTAGAGAGAAAAGAATAAATCCAAGAGACTAAATTAGGAGATTCTTAGGGCAATCTAGGCAGTATAGAGTGGTGGTTACAATCATAGCCTCTAGAACCAGGCTTCTCAAGTTTGAGATCTCTTCTTGGGTACATGCTATCTCTATGATACTATGAAAATGACAACCTCTGTACTTTTTCCTCCTTATTAGTAAATTGAAGGCAAAAATCACCTAGTTCATTCATATTTTGTAAATATTAAGCAAGTTACGCAAAACACTTGCAACTGTACCTAGCACTCAGTAAGTACCATCTGAGGGTTAAGCATTATTGGTGAGTATGGCATGGGAAAGGAATTGAGGGTGATCTTAATGATTTTAGTTCAAGCAATAGGACCAATACAATAGCACAATTTTTTTTATTATACTTTAAGTTCTAGGGTACATGTGCACAGCATGCAGGTTTGATACATAAGTATACATGTGCCATGTTGGTTTGCTGTAGCCATCAACTCATAATTTACATTAGGTATTTCTCCTAATGCTATCCCTCCCCCAGCCCCCTGCCCCCCACCCCCTGACAGGCCCCGGTGTGTGATGTTCCCCACCCTGTGTCCAAGTGATCTCATTGTTCAATTCCCACCTATGAGTGAGAACATGTGGTGTTTGGTTTTCTGTTCTTGTGATGGTTTGCTGAGAATGATGGTTTCCAGCTTCATCCATGTCCCTGCAAAGGACATGAACTCATCCTTTTTAATGGCTGCATAGTATTCCATGATGTATATGTGCCACATTTTTTAAATCCAGTCTATCATTGATGGACATTTGAGTTGGTTCCAAGTCTTTGCTACAATAGCACAATTTAATGAGGTCAGAAACACTAGGAGAGGAGTGGGTTTTGGTGGAGAGGATGGAATCAAGAATTCAGCTTTTGACTTAGTGAATTTGTGAGTTCTATTAAATATCTAAGTGAAGATGTTGAATGTTGAGTAGGAAGTTGAAAAAAAGAAGAGTCTGTAGCAGAAAGAAACAGTTAATTGATGTAAATTTGGGAACCAACATTGTACTGCTTGAGCTTACCTAAGGAGTGAGTAAAGATTTAGAAGAAAAGGAGTTCCATGGAAGAGCCTTGGGTCACTCCAACACATGTTTATTGTGAAAAGAAAGAAACACAGCAAATGAAAAGGAAAAGAAAGTCAGTATGGGAGAAGGAGAGCCAGAAGAGTATGGAAGTCATGTAAAATAACGTCTCTTAGGAATGTGTGGGAGGTCATTGGTGAAATAAACTCTTAAGAGGGCAGGTAAGAGAATTGACTATTAGGGTTGATCATGTAGAAGTCATTGTTGACCTTGATTACAATGGTTTCAAAGGAATGGTGAAGATGTGAATATATATTGAGTAGATTCAAAAGAGAAAGGGCATAGAGAAAGTTGAGACTATGAATATAAATACACACTTGTGGTGGTGTCTGCCACCATTTTCCACCATGAATTTACCCTTTTCCATCATGAATTTACACTTTTCCTGTTTGAAGTAAATAAGCGAGTTGTGGGGAGTTACTTTGATGTTATGTAAACTTCCCATTTCAAATCAAACATTCAATTTATTTATTTATATCACAATTAAACTCATGGCTTTCTGTTTTAGTCAGTGGTTTATAATCTGTTACTATCATTATTTCTTTTGAGACCCAATCCGTGATTTGGCCAACGGAACCCCCTTCAAGCTGGGTGCCAAGACTGACTGATGTGCACCTGTTCTTTACCCTGCTTGTCTTTGACCTCTCAGACCAGGCTGACTTCCTGCGTGGAGGCCCTCCTTACTCCTCTTGGGATGCAAACCCTTTGTTTTTCCACTCCCATTTTCTTATCATACACACTGCTTTTACCCTGCGGGGGCTCTAACATGATGCTCTGAACTACCAGGGCCTTTCCACCCTGGCTCAGACACTTACCTTGTTTGACCCACTTAATAACTTGTGGATTTTTTAATTGTTCCAGAAGGGAAGAAAATGGATGTGAAAGACTAAAAAGGGGAAGGGATATAAATAAAAGAAAGGAAAGGAAACTAACTGGAAGGAAAGGGATGGGGAAGGGAAGGGGAAAGACCTGAAGGAAGGAGAAGAGAAGGGGAAAGAAAAGGAAGGAGAAGAGAAGGGGAAGGAAAATGAAGAACAGAAGGGGAAGGAAAATGAAGAAGAGAGAAGGGGAAGGAAAAAGAAGAGTGACAATAACCCCTTAGTAGTCCTTTCCATGTGCACTTGTGTCCCCTTCCCATCTGTGACCCACAGAACATTGGGAGTGAGATTTTTTAGTACTAAATCAAATTATGTCAGTGTTTTGCTTATTGAAACTCTGTAACATGACCTAAATGGCCCTGATTTATTTTCTTCTACTGACTTCTCCATCTTCATCTGTTCCACTCTCTCCTTGATTTCTTGTAATGCTGTCATGCCAATGTCACTTTGACCTTCTCTCAGGTTCTCACACAGTCAATCTTTTTCTTTCCTCAAGGACCTCAGCATGTGGCTTCCTGTGTCTGGAAAGGTTTTTTTCCTTCCCTTTGCCTGGCTAACTCCTGCCCATCCCTCTGATCTCAGGTTTAATAGAACTTCCTCAAAGACACTGTCTCTCACCTGCTGAGCTATAAAACACTTCCCATCTTATTTTTTCACTGCACTGTGTATCCTTCCCCAACCTCACTGCACTTAACACAACGGATACTTATGTATATGTTTTATTTTAAAATGTTCAGTCTCATTCATTAGGGATAAATTCTACTTTGTTCATCATTATACATGCAGTGCCTAACATACGTTAGGTATTTAATAAATACTTAATAAGCAGATGAATGTCAAAATAGTTTAGTAAATAAAGGTGGCTGACTTCAAAGCCAGGCAAAGCCCTTAAACTGCTGATTGCATACCTCTCCCTTCCTTGGAATCATTTTTTTCTCCTACCATGGGTTCTTTTGACTCTGTTAACTTGACACTTCTTGATGGTCTGAGATGTGTAAAACCAAAATAATTCTTATTCTTGTTGTTCTGATGTCATACTTTATCCTAGAGCCAGCCCCTGGGGGAGCTTCTTGGACAATTTCTTGATTCTGAGACAGTACAGCTGACAAGCTATGAATCACATCAGAAAACTGAGAAAACCTCTTCAGAGCAAGATCACACTGAACAATATATAATTTTATGTTTTCCTTTGCATAAATTTAAGGAGTACAAGTGCAGTTTTATTACATGGATATACTGCATAATGTCTAAGCCTTTAGTGCAACCATCACCCAAATAATACACATTGTATTCATTAAGGAATTTCTTATCCCTCAAGCCCCTCCTAGTCTTCCACCGTTTGGGGTCTCCAGTGTCTATTATTCCAGTCTGTTTGTCCATGTGCACACATTATTTAGCTCCCACTTTTAAGTGAGAACATGCAGTATTGAATTTCTGCTTCTGAGTTATTTCACTTAAGATGATGGCCTCCAGTTAAATCTATGTTGCTGCAAAAGACATGATTTCACTCTTATTTATGGGTGAATAGTATTCCATTATATATATATATATATATATATATATATATATATATATATATATATAAAACATTTTTTTCCTAATTATCTGCAGATGCAAACTTAGGTTAATTTCATATCTTTGCTATTATGAATAGTGCTGTGATAAACATATGAGTGCAGGTTTCTTTTGATACAATCATTTGTTTTCCTTTGGGTAGATATCCAGTAATGGGAGTGCTGGTTAAATAGTTTGTTTGGACAGTGTGGTCATCTTAATGATATTGATTCATCCAATCTTTGAGCATGGGATATTTTATTTGTTGTGTCAGCTATGATTTCTTTAATCAGTGTATTGTAGTTCTTGCAGAGATCTTTAATATCCTTGGTGAGATGTATTCTTAGGTATTTTATTTTTGTCTGTGGCTACTGTAAATGTGATTGTGTTCTTGGTTGTGTTTTCATCTTGATTATTATTGGAGTATAAAAATGCTGCCAATTTTTGTATGTTGATTTGTATTTTGAAACTTTACCAAAATCATTTATTAAATCTAGGTGTGTTTTAGAGAAGTGTTTAGAGTTTTCCAGGTATAAGATCACATCATCAGCTCATAGAGATAATTTGACTTCCTGTTTTTTGTATGCCTTTTATTTCTTTCTCTTGCCTATTGCTCTGGCTAGGACTTCCAGTGTTATGATGAAGAGAAGCAATAAAACTGGCCATCCTTGTTTTGTTACAGTTCTTAAGGGAAATACTTTCTACTTTTCCCCTTTCTCTAGAAGAAAACCCAGAGAAAACTCTTCAGTATGATGTTGCTGTGGGTTTGTCATATATGGCTTTTATCATATTTAT
Organism: Homo sapiens; assembly: GCF_000001405.40. Classification (NCBI taxonomy): domain Eukaryota; kingdom Metazoa; phylum Chordata; class Mammalia; order Primates; family Hominidae; genus Homo; species Homo sapiens. Next base: position 40,065,094 of record NC_000008.11, on the reverse strand, counting down.
CTTTACAATAAATAATAATAGATTTAGTATTTATTATTTTGAGGTATATTTCTTCTGTGCTTGTTTGTTGAGTTTTTTTTTTTTTATCATGAAGAGATGTTGAATTTTATCAAATGCTTTTTCTGCATCCATTAAGATAATCCCAGAGTTTTTGTTTTAAATTCTGTTTATGTGATGAATTACGTTTATTGATTTGCATATACTGAACCATCCTTGCATTCCTGGGAAAAAAAAACAATGTTACTATGGTGTACTCTCTTTATGATGTGTTGTTGGATTTGGTTTGCTGGTGGGTTTTTTTTGTTCTTGTTGTTGTTGTTTTGTTTTGTTTTGTTTTGAGGATTTTTGCATCTATGTTCACCAGAGATATTGGTCTGTAGTTTTCTGACTTTGATATCAGAGTGATACTGCCTTCATGGAATGATTTAAGGAAGATTCCCTCCTTTATTTTCTTGGAAGAATTTCAGGAGGATTGGCACCAGTTCTTCTTTGTACATTTGGTAGAATTCAGCTGTGAATACATCTGGTTCTGGATTTTTTGTTGGTTGGGAGACTTTTTTTATTATTGTTTCAATCCCACTACTTGCTATTGGTCTGTCCATGATTTCTATTTCTTCCTGGTTCAATAGTGAGAGGTTATATACTTCCAAAAATTTACCCATTTCCTCTAGGTTCCCTAGCTTATAATCATATAGCTATTCATAGTAGTCTCTGTTGATCTTTTGTATGTCTGTGTTCTCAGTTTTAATGTCCCCTTTTTAATTTCTGATTATGTTTATTTGGATCTTCTCTCTACTTGGTTAGTCTAGCTAGCAGTCTATCTATTTTGTTTTATTTTCTGAAAGAACCAACTTTTCATTCCATAGATCCTTTGCATTGTGCTTTCATTGTCAATTTTATTTAGTCCTGCTTTGATCTGTTTGTTATTTATTTATTTTTTTGCTAGCTTTGGGTTTAGTTTGTTCTTTTTATTCCTAGTCCCTTGAGGTATGCAACATTAGGTTGTTAATTTGTTGTTTTTCATTTCTTTTGATGTAGGCATTGAAGACCAGAAACTTCTTTCTTGGAATTGCTTTTGCTGTACCCCAGATGGTTTTGGTATATTGTGTATATTTTTATTTATTTTAATTTTTAAAGTTTCTGTCTTAATTTTGTCATTGGCACAAATATCATTTCTGAGTATGTTGTTTAATTCCCATGTATTTGTATGATTTTGAGTGTTCCTCTTGGAATTCATTTACAGTTTTATTCCTCTGTGGTATGAGAAGATACCTAGTATCATTAAAACTTGTTTTTTAAAATTATTGAGACATGTTTGGTGGCCTAACACATGTTCTATCTTGGAGAATGTTCCATGCACTGATATGAAGAATGTGTATCCTGTTCTTGGGAAGGATAAATAAATATATTTACAGTGCACCTAGTGTTGGGTGATTGTTATATCCTCTTGTTGAATAGATCCCTTTATCATTATATAATGGCCTTCTTTGTCTTTCTTATTGTTGTTGATTTAAAGTTTATTTTATCTGATATAGGTATAGGTACTCCTGCTTGCTTTTGACTTCTGTTTGTGTGGAATATCTTTTTCCACCTCTTTACCTTCAGTCTATTTTTCTTTACCAGGAAGGTGAGTTTCTTGTAAGCAGCATAGAGTTGGTTCTTTTTTTTTTCCTTAATCCATTCCACCAATCTATATTTTTGAAGTGGAGCATTTAACCCATTTATGTTCAGGATTAAAATTGATATTGAGGATTTGTTCCTGTCATAATGTTAATTGTTACCTAGTTGCTTTGTAGATTCCTTGTTTCTTTTTATTTTCTGTTTGACTTAGCAGTTTGATGGAGTTCTCTCATGCTACCATTTGATTTCCTTTTTTTTTTTTTTTTTTTTTTGAGACAGAGTCTTGCTGTGTCGCCCAGGCTGGAGTGCAGTGGCTGCATAAATGTCTTCTTTTGGCATTTTGAGGAACTCCTTTTGATTAGGATCTGCTGCTGCACAGTTGTTGTGATCCTTTGGCAGTGTCACATTTCCTTGCTTTTTCATGTTTTCTGTGTCCGTCCATGGATATCTGTGCATATGGTGTAGCAGTTACTTCTTTCTATTTTGTTTTGTTTTGTTTCAAGACAGAGTTTCACTCTGTTGCCCAGGCTGGAGTGCTGTGGTGCAATCTCAGCTCACTGCAACCTCTGCCTCCCGAGTTCAAGCGATTCTCCTGCCTCAGCCTCCCGAGTATCTGGGAATACAAGCATGTGCCACCATGCCCAGCAAATTCTTGTATTTTTAGTAGAGACAAGCTTTCACCATGTTGGCAAGGCTGGTCTTGAACTACTGACCTCAGGTGATTTGCCCCCCTCGGCCTATATATACATGTTGTAGGTTCAGTGGGATGCTTTGGCTTTGATTTTGAGTGCCTGTTGTAATGTAAACCCTGTATGATTTCTTTGGCAATACACAGGGTCAGTGATATGTATGATTTTTTTGGTGCCTTAGGGTAGAGTTATTAGTTGAGGCTGTGGTGCAGTTTTGCTGGGGACTAGGATGCCAGGTAAGCTGCTCTTCAGGCCCTGGTAGTGGCAGCAGTAAGCTGAATGTGCCTGCTCTTAAGTCTCAGCCCAGCTTATCTTGGCACCAGTGTTGGCGGGAATTAGGAGGCCAATTCTTGGGCCTCCAGGTGGATTGTTAAGATGCTGGTAGTGGGAGTGGTGGGCTGGCATGTAGCCCAGGGTCTCAGCTGGTCTGGTGTGAATGATGGCAGTGGCTGTGGAGTTGCAACCCACGCAGTCCACGCTAGTGTTGGAGGTGGCTGCAATGGGTTGGGCGGGTGTCAACTGTGGTGGTGTCAGTAGATTGAGTTAGCACAACTTCAGCCCCGGCAGGGGTGATCAGGTGCCAACAGTGGTGGATGGGGCTGCCCCAGCAGGGGTGATCAGGTGCCAACAGTGGTGGACGGGACTGGGAAATTTCTGGGCCCTGGGTGACGTGAATGGCTCTGGGTCAGAAGACTTATCTTCAGGCCTCCTGGTAGGGTCTTTGGGTGCTGGCTGTGACAGGCAGAGATGGAGTGGTCCCCAGGCCACTGGCAGAATGCTCAGGTGTGAGCTGTGGTTGCTGTGCTGTGGGCCTGCCACCAGGGAGGGTGGGACCCCTCTCAGATAGAGCAGTATGGGTACGAAGCTATGGGAAACGCAGACTGCTCATGCCTCAGTCCCACAGCAAGGATAGCAGAGTGGTGGGAATTGTCTTCAGGGTGCATGGAGTGCCTGATCTGCCTTCTCCCTCCACAGCATGGAGATAGTTGCGGCAATGTTAGTCCATGCCTGGTCTGAGGGTGGGGTACAGCCCAGCACTGCACTGGAAACAGCACCAGCTGTGGGCCCACAACCAGAGAGGGTGGGGCACCTCTCTGGCAACAGCTTGGACCGAACACTGTGGAGAGTGTGGTCTGCTTGAGTTTTGGTCTCTCAGCAACCTGCAGCAGGGCAGGAGGAATTGTCCCAGGGTGTGAAGGAGTATCCGGCCTCTCCCTCCCTCCTGGGCTGGGCTGTGTTTGCAGTAACGTCAGTCAGAGCTCAGCCCAAGGGCAGGGTATAGTCCAGTGTTCACTTCTCAGAATGGCACTGACTGTGTCCATGTCCAGAGTACGTGAGGTCCCTCTCAGGTGAGCTGTCTGGGTAAGAAGCTGTGTGGAGCATGGTCCACTCACAACTCTCACAGTGGCCCATAGCAGAATGGTAGGTATTGTCCTAGGTGTGAACAGGAGAGCCTGGCATCCCTCTCCCTCCTTAGTTGAGCCACAGATGCAGTAGTATCAGCATGAATTCAGTCCAAGAGCAACCCAGCGATAAACTCTCAAAACGGTGCTGGCCGTGGGCTTGTGCCTGGAAAGGGTGGGGCCCCTCTCAGGAGAACAGCATGGGCAAGAAGTGATGGGGAGTGTGGCCCACCCTCATCTCAGTCTCACGGCGGCCTGCAGTAGGGCTATGGATGGGGACCTTCCCATGGGTGCATGGGAGCAGGTGATCTCCGCTTTCCCTCCTTGGAGGAGTGCAGCAGCAGTACTGTGTCTGCAGATCCCCAGTAACTCGGCTCTCAGAATGGCACCAAGTTGAAGCTGCTCTAGGCTCAGAGCCTGTGAGATTCTGTGGGTTCCCTTTCTGAAGCAACATCTTTGTGCTGTCTCTGGGCAACTCACTATGTTAGGCCCAAGGCCCACATGTGTCAAGGGGTTCTCCAGTAGCCAGGATGGTAAAATCTCATTTTGTAGCACAGAATCCCTTATGAGTCTCTGTTTTTCTTTCCCTGTCCTGGAGCCTCTCCAGCTCCCAACCAATTCCCAGCTGGGCACACTGCCTCGAACCATCTCGTTACTTACTTTTGGTGCTTCTTGTCACTTTGCTGATGAGCCTTAATGCTTGTTCTTAGGGAACACTTACATGATCTGTTAGAAATGTGAGTATCTACTTATTATTGTGGTTTCTTTTCATGGAGAAGGCACACACTGCCTGCATCTAGACAGCCCATCTAGAGCCATCTCCTGAACCATACTTTGGCTCAGCCAGTCCACATAAGCTGTGCTGCCACTACTATGCTACTGATCATGATAATAATAATAATAATAGTGGTGTTTTCATGTATTGACTACTTAATATACGTTAGTCATTTTACATAGCATTTCTTTCATTTTATTTCATTTATTTTCTCTATGAGTTAAGCAGTATAGTAGATATATATTGTTCTCAATGTCAATATCTGAAAAATTAGTAGAATCATATTCTGTCTCCAGATAAGATAACTGAGTATTAGAGCATGGTGAGATCTAAGCCCAGAGTAATCTGTCTCAAAAACTCAAAACTCTTGACCTTAGGCCATTCTCTGCTGCTCTGTTTCCCATCCCTGCTCCTGAAGCCCACATCTCCACACAATGCACACACACAAAGAGCATCTTACAAAGGCTAATGCAGAAAAAGAAGGAATGAGCTCTATGTCACATGATTTGCCACATCCGCTGCCAAAAGCAGTACCATCTGGAATTGTGGAGAGGGAAGGATAATCTAACATCCTTTACTCTTCTTCACTTTTCCCTTTCTCAGCTGAAAATGCATTACTTTACTGCAGCTACACCTCTTAAAGCAACACACTGATGTGTTCTCAAAAAAGGGAATCTCGACAGAATGGACGTTTGTCTATTTGGGAGTACTGAGGAAGATACCTGATATTTATTTTCTCCTTTTAAGTGCCTGTACTGATGTTTGGGAATAAAAATTACAAGTCTCTGAACTGATGTCATAGAACCGGCCCTTCCTGAAGCCAAAGGGACTTTAGGGTGAGGAGTCACCAGGCTGAGTCACTGATTAGTACTTTCTAAAAGGAAGTGTTTGGTAGACAAGTGCCTTTAGACGCAGGATCCGTTGGTGTTTGTTTTGGACACTGTTTACCACAGAAACTTTGAAGAAAATACACCCAGGACTAAACACTGTCTAATGACCTGTTACAGTTCCTGGTAGACTCACTTCTGGAGTTGGGGGCTGTGATTCTGATTTCTTCCTTAATGTTAAAATCTAAGTGACAAAGTGGTCAAAATATTTCTGTCCTGTGAAGTGATTTCTTATGAGTGGTGCCATGACACCCCTCTACTTGTTCGTTGCCCTAGAGACTGAGGGTTGATAACTTCGCAAGAAATTTCATCACCCACCAGTTGTTTGTAGTAGCACTGGGTTTGCAGGGTGCACATCTCCAGTCACGTAATATATTTTATGTTTTGCCATCTGCATATGATGGTAAGTACTAGTGTTTATTTTGTGCCTTATTCTGCACAAGACTTGAGGCAGCTTGCAGAATTGTAAGAAAAATTTTTGATTGGAATATAAGATGGAGATTGTGGGGGGACTTAGAAAACAGCTGGTGCGTGATGGGGCTAGGGCCCATGTCTTGGCTGAGAAAAACCTGGACTGAACAGAAGCAAGACAACTCCAGACAGGGGAAACACCCTCCTCAGGTTCTGCTGGTTGTGTCAGGACAATGCGAAGGCTTTACCGTTTGTAACTCTTTCTCTCTGCCCTAGTTCTATGCCCAGGTCTAATGACGACTCTGGTGGCCTGTGTGGAAATGCACCATGGCATCCTGAGCCATCCTGGGGTGAGGCTGCAGCACAGTGCATGGGAGATAGCATCCAGCAGCACTTTATCTCCCTCGGGTCCAGGGAACACAACCAAGATGACTTCAACTGGCTGCTTTTTCCAGCAACTCCACTTACGCCCTCACTGGCTCATACATTTGTAAAATCAAAGTGCTTAATAATGGTCTGTAAGGTTCACACTCATCTTTTTTTTTTTTTTGAGACGGAGTTTTGCTCTTGTCACCCAGGCTGGAGTGCAATGGTGTGATCTCGGCTCACTGCAACCTCTGCCTCCTGGGTTCAAGTGATTCTCCTGCCTCAGCCTCCTGAGTAGCTGGGATTACAGGCATGCCTCACGATGCCCAGCTAATTTTTGTATTATTAGTAGAGATGGGACTTCACCATGTTGGCCAGGCTGGTGTCGAACTCCTGACCTCAGGTGATCCACCTGCCTTGGCCTCCCAAAGTGCTGGGATTACAAGCATGAGCCACCGCACCTGGCCCACACTCACCATTTTTTAAAGATAACTTTTTACATTTTGAGTTGCTAAAACACTTTGGTTATGCAACACATTATACAAGGATTTACTGTGTATAATCATCTGTAAGATGAGTTCTATTCGTTCCATTTTAGAGAACAGTGAGTTGAGCTTTAAAATGGTAAAACGACTTGCTTAATTTTACACAGTTAATAAATAGAAGTGTTAGAATTGGAATCCAGGTTGAGTTCCAGAGCCTATACTCTTCCCATTTCTCTATGCTGCCTGGTAGGAAAACAGCATTGACAAGGCCTTGACGAACATCTCCAAAAGGCACAGGCCTAAGGTTTTCCATACTCTCTGATAAAGAAGAAAAGATGTGCATATGTAAAACTGATCAGACATAACAGATAGCAACAGAGCAAAAGTTTCAGAATTGAAAACTGGGACTCAAAGAGATATTTGTGCATCCACATCCATAGCAGCATTAGTCTCATGGCCAAGAGGCAGAAGCAGCCCAAGTCTACATGGGCAGATGATTGGATGAACAAATATGGCATGTGCTTATAATAAAATAGTATTCAGCCTTGATAAGGAAGGACATTCTGAAGTGTGCTACAACATGCATGAAACTTGAGGACATTATGTTAAGGGAAATAAGTCAATCACAAAAGACTAAGTACTGTATTATTCCACTTATATGAGATAACTAATGTAGTCAAATATTGTAGGGATAGAAAGAAGATAGGTGGTTTCCAAGGAATGAGAGGTGGGGGAATGGGAATTAGCGTTTAATGGGTACAGAATTTCATGTTTGCAAAATAAGAAAAGTTCTGTGGCTGGGTGGTGGTGATGGTTGCATGGCAGTGTAAATGTACTCAATACAACAGAACTGTCTACTTAAAAATGATAGGCTGGGCACGGTGGCTCACACCTGTAATCCCAACACTTTGGGAGGCCAAGGCGGGTGGGTCACGAGGTCAGGAGATCGAGACCATCCTGGCTAACACGGTGAAACCCCATCTCTACCAAAAATACAAAAAATTAGCTGGGCGTGGTGGCGGACGCCTGTAGTCCCAGCTACTCGGGAGACTGAGGCACGAGAATGGCATGAACCCAGGATGCAGAGCTTGCAGTGAGCTGAGATCTCGCCATTGCACTCCAGCCTGGGCAACAGAGCAAGATTACGCTTCAAAAAAAAAAAATGTTCAAGGTCGGCCAGGCGCAGTGGCTCACTCCTGTAATCTCAGTACTTTGGGAGGATGAGGTGGGCGGATCACCTGAGGTCAGGAGTTTGAGACCAGCCTGACCAACATGGAGAAACCCTGTCTCTACTAAAGATACAAAATTAGCTGAGCCTGGTGGCACATGCCTGTGATCCCAGCCATTCGGGAGGCTGAGGCAGGAGAATTGCTTGAACCCGGGAGGTGGAGGTTGCAGTGAGCCGAGATTGCACCATTGCACTCCAGCCTGGGCAACAAGAGCAAAACTCCGTCTCAAAAAAAAAAAAAATGGTCAAGGTCAACTGTATGTTACGTGCATTTTACCACACTTTTTTTTTTTGAGACGGAGTCTTACTCCATCACCAGGCTGGAGTGCAGTGGCGCGATCTCGGCTCACTGCAACCTCCGCTTCCCAGGTTCAAGCAATTCTCCTGCCTCAGCCACCCGAGTAGCTGGGATTACAGGCCGGTGCCACCACGCCCAGCTAATTTTTCTATTTTTAGTAGAGACGGGGTTTCACCATGTTGGTCAGGCTGGTCTCATTCTCGTGACCTCGTGATCCACCCACCTCGACCTCCCAAAGTGCTGGGATTACAGGCGTGAGCCACCGTGCCCGCCCCACACTTTTTTTTTTAAGTGAATCCTTTATGTCTCAACTTAGACATGGTCTCCTCCAGGAAGCTGTTCTCAAGCCTCTGCTCATCTAGATACTGTGTTCCTATTCATGTTCCTAAGTACCATGTATTTCCTTCATTCTAGCACTTATTACAATTTATTAAACTTGCCTGTTTGTGTGTTATTTGTTTGTTTGTCTATATCCCACAAAAGACTACAAGTTCAGAGAGATCAAGGACTTTGTTGTTCTCAGTGACTGTCCTCTTAGCACAATGCCTCACACACAGTAGGCAGGCATTCAGTAATATGGGTTGAATAAATAAATCGGTGTATAAGAATTTTTAGTTTTATGCAAATATCTATGCAGCATTTTCTCACTTGTCCTTTTGAAAATTCTGTGAAGGAGATTGAATCGATCTTAAGGCTCCTATTTCACTGATGTGGAAGTTGAGGTCTCAGAAAGTTAAGGAAATGATGTAGGGCCATGCAGATGGAAAGTGGTAGAGCCATCTCTTGGTACAGCTTTTATTCATACCACAATATCCCAGATCTTAGCTTCTTATTTCATACAAAGAACACTTTTTTTGCTAGGTGTCTTCTTTTTCATGCCTAAGTGAAAATTGTGTGTGTGCTACAGTTTTCTTCTGTGGGCAGTAGTAGACCCTATTGGCACCCCACCTCCATATTCCACAACCCACCTTCACATTCACCTGTGACCATGTAGGCAGTTTCCAGAAGTTTGAGAACTTCTCACCCCAAGCACCTACATTTCTTTTCCTCCTCTGCCTGAGGTTTTCTTCAGTACCATTTTCTTCAGGAACTCGCTTTCTACCTAGTGGTACAGCCCAAAAGTGTATAGTGAGGGGGCTAACGCCCTAGGGAGAAATCCCCAATTAATGGGGATGAGAATTGCCAGGTTAAATAAGGCAGCCTCCACACCCTCTGCTGGGACAATTCAGAGGTGTGCTTCTTCCTTCAGGTTTCCTGGAGGGTCTACACTGGGATTGAAACCCAGGGGCCTGCAGAGCTCAACCCACACAATAATACTCCCTTTCATGGCTTTTCTCCTGCCCTGAATCATTGCCATCACTGTCTTATTTATGCTTCCAGGGACTATTTCACAAATAAACTACCTGCATGCAAGCCTTATCTTGAGGTCTTCTTTTGGAAAATAAACAAACTAACCAATCTGCAATAAGTAAGAAGGACAGAAGCAAAGGACGGAGTTTCCTCTCCACAGCTGATAAGTGTCCTTGGAGAATACTCCCAGCCATGTGGCTCATCCAGCTCCTCGCCAGGTGACCTCTCGAGGCCCCTTTCCTCTCTGAGAGGTCCCTCATTCTACTCCAGGGTACACTTGTTCATCTAACACCATGCTTGACGATGACGGCTCACCCCAATGTGGTCTACCTACAGCTGCACTGTCACTCTCTGGGCACTGGCCTGTGGCAGGCTGGAACTGGCACCGAGCAGGCAATTTCCAAACTCTGTGCCAGTTCTTTTTGTCCTTTGTTTATCAGAACTGGCTGGAATTACTGACTGGAACCCCTAAGGGGAGGACAGAAGTTGCAAACAACCATAGCTCTCTACACTCCATTAGCTGAGGCAGACAGAGCCAGCAGCACAATACGGCATTAACTTCCAGACATGCACATTTAGTTTCAGACGGTCCACAAGAAGGGTGGGGGGAGCAAGGCAGAAACCGTACTCATGCAGCAAAATGCAAACGAGTAGCACACCGGATGCCCTTTGTTAACTATTGCTCAACAGGCTTCTGAAACAAGTTTTCCCAGAGTTGATGAAATGTTTGTTTATTCAAGGAGCATGTCTCTAAAATCCAAAGGTCAATTTCATTGATTGATGTCTGTGCCACCTGCACCGCAAAGAGCGACCTTCTAACCTGTGTCCTCTTTTCACCTCTCCCTGGGGACAAAAGCCACTACCTTATGGGCACCACCTGCGTACCAAGGTACTGTTTCTTTCACCCCCAACTACTTTGACCTGCTGCCTGCTCCATCACATATGCCACCCTACCAGGAAAGACTCACAGGTGCAGAGGGGTAAATGTGTTGTGTTGGCTGTGGGATCAAACTCTAGACAGCTCCGTGAATTTTGTCTTATTTATTTTCACATCCCATTCCTAAGTAGAGTGTCTGGCACTTAGTGGATGTTCATTAAATATTTGTTAAATCCTTGGATGCATGCATGAATGAATTAATGAATTAATGCATAATTCTTCCCAGCTTGAAGGGTTGAGATTTATGCTATAAATATATTTCCTGAGTAATTAGCTCTGTGCATAGCGGGTGCCCAGTAAATATGAATTAATGGATCAATAATGTGCCTGAACGGGGTTTGCAGAGGAAAAATCACTAGGAAGACCTGTAGGTGTGCCCCCACTTTGTCGTTGGTGGAATTGTATGACATACCCCCTGAGTGATTAGAGTCTCATATAACTGATTCTTGTGATAGTTGGCACTGCTGAGATTGGTAAGAAATCATTTTAGATAGGCTTTCCATTTCTGCATATGCCCTTTCTTCACATCCTGTTTTGTATTAGTTTTTTTGAGGCATCTAGGCAGGGCTAGACAGTGGGGAATGATCAGGGCTATAAGTTATTTCCAGATAGATCCCTTAAATGAGTAAGAGTCTGCCTGTGGTCTTAAGTGTAGGTAACTAGTCCCTAAGGGGAGGTACTAGCTGTATTATCTATAGTACCCTGTGGGCATGCAATACGTTCAATAAAGCCATAATAGAGTAATAGGTACAATCATTTATTATCTTTCTCCATTTAAAGCTGTTTCAGAGTGACATATCAAATACCTTAAAATGAAGAAGTTTCCTTTCTTCATTTTAAAATGATATTGTAGAATTGCAGCATTTTGTTTTTTCACTCTCATATCATATTGAATTATTTCTGGAATATTTATAAATAATATACCTTGGGTCAACATTTCCTATATTTAATAATAATGATAGTGATAATAGTAATGAAAACAGTGTAACAGGTTTTTTTTTGTTTTTTGTTTTTTGTTTTAGATGGAGTTTTGCTCTTGTTGCCCAGATTGGCATGCAATGGCGCAATCTTGGCTCACTACAACCTCTGCCTCCTGGGTTCAAATGATTCTCCTGCCTCAGCCTCCCAAGTAGCTGGGATTATAGGCACATGCCACCACACCCAGATAATTTTTGTATTTTTAGCAGAGATGGGGTTTTGCCATGTTGACCAGGCTCGTCTCGAATTCCTCACCTCAGGTAATCCACCTGCCTCAGCCTCCCAAAGTGCTGGGATTACAGGTATGAGACTCCACGCCCAGCCAATCTACTTATTTTAAGCAATCTTTCTGGAGATTCCATACAATGTTTTTATTTACATCTCATTTAGTTACAGGGCTGTACTTAGAAGTAATGATAGCTGGGAAGTGTGAGGATTTAGCTAGATGATTAATACCCTAAAGAAAGTCATCATTCTGTTCCATAGAATTCTTACCAACAGTCTGCCACTGCAAAGGCGCATCCTAATAGTCAAGTAGACGGGCTTGCCTTGGGATGTTGGTAAGTTCCCTTACTGATCATCCCAGAATTTGCTTAATGAACTCATGAACAAAGTAGCCCTGGTGGCAGCAATGGGAACTGTGCATCTGCTCAGCCACAAGCATGTCCCTCACCAAGGCTGACTTGTAACTGACCACTGCTGAATACCCAATAGGCTACTATTGCTAAGCACCCAGTATAGGTTAAAATTTTGGGTCACTATTTGTTGATAAAGGAATCCAGCATCACAGTAGTGAATTGTTCACATTAGGCCCCTCCTATTATGATGAGGGCAGAGATTTGGTTTTACTGACAGAGACACTTTTTCCAGATTTGTATTTTCTTTCTGTGTCTGTCATGGCTTTGACAGAACTATAATCCATGAGCTTGTAGAACTCCATACACACCATCATGACATCTCATGATTAGGGACTCTCCCTCACTGTCAGGGGAGTAAGGCTATGATGCCACGCTGAGGGCATTCACTGGTCTGATTCTGTATCCCATTATTCTGAAGCAACGACTGTGCCACAGCTGGAAACAAAGCCTTCCCAGCTTGTGCAGCCATCCTGAGGAGTAAAGTGAATGCTATGAAGTACTGATCCAACATATGATGGTGTTTTACTCACAGCTAAAACATATGGTTCACAGAATTGAAAGATGGAAATAGATTTGGTGCTTTCCTAGGTTACACACCTGCTTGCCATCTGTTGTCAGTTCTTCTCAGGTCTTGGAGAGCTGAGAATTTTAATACTAATTTACTTGGGAACTTGGGGTATCCTATTTTATTAGATGAATTAGGTCAAAAAAGATGTTATGATTTTAGCTATGGGAGAAATTGGATTATTCATATACATTAGAGCAGGAGATATATGAATAAAATCTAACTTATTCCCTTCATGGTTTCTTTGTAAAATTAGGCATGGTAGTAAATATTAACAGAAGTCCTTAGTAGAAGGACTGTTAAGGTCTCAGATCTGTGAGGATGGCAAAGGTTTTTGTCACCATATTAAGAATCCTTTGACAAACTGGTTGTTGGAAGATGGCAAGAGAAACAGAGCACGTGGGAAGGAAGGCGGAAAAAAAGATTAGTGGGCCAGGCGCCACGGCTCTTGCCTGTAATCCCAGCTTTTTGGGAGGCCGAGGCGGGTGGGTCGCGAGGTCAGGAGCTCAAGACCAGCCTGAACAACACGGTGAAACCCCATTTCTACTAAAAATACAAAAATTATCCAGGCGTGTTGGCAGGTACCTGTAATCCCAGCTACTTGGGAGGCTGAGGTGGGAGAATTGTTTGAAAGCCCATGGGGCAGACGTTGCAGTGAGCTGGGATCATGCCACTGCACAGCAGCCTGTGCAACAGAGTGAGACTCTGTCTCAAAAAAAAAAAAGAAAGAAAGAAAAAAAGATTAGTTATGGCCTTGTGATCAGTTACAGAAATGAGATCTATTGTATCACCCCGTAGTGATGAGGCCCCCCTCACATGCTCCTCTCAACCAGGACAGTATCAGCAGAGGTCTAGTATTGATACTAAACTACCATCCCAGTAATAAAGAGTAACTCCACCCCTCTTGGATATCAGCGGAGGCCTGATAGGGATCTTGGACTTCTACCCCACCTGGCAGGAATGAGGAGATACTGCTCTTCTCTTGCTGACGTGGTGTCAAGGAAGTCCTGCTACACTAGAAGCTTTCAATGAAATCCGGAATCTCTTACTATGATATTCAAAAGGTCCAGGTTTCAATCGCAATTTACTTGTCATATGAGAACCAAAAAAAAAAAAAAAAACCACAATTTGAATGCTGAACGATAATCAACAGACACAAACAAGAAGATGACAAATATACTAGAATTATCTGACAAAGATTTTAAAACAGTCTTCATAAAAAGGATGCTTTAGGCCAGGCACGGTGGCTCACACCTATAATCCCAGCACTTTGGGAGGCTGAGGCCGGCAGATCACGAGGTCAGGAGATCGAGACCATCCTCGCTAACACAGGGAAACCCCATCTCTATTAAAAATATAAAAAATTAGCCCGGCATGGTGGCAGGCACCTGTAGTCCCAGCTACTCAGGAGGCTGAGGTAGGAGAATGGCATGAACCCGGGAGGTGGAGCTTGCAGTGAGCAGAGATCGTGTCACTGCTCTCCAGCCTGGGCAACAGAGCGAGACTCTGTGAAAAAAAAAAAAAAAAAGATGCTTTAACATAAATTATAAACACACTTGAAACAAATAAAATTAAAAAGTGTGAATAAAGAAATAGAAAATGTAAAGAAGAACCAATTAGAAATTTTAAACTTGAAAAATAGAAAAGAACACTAAAAGAACCAAATAACAGAACTCAAGTGATAGCCTCATTAGCAGGAAAGAGAAAAGACTAAGTGAAATTGAAGACAGGATAATAGAAATTCCCCAATTTAAATAAAAGAGAGAGGAAATAGACAAAAAATAAAGAAACAGAGCTTTGGATATCTGTGAGATGTTTTAAAAAGATTTAATATTTGTATTATTAGCATTATGGACAGAGAGGAGAAAGAGGTTGAGGCTGAGAAGGTACTCAAAGAAATAATGGCTGAAAATGTTCCAAATTTGTGAAAAGACAAATATTTACACATTCAATAACCTGAGCCAACCCCAACCATGATACAAAAGTCCACATCAAGGCAAATCATAATCAAAATCCTGAAAGTTAAAGACAGAGAAAATTATTGTACACAGCAAGAATTGACACATAAGAGAGAAAGTTTTAAGGATAGAAGCTTTATGGCCAGGTGCGGTGGCTCACACCTGTAATCCCAGCACTTTTCGAGGCCGAGGAAGGCAGATCACTTGAGGCCAGGAGTTTGAGACCAGCCTGGCCAACATGGTGAAACCCCTTCTCCACAAAAAATACAAAAATCAGCTGGGCATGGTGGTGGGCACCTGTAATCCCACCTACTCAGGAGGCTGAGGCACAAGAATCTCTTGAACACGGGAGGCAGAGGTTGCAGTGAGCTGGGATCATGCCACTGCACTCCAGCCTGGGCAACAGAGCAAGACTTTGTCTCAAAAAGAAAAATAAATAAAAAATAAATAAAGACAGCAGATTTATTAATAGAATCTACAAAGGCCAGAAGGAAGTGGCACACCATTTTTCAAATGCTGAAAAAAAGGAAACATCAAACATTCTTCAGAAATGGAAAGGAAATTAAGACTTTCTGAGATGAAGGAAAGCTAAGCAAATTTATCAGCAGCTGACCGACACTAAAAGAATGGCTAATGAAGATTTCTTAAACAAAAGAGAAAGGATAAAATTAGATCTTGGAACATCAGTGTGTTAGGCCATTCCTGTATTGCTATTAAGAAATACCTGAGACTGGGTAATTTATAAGAAAAATGTTTAATTAGCTCACGGTTCTGCAGGTTTCACAGGAATCATAGTGGCCAGGATCTGCTTTTGGGGAGGCCTCAGGGAGCTTTTACTCATGGCAAAAGCTGGAGCAAGGGAGTGGGGAGAGGGAGGCACTGCACACTTTTAAACGCCCAGATTTCCTGTGAACTCAGAGTGAGTGCTCACTTACCACTAAGGGGATGGCCCAAGCCACTCATGGGGGATCTTCCCCCATGATCTAATCACCTCCCACCATGCCCCACCTCCAATATTGGGGATTATAATTCAACATGAGATTTGGATGGGGACAAATATGCAAACTATATCAACCAGGAAGAAAGAAAGAGCCATGAAAAATGTATATTGAGGTATGCAGCAAAATGTAGGTAAATACAAGAGACTTTCCAACTACTCTTGAGTTTTCCAAATTCTGTATGACATTTGTAACAAAAATGTTAACACTGTCAGATATGGTTCTCAAAATATGTAGAAGAAATAGTTAAAACAATTATACTATGAATGCAGGAAGTTTAATGCATGTAAAATAAGGTAAGGTTTCCATACTTCACTTGAACTGGTAGAACGTGTGTGCCTGTAGTCTGTGCAAAGCTGCACACACATAAAATATGGCACTAAGAGAAATCAGTGAAAATATTATAGAAAGATATACTCAAAAACACTATGCATAAGTAAAAATAAAAATGTTCACATAACCCACAGAGAGACAGAAAAATAAAATGGAGAAAAACACCGGGTGTTGTGGTACATGCTTGAATCCCAGCATTTTTGGAGGCCAAGGTGGCGGATGGCTTGAGCCCAGGAGTTTGAGAACAGCTTGGGCAACATGGTGAAACCCTATCTCTACAAAAATTAGCTAGGCATGGTGCCCATAGTCCCAGCCCAGCTACTTGGGAGGCTGAGGTGGGAGGATCACTTGAGCCCTGGAGGTTGAGGCTATAGTGAGCTGTGATAGTGCCACTGCATTTCAGCCTGGGTGACAGAGTAAGATGCTGTCTCAAAAAAAAAACAGAAACAAAAACAAAACAAAAAAACAAACAAGAAAAAACCCGAACAAACAAAAATAGAGAAAAAAAGAGAGAAAACAAAAATTAAATACAGACATTAGCCCCAACCTATCAATAATTACATTGAACCTAAATGTTCCAAATATAACAATTAAAAAAACAGAAATGAACAAAGTTGATTAGAAAACCAAACATGAGGCTGGGCGCAGTGGCTCACGCCTGTAATTCCAGCACTTTGGGAGACTGAGCAGGTGGATTGCTTTGAGTTCAGAAGTTCAAGACCAATCTGACCAAAATGGTGAGAACTTGTCTCTACTAAAAGTATAAAAAGTAGCCGGGCATGGTGGTGCATGCCTATAAACCCGCCTACTTGGGAGACTGAGGCAGGAGAATCATTTGAAACCAGGAGGCAGAAGTTGCAGTGAGCTGAGATGGTGCCATTGCACTCCAGCCTGGACAACTAGAGTGAAACTCCATCTCAAAAAAAAAAGAGAAAAGCAAACATGACCTAACTATATCTTCTCTTCAAGAAACTCACTTCAAATATAACAATATAAATAGGCTAAAAGTGAAAGGATAGAAAAGATACACCATGAAAACATTAATCAATCAAACTAGGATTCACTGTATAAAATCAAACATTTGTTGTTTTTTTCCATAGGCTATTGGGGAACAAGTGGTATTTGGTTACGTGAGTAAGTTCTTTAGTGGTGATTTGTGAGATTTTGGTGCACTCATCACCTGAACAGTATACACTGCACCATATTTATAGCCTTTTTTCCCTCTCCCTGCTCCCACTCTTGCCCCAAGTCCCCAGAGTCCATACTAGCATTCTTATGCCTTTGTGTTCTCATACTTAGATCCCACATCAGTGAGAATATACGATGTTTGTTTTTCTATTCCTGAGTTACTTCATTTAGAATAATAGTCTCCAATCTCACCCAGATCACTGCAAATGCTGTTAATTTATTCCTTTTTATGGCTGCATGGTATTCCATCATATATACGTATACCACAGTTTCTTTATCCACTCATTGATTGATGGGCGCTTGGGTTGTTTCCATGATTTTGCAATTGTGAATTGTATCTTTTTCAAATAATGACTTATCTTCCTCTGGGTAGATAACCAATGGTGAGATTGCTGGATCAAATGGTAGTTCACTTTTAGTTCTTTAAGGAATCTCCACATTGCTTTCCATAGTGGCTGTACTAGTTCACATTCCCACCAGCAGTGTAGACATGTTCTCTGTTCACCACATCCACACCAACATCTACTGTTTTTTGATTTTTTGATTATGGCCATTCTTGCAGGAGTAAGGTGGTATTGCATCACGGTTTTGATTTACATTTCACTGATAATTAGTGATGTTGAGCATTTTTTCATATGTTTTTTGGCCATTTGTATATCTTCTTTTGAAAATTGTCTTTTCATGTCCTTAGCCCACTTATTGCTGGGACTGTTTTTTCCTTACTGATTTGATTGAGTACATGGTAGATTCTGGATATTAGTCCTTTGTCAGATGCACAGATTGTGAAGATTTTCTCCCATTCTGTGGGGTTGTCTGTTTAGTCTGCTGATTGTTCCTTTTGCCATGCAAAAGCTCTTTAGTTTAATTAGGTCCCAGCTATTTATCTTTGCTTTTATTGCATTTGCTTCTGGGTTCTTGGCCATGAAATCCTTGCCTAAGCCAATGTTTTTCCATGTTATCTTCTAGAATTTTTATAGTTTCAGGTCTTAGGTTTAAGTCCTTAATCCATCTTGAGTTGATTTTTGTATAAAGTGAGAGATGAGGATCCAGTTTCATTCTAGTACATGTGGCTTGCCAATTATCCCAGCACCATTTATTGAAAAGGTGTCGTTTCCACAGTTTATGTTTTTGTTTGCTTTGTCAAAGATCAGTTGGCTGTAAATATCTGGGTTTATTTCTGGGTTCTCTATTCTGTTCCATTGGTCTATGTGTCTATTTTTATAACAGTACCATGCTGTTTTGGTGACTAAAGCTTTATAGTATAGTTTGAAGAATACTTCAAACTGTACTATAGAATAGCATACTATAGTGTGATGCTTCCAGATTTGTTCTTTTTGCTTAGTCTTCCTTTGGCTATGCAGGCTTTTTTTGGTTTCATATGAATTTTAGAATTGTTTTCTCTAATTCTGTGAAGAATGATGGTGGTATGTATTTTGATGGGGATTGCATTGAATTCGTAGATTGCTTTTCGCGGTATAATCATTTTCACAATGTTGATTCTACTCATCCATGAGAACTGCTTGAACCCAGGAGGCAGAGGTTGCAAGGTTGCAGTGAGCCAAGATCATACCATTGCACTCCAGCCTGGGCGATAAGAGCGAAACTCTGTCTCAAAAAAAAAAAAAAAAAAAAAAAAGGAAGAAATTGGTTCATTTCTTTTTTCTTTTTCTTTTTCTTTTTTTTTTTTTTTTTTTTTTGAGATGGGGTCTCACTCTGCCACCCAGACTGGAGTGCAATGGCATGATCTCTGCTCACTGCAACCTCTGCCTCCTGGGCTCAAGCAATTCTCCTGCCTCAGCCACCTAAGTAGCTGGGATTACAGGTGCCCACCACCATGTCTGGCTAATTTTTGTGTTTTTAGTACAGACAGGGTTTCACCATATTGGCCAGGCTGGTCTTGAAAGGTGATCCACCCGCCTTGGCCCCCAAGTGCTGGGATTACAGGCGTAAGCCACTGCGCCTGGCTGAAATGGACCAATTTATTGAAAAGCATAAACTACCACAACTCACTTAATATAAAAAAGATAGTTGAATATTCTTATAACTATTTAGGAAATTGAATTGTTATCTAGGGGCCAAGGGGAATCTTTCCTTCTCTAAAGATTAACTAGAAATGAACCTATAATAAGGCAGATTAATAGGAGAAAAAGGCATACAAATATATTCAATGTACATAAGCACTGCAGAATTTCAGGACAATTACCCAATAACCCAATGAGGTACCGATACTTATATATCCATCTTGACAGGGTAAGGAGATATGGGAGAAATGTGGCCATCTTGAGGAGTTAGTAGATGATATTTTTAGGGGGAATAAATAGGCCCAATGTTCAGACAGTGGTTAGTAAACAATTCTCTTTGAAAACTGAATGGGACTTAAGAACAGATGATAACGTGTGACAAAGTTTATCTGAGCTCCAAGTATGGTGTTTAATTTTCAGTTTCTTTATCTGTGATTTGAGTTTTCATCTTCTCTGGTTAAGGAAATTTCAGGGAATGGACTAAATGCAATTGTATTTCTCTCTGGCAGGCCCAGTTCCTAGGTAGATAAGGGAACTTTAAAGAACAGCCTCATCCTGTGCTTCCCGGAAGACAGAGGATTGAAAGACAGGAGGACGGGGGAAAGGTCACCAAAACCTTGAGGCTTTTTCCACAGTTCTTCATGTCCAGCTGCCATATTTTGGGGTGCTGTTTTCTGAGCCCTAAAAGTTATACAAAAAAAGAAAAAACTCCCAAATAGAAATCTCTAGGCTTAGATGGTGTTACTAAAAAGTTCTACCAAATATTTACAGAATAATTAATCCAAATTCTATACAACCTGTTCCAGAAAATAGAAGAGAAAACATTACTCAATTATTTAATTATTTTATAAATCTTATGTTAATCTGAAACCGAAACCAGACAAGACAGTACCAAAAAAGAAGCAAATACAAACCCCCAAAACTACAGACCAATATCCTTTATAGATATAGATGCAAAAATCCTTAACAAAATATTAGCAAAAAGAATTTACCAATATATAGAAAGAATTATATACCTTGACCATACAGTGATGCAAGGTTGGTTCAATGTTTGAAAATCTATGTAATTCACCATATTAATAGGTGAAAGATGAAAAATCACAAAGCTATGTAAATTGTTGCATAGAAAGATTTGACAAAATTCAACACCTGTTCATGATTACAGCTCTCAGAAAGGTAGGAATAATAGGGAACTTCCTCGACTTTATAAAAAATATTGACAAAACCTATATCAAACATTATACCTAATGGTGAAAGGTTGTGATGATTAATTTCATGCATCAACTTGATTGGCCAGGAGGTGCCCGGATTTAACCTTATTTCTGAGTATGTCCATGTGGGTGTTTCGGGGCGAGGTTAGCATTTGAATTGGTAGATTTCATAAGGTAGATTGCTCTTCCCTGATGTGGGTGGACATCATCCAGTCCACTGAGATCTTAGCAAAAGGTAGAGAATGGCAGAGTTCACCCCTTTTGCTTCTTACCTGCCTGTGACTTTTCCTAGCAGCTTTATTTATAATAGCCCAAAACTGGGAACAGGAAACATGCCCCACAATAGCTGGGTGATTAAACAAATTGTGCTACATCAATATCATGGAATATTACCCAGCAATGAAAACAAATTTACTATCATTACTTCAATAGCTTTGATGGATCTCAAGGGCATTATGCTGAGTAACAAAAGCCAATTTCCAAATGTCACATAGCAGGTGATTCTATTTGGTCGGTTGTCAGAGTCATAGAGCCACTTAGCTAGGTAAAACACCGGGATCAGAGTTGGGAAATATTTTATTTCTTTTATGTTAGATTGCTTTAGGAAATGGACTTTGCATGGATATTCAAAATCAAATCTTCAAAAATTTCAAATCTTCAAAATCTTCCATGTGGTTATTCATGGACCATGGACTTTCTTTGTAGTCTTGTCTTGTTCCTCCTTCAGTGTGAGTCAAATATTGAACGATGCAGGTGCTTCTGTCTGTCTTTTCTGCTTTCATCTGGTTGACCCTGTATCCCAAGAGGACTGGGTCATGCAGCTCAAAACATGACCTATTCGGCAGACTATAGATAGAGCAGATTTTCTTAGAAAGGAATGTGAGCAGGGCAGGAAATGATCGATGTGGCCTTGCTTTAAAAATGCTAAGAAGGCTTCCAAGCCCTATGACCCATCACACTGCTTGAAATATCATCTGTATTCCTTTTAGCTAACACGTCTTCAGTTTCAAAATGCAGAGAAAAAGCTGAAGTACTAAGAAGGATATACTCCTTTGGGGAAGGTCTTTTCTTTTCAAGAGCTACTTTATATTGTGAATGGGTATTTAATCTCAGCTGTGTATGTAGGTAGAGTTGCTGTGTGCTTTCAGGCCAAGTGGGGACTAGCAAAGAAAACCAGGAGTTTGGCTGGGCACGTGTGGCTCACGCCTGTAATCCCAGCACTTTGGGAGGCCAAGGCAGGTGGATCGCCTGAGGTCAGGAGTTCGAGACCAACCTGGCCAACGTACTGAAACCCCATCTCTACTAAAAATACAAAAACTTAGCTGCATGTGGTGGCAGGTGCCTATAATCCCAGCTACTTGGGAGGCTGAGGCAGAAGAAACACTTGAACCCAGAAGGCGGAGGTTGCAGTGAGCCGAGATCACGCTATTGCACTCCAGCCTGGGCAACAAGAGTGAAACTCGGTCTCAAAAAAAAGAAAGAAAACCAGGAGTTGGATGTGACAGAATGAAAATAGGGTGGTGGGCTTAAATGGCCTGGAATAGCTGAAAAGTCAAGAGTGAGGCTCTCAAACATATTTGCTTTTTGCTTTGATTTGTGGGGTTTTGTTGTTGTTGTTGTTGTTGTTGGTTTGTTTTTGTTTCTGAGATAGGGTCTTGCTCTGTCACCCAGGCTGGAATGCAGTGGTGCCACCATAGCTCACATCAGCCTCCGCTCCTGGGCTGAAGTGATCCTCCTGCCTCCCATGTAGTTGGGACTACAGATGTGTGCCACCACATCTGCTAATTTTTGCATTTCTTGGTAGAGACAGGGTTTCACTATGTTGCCCAGGCTGTCTCGAACTCCTGGGCTCAGGTGATCTCCCCACCTCAGCCTCCCAAAGTGCTGGGATTACAGGCGGGACCCACTGCTCCCAGCCTTTCTAACGTATTTATAAAGCAAAAGCAGAACCAGAGGGATGAGCAACATGAGAAAACTACTTAGCACCAGGGGGGATATAAAACCTCATCCAGGAATCTACGAGCATGAATGTCTGTAAATAACTTTGAGGTCACATCTGGCAGAGTTAAATAAGGAAGCAAGGTATAGATACCAAGACAGGTAAATACTGAAGACAAATCGTTGTGGATAGTGGTTCATTTTGTCTAGGTTATTCTTTAAAAAAAAAAAAATTGGCCGGGTGCGGTGGCTCACGCCTGTAATCCCAGCACTTTGGGAGGCAGAGGCGGGCGGATCATGAGGTCAGGAGATCAAGACCATCCTGGCTAACAAGGTGAAACCCCGCCTCTACTGAAAATACAAAAAATTAGCCGGGCGCGATGGTGTGCGCCTGCAGTCCCAGCTACTCGGGAGGCTGAGGCAGGAGAATGGCGTGAACCCGGGAGGCGGAGCTTGCAGTGAGCCGAGATCGCTCCACTGCACTCCAGCCTGGGCGACAGAGCAAGACTCCGTCTCAAAAAAAAAAAAAAAAAAAAATTAATCTATTGGTTTAGGCAGCTGAAATGTCCAGTTGAATAGAGCTGGTTTCAATCACATGTTCTTTCTATAATCAACTTCAAATCTACATTTTCCTGAACCTCTTTCAGCACCCAGATATCCAAAATCAGAGAGGAGTATAATGGCCCTGTTCAGGTCACACACTGGCCCTGCTTAAGTCACCCGCTAGCCCTGCAAAGTTCACTGTGGCATGGGTGTTCAAAGGTGATAAGGTCAGATGTCCACATCTGAGGGCAGGAGAATCGGAACTGGTCTCACTGGTCATACGTAAAACGGAACAAAGCCATGCTCACATTGATTTTAGCGTGCAGACGGGAGTGGAGATTGCTTTCACAGGTGACACAGACCCTGGCAGGTGGACAGTAAGGAGTAGAGTGTAAACACACAAGAAGGTTTGAGAAAAGTGATAAAAGGAAACAAAAGGTGGGGAATGCTATAAACAACCCCATTTCAGCATGTTGTCATAAAAGCTGTGTGTGGGGAGGCCCCACAAGGAATGATTTTGACATACAGATAGCAAATAAGGATAGTTAAACCAAAGGTCAGAGCAGAAAATATAGACCACGCCGTTCCTCTGTTCCTCTGTGCCTTGGACAGTAAATCAAGCCCTTCCCCATCTTTAGACAAAAGAACAATCCAGATGTATAAATAGAAAGTTTCATTAGGGTCTCAGACATGGGCTCTGAAGAAGCACAAAATCAAATCCTTTTCTTCCTTCTCTACCGGGGGAGGTCCTGTTGAAAGCCCGTCAGGATCTTTCCAGTTCTATAGCTGTGGAATTTCTTCACCACTGCTACAATAAAGGTTTATGGTAAATCCTGTCTCCGGGCTAATCTAAGAGATAGCAGGACAGATTGCAAATGCCCTTTGCAGCACCCAACTCTCCTCTTCGAGGAGCCCTAGAGGTGACAGCCAGGGCGGGGAAGGAGGAGATGGTGCTACATTCATAGTGATTTCTCTTGAGAAGGAAAAGGGACATAAGCTTTGTTTTTCCATTCTTCTTTCTCTCTGTGAGGGAACTTCTTGCAATTGCTGTGGCCATTGCCCCTGGCTTTTAAATTAAAGACGTCTGAGTGAATGAAACTGTTTATAAAATATGAATTAAAGATTAGAGTTAAGTGGTTTGACTCACTGGCAATTGGAGGGTGATTCACCATAGAGAAATCTCTGTCCAAAGCCATTAGTGTAGAGTTGGCAATTAGGGACATCAGTTTAGATGTCTCTGGGTTCTTGCTCCCAGAGCTGCATAGAAACTCAGAGATGAAATGTGGGGACAGGAGTAAAGCAACCACGAGCTGGGGTTGTAGAACCAAGTTCTCGATGAAGCCACTTGGAAGGACTGAGAAAGGCTGACTTGCAACATACTCCCTCTCTCTTCCCACCAGACGTGTGTCTAGTTTTTGAAGCTGCTTCTTCTTTGAAATTTGTGTCTGAAAGAATACAGCGACCATTGCACCTGGAACAAAAAAAGCCAGGTGGATTTCTAGTCCACTACTTACTGTGCACCTGAACTTGGGCAGGTCCCCTACATTCCTTGAGCTGCCCTTTCTCCACTAGCCAAACTCACATAATAATACCCATGTTATCAGGCTGGGGTAAAAATGATAAAACAATGATATGTGAACACGTTTCATTCATTTTCTACCCCTGTTTTCATTACTATATACACTGAACATCTTTAAGCCATTCCTGATGCTTATGATCTAGGTCTCAGTGTTCAAAACTTCTCTTGATATAAATTTAATAACATTTTGCTAGTATCAAAATGTGTTGATGGAAAGACCTACAAAGTCATTTGGCCCAGGATGCAGATTCTTTAGAGCTAAGTAGACTCCTGTTGCCTGGTAAAGCAGTTCTTTTCCCCACACCAGAAGTTTGAACTGTGTTTACACTCTTGTGCTCTGCCTTGAAGGGACAATCTCCACGCATCCTCTCAGCTTATTCATTCCTCCCGTTATTCCAAGAATATTTAGTAAGTGTGGCCTATGTGAGACATAGGAGATTCCAAGGCGACTTCGCGGAACTCACAGTTAAGTGGAGGAAGCAGTTATATAAACAGACCATTATAATTCTGTGAGCTAAATAGAGCGACAGAGGCCAGCCCAAGGGTTAGGCAACACGTAGGCTGGGGTGGCCGGGGGTGGCAGCGGGGAGGGCTTCCCAGAGCTCACGGCTGAATTGAGTCTTCCGGGATTTGGAGGAGCTGGCCAAGAAACAACAGAGGGAAGAGTGCCGCTGGCATTTCAGACTCTCCCCATATGTAACGGATTGATTTAGTTAATTATCATAAATTGTAAGAAATTATAACACACTTGAGATCAGCAGTTTGAGACCAGCCTGGCCAACATGGTGAAACCCCATCTCTACTAAAAATACAAAAATTAGCCGGGTGTGTGGTGGCATGCACCTGTAATCCCAGTTACTCGGGAGGCTGAGGCAGGAGAATCGCTAGAACCCAGAAGGCAGAGGTTGCAGTGAGCCCACATGGTGCCACTGTACTCCAGCCTGGGCGACAGAGCGAGACTTCGTCTCAAAAAAAAGAAGAAAGAAATTATGATAACATGATTAAAAAACAATCGCCACTTCAAATATTCTGTGATATTGTTTGGAAAAGGCAGAAGATCATGTACAGTGAGGGCTCGTTCAGTGGAGCTGGTGATCATGGGATGAAGGTTTCAAGTAAGAGAGGCGTGTTTCTTTTGTAAATTTCTGTTAAAACGTGATTAATTGTTCTATTTTTATCATTATATTTGTCATGAACGCTCTCTGTGTTTCAAAGAAAAAGGCAGCGTTAACCCTAAATGGCAGTGAACTGACTAGGACTTAGAAGCACCGCTGGTTGATGTTACAAATAGAATCAGCCCGCTGTGCACTCGCACAAGAACGTCCCTTGCACACTCATTAGTGAAGCAGTGAATGTTAGACAAGGGACAGTCCTTAGAGTTTGTTCAGTTGATCACACTCATTTCACAGATGAAGAGACTGAGGCTCACCGAGGTGGGGCAGCGTGCCTAAGATGGATAGGCAGGGAGGAGTAATACAACCATTTAACCATACAATTTATATTTATTTGCAGAAGAATCCAGATTTGTATTAAGCATTTTCCAGCTCTACTCTCACTTGGTTTTGAAGGGGATATTGTATCCATTAATTTTAACATCACTTCATAAATACAACAAACTACTTTCGATTTAGGTCCCAGAATCATTCTTCCTTATGATAAGATCATAGTCATTAAGCAGTGGAGGTGCGATGTTTCCATTTTGAGAAAGTCATTCATCTTTTCTCCTGTATCTTTTGACCAAAGCTGTCTTGAATTTTTACTATGCCCTTCATTTACTGGTAGTTTTCTGAAATTCAAATTTGTTCTCTGTGTCTGAAATACAATGTTGAAATGTAATGGTGCGAGAGAATGATCAAAATGGAATATTTCAATATAACATATGTGTTTATAACATTTTTCTGTATGTTTTTGGAGGGAGACAGGTATGTGGGCCATCAGAACACACTATGCACTTGATGTTTCATATTAGGATGGTTATAAAGAACTTAAGCTTTTTCTCTTCAGAAAGTAAAATTCTTTTTCATTAAATGTGAGATGAATTATGGGTAATGACTCACGGTGCCCTTGTTAACAAGGAAAAGAGGAACACACCATAAACCAGTGGTTCTCAAACTTGAGCTTGTAATGACATCACCTGGGAACTTGTTAGAAAAGCAAATTCTTAGGTTGAACTCAAAATTTACTGAATAAGAAACTCTCAATCTGTACTTTATCCAGTTGTCCAGGCAATTCTGATGTACGGCTAAGTTTGAGAGCCACTGCTGTAAATTTAGAGACTGCAATCCATTTAGAGAATTGACTCTTGACTCTGAGAACACATAGAATTTCTTCCAATCCGAGAGCAGCTATTTCATGTAAGCAGGACTCTTTTTGTATCAATGGAGCTGTAAGTTGAAGATAACGTTACAACTTTTAATGCAAACTGACTGGCCTAAGGCAAAAGCTGAGTTGTGTATGTGCTGCGATTTTACGCTGTTCCTATCAAATGCTGCCTTTACTCCCTTCTCTTCCTTTTCTCTCCCTTGAAATTTTACTAGTAAAATGTAATAATTGTATTCAGTCTTTAAGCCCATTAAGATGCAAATTCCTTAGGTAGTGCTAATGCTTTTATCCTTTATCAGTCTCTTACACAATGGAGTGAGTTTTAGATTCCTTTCTGAGAAAAAGTGTTGAGGAACAGGAAGGGCGCTGATAAAACTGGACTATTTAAGACAGATAAATGGATTTTGTTGCCTACATCAACATGCATTCACCCCCATCTCTCCTCTTTTGAACAGAATCCCAATTTTTGTGGGTGCACGGCTATACTGTTAAGGAATTGAATTTACCAGTATCCACTGTAGCTAGGAAGACTATGAGACTAAGTTACAGTCAATTGAAAGAAAACGATATCCAGGGGGCTCCCTGGAAGCCTCTTCAAAGGAAGAAGGTTGTTTTCTTTCCCCTATTTTTTCCAATGACCTGGAAGGCAGATGTAAAGGCTGGAGCTTCAGTAGCCATGTCAAGCCATGGATAGAAGAACCCTCCTGAGGATATCAGAGCAGAGAGATAGCAACTTGAGTCATTAGTGACACTATGGAGCCACCATTCCACTCCTGGATATTTGTTGTTGTTGCTGTTGTTGTTGTTGTTTGAGACAGAGTATCGCTCAGTCACCCAGGCTGGAGTGCAGTGGCAGGATCTCAACTCACCGCAACCTCTGCCTCCCGGGTTCAAGTGATTATCCTGCCTCAGCCTCCCAAGTAGCTGGGATTACAGGCACATGCCACCTCAGCCAGCTAATTTTTGTTTTTGTTTGTTCGTTCGTTTGTTTGTTTGTTTGTTTGTTTGTTTGTTTTTAGAGGTGGAGTCTCACTCTGTTGCCCAGGCTGGAGTGCAGTGGCGTGATCTCAGCTCATTGCAGCCTCCACCTCCCAGGTTCAAGCGATTCTCCTACCTCAGCCTCCTGAATAGCTGGGACTACAGGTGCACACCACCACACCTGGCTAATTTTTTGTATTTTAATAGAGATGGGGTTTCACCGTGTTGCCCAGGCTGGTCTTGAACTCATGAGCTCAGGCAATCCACCTGCCTTGGCCTCCCAAAGTGCTAGGATTACAGGCATGAGCCACTGCGCCCGGCCAATTTTTGTATTTTTAGTAGAGATGGGGTTAAACCATATTGGCCAGGCTAGTCTCAAACTCCTGACCTCAGGTGATCCACCCGCCTCAGCCTCCCAAAGTGCTGTGATTACAGGCATGAGCCAACACACCCAAGCTCACTCCTGGATATTTTAAAATACTGGAGAGAAACAAACTTCTATCCTTGAGATTTGTAACAATTTGATTCTCTAAAATATAACATTGCTCTAATAGAAGAGACGTCACCAAATTGTAGGCTTGGCGACACAGCAAGAGCCAAACTCCTCGTACTTTACAGGTTACCCCATCCTGTCAGGAGGTGGGGTATCACATTTCCTCACCCAGAAAACTAGCTCCACCCTGCCAAGGGTCTCATGAACTTTTAGCTCTGTAAATTCCAGTTCTAATTTGTCCAAATTCTATAGTATCTCCAGTTCTCTCAAAGAGTTTTGCAATGTCCCACAACAAAACAGACATCATTTTAGCTTTATTTGAAAAGCAGATATTTTATATCATTTGGAATTTAGGAGTGGGATTGGAAAAGGTCTTCTGTAGGGAACATGATAGTAATCAAACAATGGTAGAAAAATACTTCCTTGAGGCTGGGCACATTGGCTCATGCCTATATTCCGAGCACTTTGGGAGGGTGAGGCAGTCAGATCACCTGAGGTCAGGAGTTCGAGACCAGCCTGACCAACATGGTGAAACCCCATCTCTACAAAAAAAAAATACAAAAATTAGCTTGGCGTGGTGGCAGGCACCTGTAATCGCAGCTACTGGGGAGGCTGAGACAGGAGAATCTCTTGAAACAAGGAGGCAGAGGTTGCAGTGAACCGAGATCGCAACATTGCATTCCAGACTGGGTGACAAGAGTGAAACTCTGCCTCAAAAAAAAAAAAAAAAGAAAGAAAAGAAAAATGTTGTCTTGAAAAGGTAAGAATGCAATACCATTTCTTACTTTTTCCAAAGGCCTTCCTTTGAGGTTCTTGGATCATAAAGTTCCCTTCCAGGTGAAGCCTGAGAGGACAAAAATGAGTGAAATGTTTCAATGACTCTATATCCTGGATTTAAGAAAGCAAGTTTTCTTCCACACTGTTTGACAGTGAGTCTAAAAATTCCTAGCAATTAATCATAGCAACAACAAGAGTAGCAACCTGTTACATGTTTGCTTTATATACAGACACTAATCTAAATGCTTTACATTCATCAACTCATATTCATACTCTATTGTGTGGATGTTGTTATTACACTAAAATTTACACACAGAGATGTTACAAATGTGTCCATTTGAGGAACTGGAATTTGTACCCAGCAAGTGTCACGGAAAGGAAGGCTGTTGTAAGCAGACTTGTGTGGAAAATACTCTGTACTTCAATCACTAATCCAAATGCATGTTTATTATGAGGTCTACAGGGGATTGAGCAATGTATAGTCTAGATTTATTGTTTTCATTTGCTTCAAATGAGAACTTTTAATGCTCTGATCAGCATCCTTATTTTTTATTATTATTTATTTTATTTTGTTTTTTTGGAGATGGAGTTTTGCTCTCGTAGCCCAAGCTGGAGTGCAATGGCACGATCTCAGCTCACTGCAACTTCCGCCTCCTGAGTTCAAGCGATTCTCCTGCCTCAGCCTCCCAAGTAGCTGGGATTACAGGCGTGCTACACCATGAGCTTTTTTTTTTTTGTACTATTAGTAGAGACGGGGTTTCACCATGTTGGTCAGGCTGGTCTCGAACTCTTGACCTCAGGTGATCCACCTGCCTAGGCCTCCCAAAGTGCTGGGATTACAGGCGTGAGCCACCACACCTGGCCTCAGCATCCCTATTAATCATTGGATATGAATGGATAAGAGAAATGATAAATAACTCTTGAAGTTTGATTTATTTTATGCTTGATTTGTATTTTAAAAGGTCGGACTAGATGAAGATGAGCAGATTAGGTAGATATCACATTGTGGTGCTTCAGTCCCATCAACATTTCCCCTCCAGAGTTGCAATATAATTTCAGTGATTGCCTAACTAGGACATGTTCCAGTGGACTGTCTATTTGCATGAACCTGATATACTCCTGGTCTTACAATTGCAGGTATTCCTCAGGAGTCACACGTGGCCAAGTGCGGTGCAGTGGGGGTGGGTTGGGGGCAGTGAGGAGAGAGAGATTTAATTCCAACAATATTTATCTTTTCTTGTAGACAAAAACCCAACTAATCTCTTTCAAGGCCCAAGGCAGTGATTTGGCTTTTCCTGTTTGACTATTTATGTGATCTTTCTTTGCAATTGTTAGTCCTGTCACTAATCTTCTTTTCACAATTTGGCTCCATTTCAGCTTCTTTGATAGCAAAGATCCTCAGATAACACTGACCACAGAGTAGGATAAAGGATTCCTCTCCAACTTTAAAAGAAAGTAACATTCATGGGCATTTCTATTTTTAAATAAAGAAATATATAAAAAGAGAAATATCCATAGGTCTACCATTTACAATACTATTCACTTTTAGAAATAAACAAAATACCATTTATTTTTGAACCAGGGAGATCCATCAGGATCTATTTAATGTGGGTCTTTCTGGAGGCAGGATCTTGGGTGAGATAACTATATACACACACACACACAGATGTATATATATTTATATATACATATATATATAACAGCTTTATTGAGATATAATTTACATATTATACAATTCACCTATTTAAAGTGTACAATCCAATGGCTCCTAGTCCGTTCACAGAGTTGTGCAACCATCACGACAATCAATTTTAAAACATTTTCATCACATAAAAATGAAACTTCATCACAATATTTCTAAAACATAGGAAAATTCTTCGGCCCAGGAAATCAGTGGAGAATCCACACCTTGCTTGGAGCTTGGCATTCGTTGTGCAGGTTGCTATTGCCACCTCGTGGTAAGTGGCTAGATCTACAAGCAAAGATTAAACCTTTCAAACAAAAGACTCGTAACCAGCCATTCCCCGGCCATAATGTTTGCCAGGGCCTGGGGTAAAATGGATATCAACATAGCATCTTTACACATATTTGAAGATTATAAATCAATCTAGCAAATTATTGAAAAAAAAGATGCCCTATCATCTTACCTTCATAATGACCTGGAAGCCCATATTCAGATTAAAATTCACAGGCTCCTTGGAATTCCATGTCAGACATGAAGACGTGGAGCTAGTAGGTCTCAGGTCCAGCTTTACTCTTCCCAAGCCTGGTCTGTTGCACACGTCCAGGGGCTGCTCCGTCCTGCATGTAGACATCCCAGTCCACCTGGCCAAGATCCATCTCCACACCTCCAAAGAGGCACCTCCTCCCCACACACTCACTGGCAAATAAATACCAATGGCACAGTCAAGAGCAAACCCACTGAGCTCACTGCAGCCTGGAACTCCTGGGCTCAAGCGATCCTCCTGCCTCAGCCTCCCAAGTAGCTAGGACTACAGACACACGCCACTGTGCCTAGGCTAAATTTTTAATTTTTTAATTTTTTGTAGAGATGGGTTCTTACTATGTTGTTCAAGTTGGTTTTGAACTCAAGTGATCCTCCCACCTTGGCTGCTATTTTTAAATAAAAACATTCATATAATAGAAATTAAGTATTGCAGAGTATAATTTCAAATAGGTAGTTATATTTGTATTTTAATAATATGGCTGGGTGCGGTGACACCTGTAATCCCAGCACTTTGGGAGGCTGAGGTGGGCGAATCACTTGAGGTCAGGAGTTTGAGACCAGCCCGGACAACATGGTGAAACCCCCCCCCCGCATCTCTACTAAATTACAAAAATTACCTAGGCTTGGTGGCATGTGGCTGTAATTCCAGATACTTGGGAGGCGGAGGCGGGAGAATCGCTTGAACCCAGGAGGTGGAGGCTGCAGTGAGCCAAAATCTCACCACTGCACTCCAGCCTAGGCAACAGAATGAGACTCCATCTCAAAAAATACAAAAACAAAATTAGCCGGGTGTGGTGGCGGCCACCTGTAGTCCCAGCTACTCGTGAGGCTGAGGCAGGAGAAGGGCGTGAACTTGGGAGGCAGAGCTTGCAGTAAGCTGAGATCGCACGACCGCACTCCAGTCTGGGAGACAGAGCAAGACTCGATCTCAAATATATATATAATATATATATAAATTATATATATAATAATAAAGTACATGAACATGTGCATAATTATTTATTATATGATTATATTATGTCATGGCTGTGTGCTCAGTTGGTTCTCAAAAAGCCTGGTCATTCTAAGGGCAAGTCCCGTTAGCCCCAGGACTCTGCTTTGTGAAGAGAGATATAACCTTTGAATGTCCACGGCAGGGTCCCATGGCCCACTGCAAATGATTTCTGACACAGAATATAGGTAAAATCTCTTAATGGTGCTGTTAGGAAGGAAGAAAGGTGCTTATGGACAATTAAAGGCAAATGCGTAATAGAGTCTGGTCTGATACCTCTACAGCTGTCACAGAAGCATGTGGTCCAAAAGATTTGTGAGTTTACAAAGGAAATTACTTTGCAAAACAAAAGCATTTATTTTTGATGATGCTTACACTCAAGAACTCAGTTTTTTAATGTTACTGTGAAGCAGATGCTAAACTGCAAAAATTAACTAGCAATTGCATTTCAGAAAGCAATAATATCCAACTCCTTTATTAAGTTAACTGTTAAGTGAACAAAGAAAAAGAAGAGTATTTCTTCCATTAGCAAAGCAAATAGGACATCTGTGCAGAAGACAAAATTTGGTGGGTAAAATTCATTGCTGTGGAAGCAATGAATGACTTGTAGGTACAAAAAGTTTTGTATTCCAGATCTTAAATTGAATAGGATCTCACAGTTTTTAAGAATTTCTTTCCTTCTCTTTTTTATTCTTTGTACATTTACTTCCTTTCTTTTCTTTTCTTTGTTTCTTTTTTCTTTTTCCTTTTTTCTTTCTCTTCCTTTCATCTTTCCCTCTCTCTTCCCTCTCTCCTTCCCTCCCCCCTTCCTCCCTCCCTCCCTTCCTTTCTTCCTTCCTTCCTCCTTTCTTTCCTTCCTTCCTCTCTCTCTCTTCCTGTCATTTTCCTCCTTCATTTCTCCTTTTTGATTAATTTTGTTTCACTTAACCCTGTTTTGGAGACACCAAAATGCAAAAACAAAGAATGAATTTCAAAGTAACAGCAAGGGAAGAAGAACTCGGTCTATGAGCCTCACTGTCTTGACTTTCTGCTCTGTAAGCTGTGAGGTATTTGGGTTCCAGTTTGACAGGTCCCATCACCTAAAGTCAGCCCAGAGATCAGGATAGTATTGAGCCTGAGAGCACCACAGAGTGAGCATTACATGTTATCAAGCTGTTATTTCTGTAGTGTTTTTTGTTTGCTTGCCTTTAAAGTCACCCCGAGTTTTTATTAAATTCTCCTTAGAATTACTACAGAAATCAGCCTGGCATGGTGGCTCATCCCTGTATTCCCAGCACTTTGAGAGGCTGAGGTGGGCAGATCACTTGAGCTCAGGAGTTTGAGACCAGCCTGGCCAACATGGTGAAACCCGTCTCTACTAAAAATACAAAAATTAGCCAGGTATGGTGGCTCATGCCTGTAATCCCAGCTACTCAGGAGGCTGAGGCAGGAGAATCACCTGAACCCGGGAGACAGAGGTTGCAGTGAGCTGAGATTGTGCCACTGCAATCCAGCCTGGGCAACAGAGCAAGACTCTGTCTCAAAAAAAAAAAAAATTACTACAGGGATCCTAGCTGGACTCAGGCATAACATTAAAGGGAATCAGTGTCCCCTTGTCCTCAGCAGTGGTGAGTGGTGGCAGCAGCCAAGGTGAAGGTGTCTTGTGTACTAGCTTTAGGAATATAAGGCGTGGTCACCTCTTCCTAGGTAAAGAGTCACCCTACATTCCGTACTTCAGAGCATTGAGTTTTACTTTTTTTATTTTTTCTTTGAGACGGAGTCTTGCTCAGTCACCCAGGCTGGAGTGCAGTGGCATGATCTCAGCTCACTGCAACCTCCGCCTCCCGGGTTCAAGCAATTCTGCCTCAGCCTCCTGAGTAGCTGGGATTACAGGCGCCTGCCACCATGCCCGGCTAATTTTTGTATTTTTAGTAGAAACGAGGTTTTACCATATTGTCCAGGCTGGTCTTCAACTCTGGACCTCGTGATCCACCCGACTCAGCCTCCCAAAGTGCTGGGATTACAGGCATGAGCCACCGCGCTCAGCCTGAGTTTTAGTTTTTATTATGAGAGGCAATGGTTTTGCTCCACAGGCATTACCCAGCTTAGAAAGCCTTTAGTTGTAAACTAAGTAAGGTTCGTCTGCGTGGAGTTCCCCACTTCTCTCTCAGAAGCTTCTATCCAATCCATTGCTGCCTTCCTTCTGGGCGTCTCTTAGGGGACAGCTACACTCTTCACCATTTTTGACCTCCTCTCCATCATTATGAAAGGAGGACTCTTTTTCTTTGGGAGAGGCTGTAGGGAGAGTGTGTCAGATGCCATAGCTTATCCTAATTCAGGTTCTTCTTACGGACCCCAGTGATGATTAATTTTAGGTCAATTGGCTGAGTCACGGTGCCCAGCTATTTGGTCAAACGTTCAGGATGTTTCTGTGGGGACATTTTTCTTAAAGGAGATTAACGTTTAAACTGATGGACTTTGAGTAAAGCAAATGGCTCTCCATAATGTGGGTGGGCCTCTTCTAATCAGTTGAAGGCCTGATAGACCAAAGACTGACCTCCTCTGAGCAAGAAGGAATTAGCAATTGTTTTCTATATGCCAACAGCGAACAATGTGAAAAAGAAATTTTAAAAAGTAACCCCATTTACAATAGCCATACCTAAAAATAAATACTTAGGAATCAACCTAAGCAAAGAAGTAAAAGATTGCTATAATAAAAGTTATAAGACACTGAGGAAAGAAATTATGAGGACACCAAAAAATGGAAAAATATTTCACGGTCGTGGATTAGAATAATCAATATTGTTAAGGTGTCCATATTACCCAACATAACCTATAGATTCAATGCAATCCCTATCAAAATACCAATGACATTCTTCACAGAAATACAAAAACAATCACAAAATGTATATGGAACCACAAAAGACCTCAAATGGCCAAAGCAGTGTTGCACAAAAAGAACAAAACTGGAGGAATCACATTACCTGGCTTCTAATTATACTATAAATGTTATACTACAGAGCTACAGTAACCAAAACAGCATGGTACTGGCATAAAAACAGACACAAGGATCAATGGAACAGAATAAAGAACCTGAAAACAAATCCACACACCTACTGTGAACTCATTTTTGACAAAGGTGCCAAAGGTACACTGAGGAAAACACAAACTCTTCAATAAATGGTGCTGAGAAAACTGAATATCCATATGCAGAAAAATGAAACTAGACTCCTATCAACATATACAAAAATCAAATCAAAATGAATTATATACTTAAATCTAAGACCCCAAATGATGAAACTCCTACAAGAAAACATTGGGGGGAAATCTTCAGAACATTGCTCTGGGCAAAATCTTTTTGAGTAATATCCCACAAGCGTAGGCAACCAAAGTGAAAATAGATAAATGCGATCACACCAAGTTTAAAAGCTTCTGCACAGCAAAGAAAACAATCAATGAAGTGAAGAGACAACCCACAGAATGGGAGAAAATATTTGCAAACTACCCATTCACAAAAGATGAATAACCAGAATATGTAAGGAGCTCAGACAACTCAATAGGAAAAAAAATCTAATCTGGAAAAATGGGTAAAAGATCTGAATAGAGATTTTTCAAAAGAAGATATACAGATGGCAAACAGGCATGTGAAAAGGTGCTCAGCATCCATTGGTCATCAAAGAAATGTTCATCAAAACTACAGTGAGATATCATCGCATCTCAGTTAAAGTGGCTTATATCCAAAAGACAGGCAACAACAAATGCTGGCAAGGATGTGGAAAAAAGGGAATACTTCTACACTCTTGATGGGAATGTATATTAGTCCAAAACCACTATGGAGAACAGTTTGGAGATTCTTTAAAAATCTAAAACTAAAAATTAAGTTAGCATATGATTCAGCAATCCCACTGCTGGGTATACACCCATAAGAAAGGAAATCAGTCTATCAAAGAAATTTCTGCACTACTATGTTTGTTGCGGCACTGTTTACGAAAGCTAAGATTTGGAAGCAATCTAAGTTTCCATTAACATATGAATGGATAATGAAAACGTGTTATATATCTAGAATGGAGTGCTATTCAGCCACAAAAAGAATGAAATCCTGTCATTTGCAACAACATGGATGGAACTGGAGATCATTATGTTAAGTGAAATAAGCCAGGCAGAGAAAGACAAACACTGCATGTTCTCACTTATTTGTGAGATCTAAAAATTAAAACAATTGAACCCATGACACGGAGAGTAGGATGATGGTTACCAGAGGCTGGGAAGGGTGGTTGCAGGCTGGGGGCAGGTGGAGATGGTTAATGGGTACAAAAAAATAGAAAGAATGAATAAAAGCTACTATTTGATAGCACAACAGGGTGACTACACTCAATAATAATTTAATTGTAATTTTTTTTTTTTTTTGAGACGGAATCTTGCTCTGTCACCAGGCTGGAGTGCAGTGGCATGGTCTCAGCTCACTGCAACCTGCGCCTCCTGCGTTCAAGCGATTCCCCTGCCTCAGCCTCCCAAGTAGCTGGGACTACAGGAGCATGCCACCACGCCCGACTAATTTTTTGTATTTTAGTAGAGACGGGGTTTTACCACGTTGGCCAGAATGGTCTCAATCTCCTGACCTCGTGATCTGCCTGCCTCAGCCTCCCAAAGTGCTGGGATTACAGGCATGAGCCACCGCTCTTGGCCTGTAAATTTTAAATTTTAAAATAAAGAGTGTAATTGGATTGTTTGTAACTCAAAGGATAAACGCTTGAGGAGATGGCAGCCCCATTCTCCATTATGTGCTATTTTCACATTTCATGCCTGTATCAAAACATTTCATGTACCTCCTAGATATATATACCTACTATGTACCCACAAAAATTAAAAATAAAAAAATTAAGACAAAGAATTAGGAATTCTGCTTGCAGATGGTCTTCAGACATAGCCTTCAACAAAGCTATTCCCTGGGACTCCAGCTTGTCAGCCAATCCTGTAGTTTTTGGAATTTCTAGCCTCCATTCTCTCTCTCACTCTCTCTCTCTATCTACACACACATGCATACACACACACACACACACACACACACAGAGTTGGACCCCCCAATATCTGTGGGTTTCATGTCTGACATCTGTAGATTTAACCAACCACAGATGAACACTTCAGAAAAATGAAACAATTAAAAATAATAATATGACAATAGAAATGATACAAATTGAAAAACACACCTTAACTATTTACATGGGATTATTAGTAACTACTTACATAGGTATTATTAGTAATCTGGAGGTGATTTAAAATATGCCGAAGGGTATGTGTAGGTTACATGCAAATATTACAGTTTTATATATAAAAGACTTGAGCATCCACTGATTTTGGTATCTGCAGGGGTCCTGGAATCAATCTTCTACTGATACCAAAGGACCAGACACACATACACACACACGTGTGTGTGTGTGTGTGTGTGTGTGTGTGTAGTGTTCAGTTTATCTGGAGAACCCTGATGTTAGGCTTTAATTAAGAAATCTCAAATATTTATCAGATTACTGAAGGAGAGATCTATATGTCAGCATAAATTTGGCAAAGCTTCCCATTGAACACATGAATGGTACCTACTCCATCCATTTGCAGGACTGACTTAAAATAATTGAAGATGCAGGCTCCTTAAGATAGAAGAAAACAAGCATTTTCCTCACCTCCACTGGGCCCCTGGCAATAAGGATGAGTATCCTGAAGAAAACCATCTTTGAGGGCAAGAGCTTGTAGACCTCCCCTCTATTCCATTCAATCTGGGTATGGATTTATTCTACAATTGTTGAGAAACCATGATGTGTTAGACACTACCATTGGTTTTTACTTTATCTGGGTGAACCTAAAGTGTAATCTCATGGCACCGTCCTTCTTGTGCTTATTGTGAAACAAAACTTACAGGCCAGGCACGGTGGCTTACGCCTGTAATCCCGGCACTTTGGGAGGTCGAGGCGGGCAGATCACTTGAAGTCAGGAGTTTGAGACCAGCCTGGCCAACATGCTGAAACCCCATCTCTAGTAAAAATACAAAAACATTAGCTGGGTGCCAGATGTAGTGGCACATGCCTGTAATTCCAGCTACTCCAGAGGCTGAGGGAGAAGAATCACTTGAACCCAAGAGGTGGAGGTTGCAGTGAGCCAAGAATGCGCCACTGTACTCCCCTGGGCAACAAGAGTAAAACTCCGTCTCAAACAAAACAGAACAAAAAAAATAAAAAAATAAAAAAATACGTACAAGTCCCAGACCAAAGTGTGTCTG
Organism: Homo sapiens; assembly: GCF_000001405.40. Taxonomy (NCBI): domain Eukaryota; kingdom Metazoa; phylum Chordata; class Mammalia; order Primates; family Hominidae; genus Homo; species Homo sapiens. Next base: position 40,026,660 of record NC_000008.11, on the reverse strand, counting down.
TCCCAGGATTTGAACCTGGCCCAGTTTTTCAGTCTCTTTATCCTTAGTCATAATTTGCTTCTTACTTCCATGTACATGCACACACGACTCCACAGATGCTCCAAGGGTTTCTGCAACACTTCTTCTTCTTCTTTTTTTTTTTTTTTTTTTTTGAGACAGAGTCTCACTCTGTCACCCAGGCTGGAGTGCAGTGCAACCTCCACCTCCCCGGTTCAAGTGATTCTCGTTCCTCAGCCTCCCAAGCAGCTGGGATTACAGGCGTGAGCCACCACGCCCAGCTAATTTTTGTATTTTTTATAGAGACGGGGTTTCGCCATGTTGGACAGGCTGGTCTCGAACTTCTGATCTCAGGTGACCCGCCCGCCTCGGCCTCCCAAGTGCTGGGATTACAGGTGTGAGCCACCGTGCTTGGCCTCTGCAGCACTTATCGACTGCATGTTTTCCTCCCTCTTCTCCACTCACCTCAGAACTCACAGGGTGGGAGAGCACACACTTCCTACTCCTACTGCTTCTTCTTCCCTAGACATGTCTTCTTATCCAGACCAGGAGGATCTTCAGGGAACATGCAGCATCATCACAGTACAACCATTCACTCAGGGCCTACTCTTTAACAATATATATGAGCTTGACTTTTCGCAAAAACACTGCAAAGTAGCTATGATCTTCAGGTAAAATGTGACTATTATGACTCAAAAATGTTAAGCAGGCCAGGCACGGTGGCTGACGGTAATCCCAGCACTTTGGGAGGCTGAGGTGGGCAGATCACCTGAGGTTGGGAGTCCCACAACAGCCTGACCAACATGGAGAAACTCCATCTTTACTAAAAATACAAAATTAGCCAGGCATGGTGGCTTATGCCTGTAGTACCAGCTACTGTAGAGGCTGAGGCAGGAGAATCACTTGAACCCAGGAGGCGGAGGTTCCAGTGAACCGAGATCACGCCATTGCACTCCAGCCTGGGCAATAAGAGCGAAACTCTGTCTCAAAAAAAAAAAAGTTAAGCAAGGTAAACAGCTTGTACATCTTGTATTATAAGTAAATGTCTACATTTGGTTTGAACACCAGCTCTGCCATTTCTTCAAGCTCAACAGTCACACCCCTACATTGTCCTAATAATATTTCTACATGAGATAGTCATTTTTTCACTGGTATGCATACGCTTCATCCCTAGGAATCTTGAGAAAACTGTGTTCTCTTCTGTAGTGGAAGCTTTACCTCGACCATTATACATCAAGCTGAAAATGGAACTCTTTGCTCCAGAAAATCATACCTTACATATGAACTAGGTTAATTGGTTCATTGTTGTTCATTAGCAAATAAAATAAAAACATTTGCTTTTATTTCATCCTCATGTATAAGGCTTAATGACAACAAGCCAACACAACATATTCTGAAGGCTTTGAAAGATAAAATTTTGTACGCTTCTCTTCCCACCCCCCATTTAATTTATCCAGTTTTCCATTTATTCAATATTTATTGAAAATTCTGTATCAAGTTTTGTGGTCTTTTTGAGTGCACTTGAATCCTTTAAAAGTAAACCAATTAAGATGATTACACGTTAAGCCTGTAACACTAAGGCACAAAATAGGTCCCCATTTAGTACAGGTCTAGGTTTAAAAGCTAAAGTGACCGTGGCATCCTTTCTTAAATTCTCAAGGGTCCTTGTCATCACTCACTACATGTCTACATGATTTCAAGACAAATCCAGACCTTCTCTCACTTTGCTTGCTTGATTGGGTGTCATATTATCCCTTTTCTTCACCAACTAGACACCAGTTCCAATTTCTGTTCTGGTTCTTAGGAACCCCTAGGCATGATTCTCTCCGGTTCAAGGATCAAACAGGGGGAATGGTAATGTGATAACCACCATTTAGCTCCATACAGTAATTATGAAATCACCTTTTTTATAAATGAGTAAACTGTGGCCCTGAAAGTTTAGGAAACATGTCTGTCAGTGACAAAGCTGGAATACAAACCCAGATTTTTCAGCTCTTTTTTTTTTTTTTTTTTTGAGACGGAGTTTCACTCTTGTTGCCCAGGCTGGAGTGCAATGGCACGATCTTGGCTCACCTCCACCTCCACCTCCCAGGTTCAAGCGATTCTCCTACCTCAGCCTCCCGACTGGCTGGGATTACAGGCAAGCACCACCATGCCTGGCTAATTTTGTAATTTTAGTACACATGGGGTTTCTCCATGTTGGTCAGGCTGGTCTCGAACTCCCAACCTTAGGTGATCTGCCCACTTCGGCCTCCCAAAGTGCTGGGATTACAGGCATGAGCCACCGCACCTGGCCTGGTTTTTCAGCTCTTGAAGCCCGTAGTTTTGTCAGTTTCTACCTCCCCACATATCCAAATGAGAAACAGTCATTTTACTGCTATGGATTCAAGAAGCTGGAGGAATATAATGTTCTCTCTTGACTGACATCTACACAACCTATGCTCTGAGCCCCACCTCATAATCAAATAAACTTTTGTTGACATTTTCCCTTCGTGACAGGCATTATCACTTCTCTTATTTGTATCTACCTTGAGACCCATCTGATCATCTCGATTTTATAAGAAACAGGAATCTGAGAATTAGTGACTTTCTGAAATTGGTCAAAAAACATATTGTTTTAAAAACAGGAAAGTCAGAATTCAAAGATAGGTCTTATTCTAAAGGTCATGTGCTTTATACCTGAGAGTGACAGTGGGGAAGAATAATGCTTTGGATTATTCACCAATGTGCTTCTGTCCTCTCCTGCCACCTGTCCACATCCCTGGACCATGGCACACACAGCCCAGGCAGTTAAGACAGTCTGAGTTTACTGATCCCAGAGCAAATCAAAGAACAATAAATATATTCATGCTCACTTTTTGAGGTTCAAAATAGACTTTTCAAACACAAGGACAGCATGTGTAGAGAAAAGGCGTTCTGAGTTATGGCAGGCTAAGTCTTTGAGCTGAGACTGTGACCTGAACAACAGGCAGAGAGGACACTATCAGAGCCAGGCGTTTTCCTTGGCCCATCCAGACTAGAAAAAGGTTCCCCTTTATGGGTTAGAAAAGAGAGGGCAGTGTCAGCAGCAGAGAAGAGCATCCGTAAGTGTCTCTGAGAAGAAGCTCTTGGTCTTTCCTGCCTACCTCATCTTTGCCAGACCAAGCTCTGTGGAGATAGGACAGGAACAGCCCTCCCCGTGCCCCAGCTGGAAGACACTGGTTCATGGCTTCCTACCAAGGGCCTCCGAGAGTTCACAAGGCTGCAAAATTCTCTTTCCCCAATGGCACTGGAGACAGGAGATGGTTGTTGTGGTTATAACAGTCTCCAAATATTCCTAGGTCATGTGGGAAGTAGTCAGATATTTTTCCAGGTACTGTGATAGGACCTTGAGGGCTGAAGAATGTGAAGGGCTTCAAGACATGATGACACAAGCCACAGGTTCCACTTGACCAGTGTCCACGTGAGGAGAGGGACTTCTTAGCACATGTGAACTTGGGCAGAGTCTGCTCAGTGATCAAGATACTAGATCAGTCCCCTGGAATTTAGAAACTATTCCAGGTATATGTGTGGGCACAGCGTGGAGCGTGAGGTGCAACCTTCAATTAATGGAATTTATTTTATTCTAAATTGGTCTGATTGGCCAGGTGCAATGGCTCATGCCTGTAATCCCAGCACTTTGGGAGGCCATGGTGGGTGGATCACTTGAGGTTGGGAGTTCAAGACCAGCCTGGCCAACATGGTGAAACCCATCTCTACTAAAAATGCAAAAAAAAAAGAAAAATTACTCTGGCATGGTGGTGGGCACCTGTAATCCCACCTACTCAGGAGGCTGAGGTAGGAGAATCGCTTGAACCCAGGAGGTAGTCATTCTCTGTCCAGCTTTGTTCCGTTGCTGGCGAGGAGCTGCGTTCCTTTGGAGGAGAAGAGGCACTCTGACTTTTAGAATTTTCAGCTTTTCTGCTCTGGTTTCTCCCCATCTTTGTGGTTTTACTGCACTTCAGCCTAGGTGACAAAGGAAGACTCTGTCTCAAAAATAAATAAATAAATAAATAATAAATAAATTGGCCTGATTAAAATTTTCTGATTTTCTGCTGCCAGGTAGAATGAGCTCTTGAGATAGAAACCAAGTCAATAGGGAGGTTCCAAGATGGCCGAATAGGAACAGCTCCATTCTATAGCTCCCAGCGTGAGCGACACAAAAGAAAGGTGATTTCTGCATTTCCAACTGAGGAACAAGGTTCATCTCACTGGGGCTTGTCAGACAGTGGGTGCAGGACAGTGGGTGCAGCCCACCAAGTGTGAGCCAAAGCAGGGCGAGGCATCGTCTCACCCAGGAAGAGCAAGGGGTCAGGGAATTCCCTTTCCTAGCCAAGGGAAGCTGTGACAGGCAGCACCTGGAAAATCGGGTCATTCCTACCCTAATACTGCACTTTTCCAACAGTCTTAGCAAACGGCACACCAGGAGATTATATTCTGCACCTGGCTTGGAGGGTCCCATGCCCACAGAGCTTCTCTCATTGCTAGCACAGCAGTCTGAGATTGAACTGCAAGGTGGCAGTGAGTCTGGGGGAGGGGTGCCCACCATTGCTGAGGCTTGAGTAGGTAAACAAAGTGGCCGGGAAGCTCAAACTGGGTGGAGCCCACCGCAGCTCAAGAAGGCCTGCCTGCCTGCCTCTGTAGACTCCACCAGTGGAGGCAGGGCATAGCTGAACAAAAGGCAGCAGAAACCTCTGCAGACTTAAATGTCCCTGTCTGACAGCTTTGAAGAGAGTAGTGGTTCTCCCAGCATGGAGTTTGAGATCTGAAAACAGACAGACTGCCTCCTCAAGTGGGTCCCTGACCCCCGAGTAGCCTAACTGGGAGGCACCCCCCAGTAGGGGCAGACTGACACCTCACACGGCCAGGTACCCCTCTGAGATGAAGCTTCCAGAGGAACAATCAGGCAGCAACATTTGCTGTTCAGCAATATTCACTGTTCTGCAGCCTCCACTGGTGGTACTCAGGCAAACAGGGTCTGTATTGAACCTCCAGCAAACTCCAACAGATCTGCAGCTGAGGGTCCTGACTGTTAGAAGGAAAACTAACAAACAGAAAGGACATCCACACCAAAACCCCATCTGTATGTCACCATCATCAAAGACCAAAGGTAGATAAAACCACAAAGATGGGGAGAAACGAGAGCAGAAAAGCTGAAAATTCTAAAAATCAGAGTGCCTCTCCTCCTCCAAAGGAACGCAGCTCCTCACCAGCAACGGAACAAAGCTGGATGGAGAATGACTTTGATGAGTTGAGAGAAGAAGGCTTCAGACAATCAAACTTCTCCGAGCTAAAGGAGGATGTTCAAACCCATTGCAAAGAAGCTAAAAACCTTGAAAAAAGAGTAGACGAATGGCTAACTAGAATAACCAGTGTAGAGAAGTCCTTAAATGACCTGATGGAGCTGAAAACCATGGCACAAGAACTACGTGACACATGCACAAGCTTCAGTAGCTGATTCGATCAACTGGAAGAAAGGGTATCAGTGATTGAAGATCAAATGAATGAAATGAAGTGAGAAGAGAAGTTTAGAGAAAAAAGAGTAAAAAGAAACTAACAAAGCCTCCAAGAAATATGGGACTATGTGAAAAGACCAAATCTACGTCTCATTGGTGTACCTGAAATTGACGGGGAGAATGGAACCAAGTTGGAAAACACTCTGCAGGATATTATCCAGGAGAACATCCCCAACCTAGAAAGGCAGGCCAACATTCAAATTCAGGAAATACAGAGAATGCCACAAAGATACTCCTCAAGAAGAGTAACTCCAAGACACATAATGGTCAGATTCACCAAGGTTGAAATGAAGGAAAAAATGTTAAGGGCAGCCAGAGAGAAAGGTCAGGTTACCCACAAAGGGAAGCCCATCAGACTAACAGCTGATCTCTCGGCAGAAACTCTACAAGCCAGAATAGAGTGGGGGCCAATATTCAACATTCTTAAAGAAAAGAATTTTCAACACAGAATTTCCTATCCAGCCAAACTAAGCTTCATAAGTGAAGGAGAAATAAAATCCTTTACAGAAAAGCAAATGCTGAGAGATTTTCTCACCACCAGGCCTGCCTTACAAGAGCTCCTGAAGGAAGCACTAAACATGGAAAGGAAAAATCGGGTACCAGCCACTGCAAAAACATGTCAAATTGTAAAGACCATCGATGCTAGGAAGAAACTGCATCAATTAATGATCAAAATAACCAGCTAACATCATAGTGACAGGATCAAATTCACACATAACAATATTAACCTTAAGTGTAAATAAGCTAAATGCTCCAATTAAAAGACACAGACTGGCAAAGTGGATAAAGAGTCAAGACCCATCTGTGTGCTGTATTCAGAAGACCCATCTCACATGCAGAGACACACATAGGCTGAAAATAAAGGGATGGAGGAAGATCTACCAAGCAAATGGAAAACAAATAAAGCAAGGGTTGCAATCCTAGTCTCTGATAAAACAGACTTTAAACCAACGAAGATCAAAGGAGACAAAGAAGGCCATTACATAATGGTAAAGTGATCAATTCAGCAAGAAGAGCTAACTATCCTAAATATATATGCACCCAATACAGGAGCACCCAGATTCATAAAGCAAGTCCTTAGAGACCCACAAAGAGACTTAGACTCCCACACAATAATAATGGGAGATTTTAACACCCCACTGTCAACATTAGACAGATCAACGAGACAGAAAGTTAACAAGGATATCCAGGAATTGAACTCAGCTCAGCACCAAGCAGACCTAATAGACATTTACAGAACTCTCCACCCCAAATCAACAGCATATACATTCTTCTCAGCACCACATTGCACTTATTCAAAAATTGACCACATAGTTGGAAGTAAAGCACTCCTCAGCAAATGTAAAAGAACAGAAATTACAACAAACTGTCTCTCAGACCACAGTGCAATCAAACTACAACTCAGGATTAAGAAACTCATTCAAAACCACTCTACTACATGGAAACTGAACAACCTGCTCCTGAATGACTACTGGGTACATAACGAAATGAAGGCAGAAATAAAGATGTTCTTTGAAACCAATGAGAACAAAGACACAACATACCAGAATCTCTGGGACACATTTAAAGCAGTGTGTAGAGGGAAACTTATAGCACTAAATGCTCACAAGAGAAAGCAAGAAAAATCTAAAATTGACACCCTAATATCACAATTAAAAGAACTAGAGAAGCAAGAGCAAACACATTCAAAAGCTAGCAGAAGCAAGAAATAACTAAGATCAGAGCAGAACTGAAGGAGATAGAGACACAAAAAAACCCTTCAAAAAATCAATGAATCCAGAAGGTGTTTTTTTGAAAAGATCAACAAAATTGATAGACCACTAGCAAGACTAATACAAAAGAAAAGAAAGAATCAAATAGATGCAATAAAAAATGATAAAGGGGATATCACCACCGATCCCACAGAAATACAAACTACCATCAGAGAATACTATAAACACCTCTATGCAAATAAACTAGAAAATCTAGAAGAAATGGATAAATTCCTGGACACATACACCCTCCCAAGACTAAACCAGGATAAAGTTGAATCCCTGAATACACCAATAACAGGCTCTGAAACTGAGGCAATAATTAATAGCCTACCAACCAAAAAAAGTCCAGAACCAGATGGATTCACAGCCGAATTCTACCAGAGGTACAAGGAGGAGCTGGTACCATTCCTTCTGAAACTATTGCAGTCAATGGAAAAACAGGGAATCCTCCCTAACTCATTTTATGAGGCCAGCATCATCCTGACACCAAAGCCTGGCAGAGACACAACAAAAAAGAGAATTTTAGGTCAATATCCCTGATGAATATTGATGCAAAAATCCTCAACAAAATACTGGCAAACCGAATCCAGTAGCACATCAAAAAGCTTATCCACCATGATCAAGTGGGCTTCATCCCTGGGATGCAAGGCTGGTTCAACATATGCAAATCAATAAACGCAATCCATCATATAAACAGAACCAAAGACAAAAACCATATGATTATCTCAGTACATGCAGAAAAGGTCTTTGACAAAATTCAACAGCACTTCATGCTAAAAACTCTCAATAAACTAGGTATTGATGGGACATATCTCAAAATAATAAGAGCTATTTATGACAAACCCACAGCCAATATCATACTGAATGGGCAAAAACTGGAAGCATTCCCTTTGAAAACTGCCACAAGACAGGGATGCCCTCTCTCACCACTCCTATTCAACATAGTGTTGGAAGTTCTGGCCAGGGCAATCAGGCAGGAGAAAGAAATAAAGGGTATTCAATTAGGAAAACAGGAAGTCAAATTATCCCTGTTGGCAGATGACGTGATTATATATTTAAAAAACCCCATCGTCTCAGCCCAAAATCTCCTTAAGCTGATAAGCAACTTCAGCAAAGTCTCAGGATATAAAATCAATGTGCAAAAATCACAAGCATTCCTATACATCAATAACAGACAAACAGAGAGCCAAATCATGAGTGAACTCCCATTCACAATTGCTTCAAAGAGAATAAAATACCTAGGAATCCAACTTACAAGGGATGTGAAGGACCTCTTCAAGGAGAACTACAAACCACTGCTCAATGAAATAAAAGAGGACACAAACAAATGGAAGAACATTCCATGCTCATGGATAGGAAGAATCAATATCGTGGAAATGGCCATTCTGCGCAAGGTAATTTATAGATTCAATGCCATCCCCATCAAACTACCAATGACTTTCTTCACAGAATTGGAAAAATTACTTTAAAGTTCATATGGAACCAAAAAAGAGCCCGCATAGCCAAGACAATCCTAAGCAAAAAGAACAAAGCTGGAGGCATCATACTACCTTACTTCAAACTATACTACAAGGCTACAGTAACCAAAACAGCATGGTACTGGTACCAAAATAGAGATATGGACCAATGGAACAGAACAGAGCCCTCAGAAATAATACCAAACACCTACAACCATCTGATCTTTGACAAACCTGACAAAAACAAGAAATGGGGAAAGGATTCCCTATTTAATAAATAAATGGTGCTGGGGAAACTGGCTAGCCATATGTAGAAAGCTGAAACTGGATCCCTTCCTTACACCTTATACAAAAATTAATTCAAGTTGGATTAAATACTTAAATTTTAGACCTAAAACCATAAAAACCCTAGAAGAAAACCTAGGCAGTACCAATCAGGACATAGGCATGGGCAAGAACTTCGTGTCTAAAACACCAAAAGCAATGGCAACAAAAGCCAAAATTGACAAATGGGATCTAATTAAAGAGCTTCTGCACAGTAAAAGAAACTACCATCAGAGTGAAGAGGTAACCTACAGAATGGGAGAAAATTTTTGCAATCTACCCATCTGACAAAGGCCTAATATCCAGAATCTACAAAGAACTTAAACAAATTTACAAGAAAAAAACAAACAACCCCATCAACAAGTGGGCAAAGGATATGAACAGACATTTCTCAAGAGAAGACATTTATGCAGCCAAAAGACACATGAAAAAATGCTCATCATCACTGGCCATCAGAGAAATGCAAATCAAAACCACAATGAGATACTATCTCACACCAGTTAGAATGGTGATCTTTAAAAAGTCAGGAAACAACAGGTGCTGGAGAGGATGTGGAGAAATAGGAACACTTTTACACTGTTGGTGGGACTGTAAACTAGTTCATCCATTGTGGAAGACAGTGTGGTGATTCCTCAAGGATCTAGAACTAGAAATACCATTTGACCCAGCCATCCCATTACTGGGTATATACCCAAAGGATTATAAATCATGCTGCTATAAAGACACATGCACATGTATGTTTATTGTGGCACTATTCACAATAGCAAAGACTTGGAACCAACCCAAATGCCCATCAGTGATAGACTGGATTAAGAAAATGTGGCACATATACACCATGGAATACTATGTAGCCATAAAAAAGGATGAGTTCATGTCCTTTGTAGGGACATGGATGAAGCTGGAAACCATCATTCTCAGCAAACTATTGCAAGGACAAAAAACCAAACACCACATGTTCTCACTCATACATGGGAATTGAACAATGAGAACACTTAGACACAGGAAGGGGAATGTCATACACCAGGACCTGTGGTGGGGTGGGGGGAGGGGGGAAGGATAGAATTAGGAGATATACCTAATGTAAGTGACGAGTTAATGGGTGCAGCACACCGTCATGGCACATGTATACATATGTAACAAACCTGCACGTTGTGCACATGTACCCTAGAACTTAAAGTATATATATAAAAAAAGAAACTAAGTCAATAAAAGCATTTACATTTATTTGCACACTAAACACATTGATTTACTACTTATTCCCAGTTTTCTTATTTACTTATATAGGATCCATTCATTCATTTTACAAATACAGATTTTCAGAGTAAGAAGAGAGAATAATTCTTCTAAAAATAAAGGCATTACAATAGAATTTGCAAATCTAGGTACCACGTGGAAAGTCTCATCCGTTCCCATATCATTAACTGCTCATTTTCACACTAGTGACTTCCAAGTCCTTATTGTCAGCATCCTCTATCTTCCCATCTCCACTGGAGCATTTCCAACCTCCTGCCACCAACTCAACACATTCAGGGAGAAGAGGGCTGGTCTGGGACCACAGAAATCCTGGTTTTAATCTTGGAGGCAGTGCTCAGTATGAACTTAATGAATTGTTAAGTGAATTTGTTTTTTAAGAAAATCAACAAGTAATGTATCCCCAGGCAATTTTATCTGATTTTTGACATTTAGATTGGTTTTCTATTACTTGGCAAAGAGAATGGCATACAGTCACTCCTCTGGGGGTTCTGCATGAGGAAGTATCCATTATACATGCCGTTAAGCAGTGATCAGGTAGGGAGGGAAAGGCTTGGCCACATCAACTCTCCTTTGTGAAGCCAACAGCTCTCAACAAGGAGAATATAGTGCTCTGTAGAGCAGAAACATGAATAGGGCTGAGATCCTTCCTGGATGATCCCAGGCAGAACCCTGACCCTCATTCTCCAGGCCCACCTGCCCTCCATGGGGGCTCTGCATTGCTGGGGAGAGGGCAGCCTCCTAACCACGTGGGTGAAGGATTGACTCCAAGGTCTTATCCCTGACACTCTTAAGAAAGCTCATAACTGCGGTTCCACCTGTGCCCCTGTCTTTTAAAGCCTGAGGAGGCCCTGGGAGATGGTTTGGCTTCCCATGCTTTGCCTTGGCTGCAGCTGTGATGAGGTATTTGGTGACCATGGTGATGTGATAGCTCCGCAGCTCTGCCAGGGCCTGCACACACTGGTTATAAGCTGTCAGCAAGTGGTCCTGTCCAGATGACAGGATGTAGTCCCTCAGGGAAGGTGCTGAGTGGATGTCTTCTATGAAGGCCTTATGGGAAGGAGGCATGTAATCCCTCATTCTGTACAGAAAGTCACCTGAAAGAAACAATACAGCATAACGTCATAGCTCCACATGGAAATATAGCAGAGCTCGTCTGCTTCTTCTTCTTTTTTATTTTTTTTTTCTCTAGATGAGATCTTGCTCTGTTGCCCAGGCTGGAGTGCAGTGGTGTGATCTCAGCTTACTGCCACCTCTGCCCCTGAGTTCAAGTGATCCTCCCACCTCAGTCTTCTGAGTAGCTGAAACTACAGGTGTGCGCCACCACACCCAGCTAATATTTTTTTGTATTCCTTTTAGTAGAGACGGGTTCTTGCTATGTTGCCCAGGCTTGTCTTGAACTCCTGGGCTCAAGCGATCCACCTGCCTCAGACTTCCAAAATTTTGGGATTACAGGCATGACCCACGGTGCCCAATCTTCTCTGCTTTTTCAGACAAGAATGCACCAGAAACTGTTGCTGGTGTTCTAACTCAAATCTACCTTGGCCCTTTTGTTTGCAGACTTCACGTACTCAAATGTATATTTCTAACAGTTGACAGGAGATGGAGAAGAGGAAACAAAGTAAGAACATCTCAGATGACAGAGTTGGAACTAGATTTGTTTGCCAATATATAAATATTTACTACACAACAAATGTAAACAAAGTATCCCGTTGGTAGCTGCTATAAGGAATATCTTCAAATGTAGAACACAAACCCTTGAACTGACTAGCTGAATACTCTGGTGAATTTTGTTTTCTCAGTGCTTTGTTTTGGAGGGAGCACAAGAAAAGGAGAAAGTTATATAAAGCCCGTGAAGGCAAAAAAGATAAAGAATGAGTCACTGTTTTAGTAATAGCCTCTTGAAGCCAAGTGATTTAAAAATCAAATCAATAGATATTTATAGGAAATTCGTTATGGGTTTAATATTATGCATGGTAAGTAAATCAACCATTAATGTCACCAAATGCCAAAATCCGTGAAAAATTATGACAGTTTTAGAGAAGTGACTTGAATCTACGACACTAAGTTCTGGTGATTCTTTTTCTTCTAATCCAACTTGAAAACTCCATAGTATGAAGTGTCTTTTTGCAACTGTTAAAAACTTAACTTGATCCTGGCAGGTAAGAAAATGAACAATTTCAAGCTTCCAGGGTGATAGATCCCTCTGCTGGTATAAATAGATTTGGCTAGAAGTTGCACCATTTTGTGGGGAAGGACTTTCTTGGAAGATCCCAGACCTGTTTCCAGCTGGCCCAGACTCATAGCCTTCAAACTCCACATCTCTCCCCCATTTCAGAAAAAGGAAGCTAGTGTCTAAAGATCCAAACCAAAGTGATAGTGAACAGTTGGAAACAGAGCAACATTTTAAGATTTGGAAGTAAAACCCAAGATCAAGCTGACATCTGATATTCCAATATTAATTGGCTTGACACAAAAACATTGGCAGTCATGCAGTTTCTTGGCTGACTTAGAGAAGTATAAACTTCATGACATTTTAATTTATATTTGGTTTTATCAATTGGAAAAAAAAAAAACACCTCTCCTCTTCCTCCCTCTACTCTCAAGGGAAAACAAAATGTCTGACTTACCACTTTCCTTGCTATGACGAATGCCTAAGAACTCATCAAAGGCATGAAGCACTGTGCTCTGAGCTGCACTCCCGCCGGAGTATTTCAGGGGCTCTTGGGAAACTCCTTCATACATCAGCCCTGCAGGCATTGCTGGGTTGTCTTTCCATCTAAGCAAGAGAAAAGTGAGAGAGATGAAAGGGGTGCAGGGAGGTAATGGTATATTTTCTGACATGGAAACTGAGAGTGAATGAGAAAGGGAACATGATTTCAATGGTAATTTTAGGGTGAGGGATTGGGGGTATCTTTGTAGGGTAAGTACTGAAGCATCATCTTCACTCCAGCTTCATAACAAGCTATAAAATCACAGCCCTTTTCTTCCTCATCTAAAGGGTTATTCCAGAGAGGTAAAGGCTATTTAGAGAGGAATTTGTGGCACAGGTCCCAAGACATATTTATTGCACATACTCAGTTATAAAGATGTCCTCAGTGTTGGTCAAAAGGCACATTTTAGGGGCTCTGGAAAAATCTTCACTTCCTTTGCTAATCTCAACCTTGATGAGCAGATACTTTTTAACTCCGCCAAGTAAAGAGCCTCACAAATATACACAAACACCCACAATTACATACACAGATACACACAGATGAACACACACACACACACACCTTTGCCCTTCCCTGAAACAGTGATAATTGTTAAGAAGTCATCACGTTAAACTACCAATTCTGGATATTACTCAACTTTGTAATCTATAACGTACAGATGTTACCTGACTTTGAGGATGCCTTTATCAAATACTTTGTTGACCACAGGTATTGATAATAAGGATGGATAAGAAGAGTAACAGCAGGAAGCACAGAGTAAGCCTGTGCCTCGCCAGAGGCTGAAGTCAGGGACATGCAGAAAGGCTGGGACTGGGCTGCCGGCCATGCTCTGTGAAGCAGCTGTTCTCCTCTCCTCCATTCCCTTCCCCCTTTCCTTCTCCTCTCCTCCCCACCTTTCCTCTCCTTTGTCTTCCTGATTCCTGTTCTTCACTGTTTTCTCTGAGTTCCCCCTCTTTATGCCTCCATCTGTTTTACTTATTTTCCTGTGTCTGACTTTGCATAGTCTTGAACAATCACAGTTTGTGGGGGTGACTTTATAATGTGTCCAAAACAAGTTCATGTCACATTTGCACCTACCATGCTGTATAGTTTATAAAGCATCTTCACATTCATTTTCTCATTTGACCTCTTGTGTGTACATCAGGACAGATTTTTGGAGTTTTTTTAAATACTTCATTTCATAGATAAAGTAACAAAGACTCAAAGCAATTAAGGTTCCAGGGTCATACTGTTAAAGGATGATAGAACCAGAACTTGATCCCCAAACTTGCAATTTTCTATCTTCATTTTTACAAGAACCCCATATGTGGATTTCCATTTTTACTAAGGAATATCGTCTTTTCCTCCTATAGCCAGAAACAAGCTACTTTCTCTGTTATGAGTTTAAACAGCAGATCCACATTGATGTTGCACATTTTTTTTCTATAATTCTAAAAGTTATTTTGCTCAAGAGAAGGGACATACACACACACCATATACACATATAAAAGCCACAGACAGACTGCTGTGTTTGCTGTTCATGATATTTTTCAAATACTGCTCTGAGGCTGGAAGTGCTGTAAGGAGCCAGGTTGTTTTCACTGGGGACGCTTTGGGTTGGCTGTGCTACAGCTTTCACTGGATAAACAGCACAGTGGCCTCCGCAATTGGGGCAACATCACTCTGAAAAGAGATGCGGTACAGAAAGCAGTGCAGGGGAATGGTGGGAAGAGGAAAGGAGAGGTTACTGCTGCCAGGCCCTGACAGGCTGCAGCTATTAGGAGCAAGGCCTCTATCTCAAGCAGATATGGAATTTAATTTTACCTTTGCTATTTATTAACAGTGAGCCTTGGCTTAGTTCATTAACCTCTCTGAGCCTCAGCTTTCTCATCTGAGTAAATTAGTATCTCCCTTATTGGATTATTGTGAGAACTAATTAAAATAATACCTGCCCAGGGCCTGGAACATGTTAAGCATTCAGTGAATACTAGCCATTTTATCATATTCTTTAGAGTGAGTGGGAATCCCGGCTCCCCTTTCATTACTGTGTAACTTTGTACAAATCTTTCTGAGCCTTAGATTTCCAATTTGTATTTGCTTCCTACAGCTGTTGAAAAATAAAATAGGCTCCAGAGAGGTTTTGTGATTTGTCCAATGTTAAGACCCTAGTCTAATAAAGTTGATGAACAACATTTTATGGGGAAGAAACATGAAAGACATAACTGCTGTTGGGTGATATATGGGCACACATGTTCGGGTCTTTCTTTGTAATCTGGTTGATGGTCTTATGTAGTCATTTGGGGCTTTTTCACTAGCTCCTTCCCATCTTGAGTACTGCTAAATGTTGCACTCTCAAAGGGTCAGTCCGTGGACTGCTCACTGCTCTCAATTCCCAAATGGTCTTCTCTAGCCTCATAGATTTAGAAAACAACTATATCCCAGCTGGATGGGGTGGCTCATGCCTGTAATCCCAGCACTTTGGGAGGCCCAGGCGGGGAGATCGATTGAGGTCAGGAGTTTGACACCAGCCTGGTCAACATGGTGAAACCCCATTTCCATTAAAAACACAAAAATTAGCCTGGTATGGTGGTGCACACCTGTAGTCCCAGCTACTCGGGAGGCTGAGGCAGGAGTATCGCTTGAACCCAGAGGCAGAGGTTGCAGTGAGCTGAGATTGTGCCATTGCACTCCAGTTTGGGCGAAAGAGCAAGACTGTGTCTCACAAAAAGAAAAAGAAAAGCCTATATCCTGACTATTTACAAATGTAAAAAGCTATTTACACTGATAGCTAGACCACTCCCCTATATTCCAGACCCATACATCCAACTGCCTACTTGATATGACCGTGTCCCCAAACTGATCTCCTGATTTCCTTTCTTCTTTGCTAAACCTGTTCCTCCTATAGTCTTCCTCATTGGAGTAAATGATGTCTCTGTTCTTTCAGTGAACCAGGACCCCAAAACCTGCAAATTATCTTTGACTCATATCTTTCCATCAACTTTGATTTCAGTATATATCCAGAATCTGACCATTTCTCAACACCTTTAGCCCTTGTACCCTAGTACAAGCCACCACCCTGGATTGTAATGATCGCTTCTTAAATATTTTCCCTGTTTCCGTCTTTATTCTTGGAGTTTATTTCCTACTCAGTCAATACAGAGATGATTTGCAACTGAAGGCAGATCACATTGTTATTCTTTTCAAAACGTGTCCGTGTTGTCCATCTCACTCAGAAAAGAAGCTGACAAAGCTCTACATGATCCGGTCTCTACTGTCACCTCACTCTTTCTTATTCTCCCCTGAGTGTTGCGGCCCTGCTGGCTTCCTGCAGCTCTTCCACCACGACCAACACGCTCCCACCTCAGGGTTATTGCACTTGCCATTCCTTCTTGGCGGCTCACTCCCTCACTTCCTCCAGGTGTCTGCTCAAATGTCATAGAGGGCTGTGGCACTCTTGGACCACAATAAACAGGAAAATTTGGCCACTACATTCGACAGTCTCTAATACTCTCTATCCAGCTTTCCATTTCTTCATTGTGCTTACCATTGTAATGTATATTGTATGACGCTTTTATTAGATTTACTTGTGTATTAATTGTCCATCCCCCCACCCACCGCATTGAAATGTAAGCTCCAGAGGGGCCAAGTTGAGGGTTGGTTTTACTGCTCTATTTCCAGCACCTAGAACTGACATGGGGTAGGCACTCACTAAATATGTGATAAATGAATGATTTAAAAATAACATCCTACAAGTATGTATTATATATCCAGAATATGTAGCCCAAGCATAGTTCTTGAAAGAACGTGGCCAACTTAAAAGAGCCATCCAATGTCTCAAATGGCCAAGAGACATTAATCAATCTGCTTTCAGTGCCTCACCCTCAAGAGGATTTCCACAGTGAAGGTGACAGAGAAAACACCAGCATACAAGTCCAAAAAGATAAAAGAAGCACATCTACTTTAAAAACTCATGTTCTCTAGGTTGGTAATTCTAGTCTGAGGAAGGGAAATTGTGTTTCTTTGAGCAGCCCAATTATTGCTCCCATACATTCTCAGGTCCAAGCTGCTACTGTGAAAAAAGAGGAACTATTTTCCTTTCAAATATCTGTAGGCACAATTATTTTTAGCCTTTCTTGTAGCAACTTTCTAGCAACCCCAAGAAAATGAGAAGTTTTAGTGGGGAAAAAAAAATGAGATCATTTTTTTTTTTTTGCAAAGGCTAACTTCCTCAAGAAATTGAATGTGTGTGGGAACTAAAGGGAATGAATATGTGTCATCTACATATGAAATATCTCCATTCTCCTAAATAAAAATGTTTTTAAAAAGTAAGCAAAAAGGCCAGGTGTGGTGGCTCATGCCTGTAATCCCAGCACTTTGGGGGACCAAGGTGGGCAGATCACCTGAGGTCAGGAGTTCAAGAACAGCCTGGCCCACAGGGCAAAACCCTGTCTCTACTGAAAATACAAAAATTAGCCGGGCACTGTGGCAGGTGCCTGTAGTCCCAGCTACTTGGGAGGCTGAGGCAGGAGGAAAGCTTGAACCTGGGAGGCAGAGGTTGCAGTGAGCCAAGATTGCGCCATTGCGCTCCAGCCTGGGCGACAAAGCGAGACCTCCATCTAAAAATAAATAAATAAATAAATAAATATAAATAATAAATCAAAAATAGGATAAATCAAGAACAAAAAAGCAAATTTACATTTTTCTAGACAATGCTAATGGGAATTCTCAGTAATCCAGATATTTTTGTCCATCTACACTTATTAATGCATGTAGGATTCGGTACTGGCCACTTAGCTACATGGGAAATATTTTGAGGGTAAGAAACAGAGCGGAGGCATTTATGTAAATCAAAGATAAAATGTGTCAATGACTCCGAATTTATTTTAATGAAAGTAAAATCACCTTCTAGTACACATCTAATCATGGGGATTTCAGAATATATAGTTCATCCTCATCAGATGCTTCTGACATAGAGAAGAAGTAGAATCAATTTATCCCTTGAAGGATACTGTGGTAGGTATAATTCTAAAAATGGTTTTCCAAGATTCTTATCATAATTCTTAGAACTATTAGTATTATGCTATAGCATGTCTGTCAGTATGATATATTATGGCAAAGGGGACTTTGCAGGTGTAATTAAGGTTATTAATCAGTTGACCTTGACATAGGGAGTTATCCTGAATTACCTAGGTAAGCTGAATCTAATCACATAAGACCTTTAAAATCAGAGAGTTTTCTCTGGCTAGAGGCAGAAGGAGAGGTGAGAAGGAATCAAAGTGCTAGAAGGATTAGAATTGTCAGTGCTGGCTGGGCATGATGGCTCATGCCTGTAATCTCAGCACTTTGGGAGGCTGAAGTGGGAGGATCACTTGAGGTCAGGAGTTCAAGACCAGCCTGGCCAACATGGTGAGACCACATCTCTATGAAAAATACAAAAATCAGCCGGGCTGGTGGCGGGTGCCTGTAATCCCAGCTACTCGGGAGGCTGAGGCAGGAGAATCACTTGAACCCGGGAGATGGAGGTTGTGGTGAGCCGAGATCGTGCCACTGCACCCCAGCCTGGGTGACAAAGCAAGACTCTGTCTCAAAAAAAAAAAAAAAAAAAGTGCCAGTGCTGAGATGGAAAAAAAAAAACACATGATAAGGAATACTGGATGCCTCAAGAAGCTGAGAGCAGCTCCTGTCTGACAGCCAACAAGGAAACAGATCTCAGTTCTAGAACCACAAAACACTGAATTCTGACAACAACCTAAATGAGTTTTGAAGGGAATTCTTCCCCAGATCTTCAGTTAAGAGCCCAGCCCAATAGATAAATTGACTTCGGCCTTTTGCGACCCTAAATGGAAAAGTCAGTTGAGCTTGCCTATGATTCCGACTTACAGAATTGTGAAACAATGAATGCATATTGTTTTAAGCTGCTAAATTTGTGGTAAATTGTTACGTAACAAGGGAAAACATACAGATTTAGAGAGCAATGTGAAGCAAAAAGGGATTTTCCAGAATTGGGGTGCTTCCTAAATCCCAGTCTGTTTCTGCATCTATAGTATAAGCCTGCTATGTGGTAGCATGAAATTTTTAAAAATGGTCCATTTTTCTTTTTCTAATCCTATCAAAGGTATACAGAGAAAGCCTAAATACTAAAACACACTCCCAGCTCCATTTCTGCACCCTTCTTTTTGTTTTCCCTTTCCCCCATAAACCATACACCCATTACTCTCAATCTTGGAAACCTTCTTGCTTCCACTCTGTACCCTCTACAAGGAGGATTCCATCCCCACTCCCTCCCAGGCTGGACTCTGTTTGAAGTGCTTCACACGTCAAACACACCCAATCTGGAGAAAATACTTAGTATGTGTTGCTACTCTGTCCTTGCACCAATGTAATATAGTAGATTTTTAGCATTTGCATGTCTCTTGCTGTATCCAGACACAGCTTCAGATTATTTCTATTGATAGCACTTCAGGTGTCTCCTAGTTAATAAGATGGCCCACTAGATGATATCTATTTGACATATTCACCTCATCCAGCCATTGCCTCCACCTTTCATTTTTCACTGTTTAAAAATTAAACAAAAACATAGCAGAAACTCTTAATTTCCGAAGTTAATAGGAAGGCAATCTGATTAAAACATGTCAAGGAAGGAATGGCTAATTTGTTTAAGCAAAGAGAGTATCTAAAAGTAGAGTTATCAGCCAGACGTGGTGGCTCAAGCCTGTAATCCCAACATTTTGGGAGGCCAAGGTGGGCAGATCACCTGAGGTCAGGAGTTCGAGACCAGCCTGACTAACATGGCAATACTCCGTCTCTACTAAAAATACAAGAATTAGCCAGGCTTGGTGGCAGCCACCTGTAATCGCAGCTACTCGGGAGGCTGAGGCAGGAGAGTAGTTTGAATCCAGGAGGCAGAGGTTGCCGTGAGCCAAGATGGCACCACTGCACTCCAGCCTGGGTGAAAAGAGCAAGACTCTGTCTCAAAAAATAAAATAAAATAAAATAAAATAAAATAATAGTAGAGTTCTCTATGTGAAGAAATTTCAAGCCATGTGACAAAAGAAGAGTACTCAGAAAATATGAAAAAAATGGTTTGGGGTAGTGTTTTAGTTTGTTCCTGTTGCTACAACAAAATACATTAGACTGGGTAATTTGTAAATACAGATATTCCTTAATTCACAGTGGGTTACATCCTGATAAACCCAATGTAAGTTGAAAATATCATAAGACAAAAAATGCATTTAATACATCTGACCTACCAAACACCTTAGCTTAGCCTAGCTGCCCTTAAATGTGCTCAGAACACTTACATTAGCCCACAGTTGGGCAAAATCACCTAACGCAAAGCTTATTTATGTCAACATGTTGAATATGTTATGGAATTTATTAAATACTGTACCAAATGTGAAAAACAGAATGGTTGTATGGGTACTCAAAGTAGTTTCTACTGAATATGTATGCTTTTGCACCAACATAAAGTCAAAAAATGGTAAGTCAAACTGTATTGAGTTGGGGACTACCCATAACAGAAATGTATTTCTCACAGTTCTGGAGGCTGGGAAGTCCAAGATCAAGGTGCTGGCAAGTTCAGTGTCTGGTGAGGGCCTGGTCTCCACGTCCAAGGTAATGCCTCAACTCCCGTGTCCTCACATAGTGGAAGGGACAAGGAATGGAAGAAAAAAGGAGCAAAAAGGGCCAAGTGAACTCCCTCCAGCCCCTTTATAAGGGCATTAGTTCCACTCAGGGGATTGTCTTCTCCTCTCAGAGGAGACATAATCACCTCCCAGAGAACCCACCTTCGAATACCTCACCATCACAATTAGGTTTTAACATATGAATTTTGGAGGGACACATTCGTTCAAACCACAGTGTAGCTCTTCCAGGAACTTTAGAAGAAAGCTTCGATGCTATCCAACTCTATACTACACTCCCCAGCCTTCTACATGCCTTAATAACAAGAAGAAAAAGTAGATGTAAGTGATAGAACTGTGTGAGTGACATACTGTGTTTTTCTTCTTCTGTCATTGAGCTAGGATTCTAAGAAAAGTGAATATAAATGGATCTGAACTGCCTAGGAACAAACACTCTTAACTGAAATACTTAGCCCTCAGTGTTATTTGTTGTGCAGATGGTATCCCACTTCTTTTACCTGAGAGTGGATCCCTAGCAAGAGTCACTTGGTATGTTTCTTACGCTAGGAAGCTTCTGTCTCTTCGTCCCCTTATACATTCAGTCAATGCTACAGAGACTTCACACAGGAAAACAACTGAACTATACTTACCCAGAGAGAAAGATCCGGATGCCTGCATAAAATATGTCTGGATCTACATAATCTGGAGAAGCAATCAAAATGTGAACTTTACTACAGGCAAAGAAAGCAATTGGTTACATGTGCATGGGCCCTGCTGCTGTCCCGGAGTTCCTTCCCTATCTGATATGCATGGAGACCTGGAATGAAAGCTGCAGCAACGGGGGATAGAATGTTCTCTTCTGCAGTTGCCCTCATGGGTGCTCCCGGAACTTCTAAACTATTCCATATGTTGCCCTTTGCTATTTGTGGTTCTTCCTTTCTCTGTACTTAATAATAACAACAAAAAAGAGAACAAGGCCATCTTTTAAAATTTCGTATTTTAAACAGGCAATGTTTGAGAAAATGAAGGAAGGGAAAAGAAGAAAAGCAGAGAGAATTACCTCTCTCAAGGTTTTCACAAGAGATGAAAACTAAATTCACCGATGCTTAACTGAAAGTCTGAATATTCAGTGAAGGATACAAGAGCGGAGCAAGTGTCCCTTGCCCAGGGATTGCCACACTAGGTCAGAGACAGGTTCACTTAGCTTCATGTTTAGCTACCTTCATTAATATAAACAACTATTTTTGATCTATTCCAATGTTTGAGGATAACTGATTCTTCCAGTTTACTAACTTGTATGTAAGGAAGCCTGCCCTCTTATTTGTACTAAATTTCTTTTCGAAGGTTGTTCTATTGTTTTCACGTAGTGGGACCCCTCTGAATTCTGTCACCTGGCATATGCCTATCTTACTGAGATCACTGTGTCTCTGTTTCTGAGATTATCTATCTATCTATCTATCGTCTATCTATCTATCTATCTATCTATCTATCTATCTATCTATCATCTGTCTGTCTAATCTGTCTACATCTTTATGTGAGGCCTAAATAACAACATCTATTTATCATCTATCTATCTATGTATTTATCTATCTATCTCTCTATCTATCATCTATCTACCTATCTACCTATTTATCTACATCTTTTATGTGAGACCTAAATAATAACATCTCCATACCATCAGCTTCCTTTTCCAACCAACATACGTAGTCTTTGATCCTATTTCTTCTTCCTGCTCCCTAATTTCTCTGAAGTGTCCATGAGCCTGGGTGACTCATGTCTTCCTTCAGCCTCCAGCCCTTCAGATGCTCCTTGGTGGTGTCACATTCTGTCTGCTTACATGTGACAATGCCCCATGCGCTAGATTTTTACTGGGTCCTACTTCTACATCTTTTTTATTTGATGCTGTCTTTTCACCAATACTGCTAAGACACTACTACTTTTTGCTGAAGCAGAATGACAGGTGATACTTTAATATTTTGCCCAACTTAACATATTAAAGAAGGAAAAGTGAAATGACCATTTCAATAGGTGTGAAATATCTTCTATGTAAAATGATTTCAATAGATGTAAAAAAATCCACTCATGATGAAAACAAACATGCAGAAAACTTCAGCTAATTAGGAATAAGAGATGTTCTTAAATGGATAAAAGGAATCCACAGAAAGCCTATGGTGCATATTATACTTAACAGTGAAATAGTAAAAGCAATCTTTTTTCAAATGTGAAACTAAACAAGGATCAGCACTTCCACTCAATACTGTGTTAGAAGTCCTAGCCAGGAGAATAAGAAAAAAATTATTAAAAAGAAATAAAAGTTGTAAATTTTATAAATGAAGAAGCAAAGCATGCTACTCAAACAATATGATTTATAAATAAAAAACACATATAATCTACTGATAATTATTAGAATGAATAATAGTGTTTACCAAGGTGCTAGATTTAAGGTTAATATTCAAATATCAACATCATTTTTGAAACTGGAAATGAACAGGTAAGAGGCAGGTAAATAGACAGACACCATATTTATTAGAAACAAAAATATCAAGTAACTATGAATAAAGCAGAAGATAGGTAAGCCCTTTATCTTGAAAGAAATTGAAGAAAAACTAGTAAATGAAAGGATATATTCTCGTTTTCTTTTTTTTTTTTTTTTTTTTTTTGAGATGGAGTCTCGCTCTTCACCCAGGCTGGAGTGCAATGGCATGACCTTGGCTCATTGCAACCTCCGCCTCCTTGGTTCAAGCAATTCTCCTGCTTCAGCATCCTGAGTAGCTGGGACTACAGGCATGTGTCACCACACCTGGATAATTCTTGGGTTTTTAGTAGAGATGGGACTTTACCATGTTGGCCAGGCTCGTCTCAAACTCCTGACCTCAGGTGATCCACCCACCTTGGCCTCCCGAAGGGATATACTCTCTTATACCATGTTCATGGACAGGAAAACTCAATATGAATACCTAAAAGAAGAAATGTATTGAAGAGAAGAGTTCTCTGTCTGGATATATTTCAGGCCATGTCACAAAAGAATATTGAGCCATATGAAGAAATGATTTGAGGTGGTTTACCCAGGAATTTTAGTTATTATTTTATGCTATTCTCTGCCTCTCTTTTTGCCTTATTCATAATACAGAAATATTGAATAGATAATCAAAATCAAGTCATTTTTCTCCAAATTAATGTAGACATTTAATAAAATTTGTACAAAATTTCCAACATAGATATTTTATTTTATTTATTTATTTATTTTTGGAGATGGAGCCTCACTCTGTCACCCAGGCTGGAGTACAGTGGCATGATCGCGGCTCACTGCACCCCCCGCCTGCCAGGTTCAAGCGATTCTCCTGCCTCAGCCTCCTGAGTAGCTAGAATTCAAGTGCCCAACGTCCAGCTAATTTTTGTATTTTTAGTAGAGACGGGGTTTCATCAGGCTGGTCTCCAACTCCTGACCTCAAGTGATCTGCCCTCCTCAGCCTCCCAAAGTGCTGGGATTACAGGCGTGAGCCACCGCGCCCAGCTCCAACATAGATTTTTAAAATGGAACTTGGCTAGATGATTCTAACAGTCTATATGAAGGTCTTAGTCCAGGATAGCACAAGCGATGCTGGAGGAGAAAAGCAAGGTGACGGGGTTTGCTCTGCTTGAAAATGAGGAATACCACAAGGCTAGAGTTTTTAAGGCAGATGATATCGTTGCAGGAAAAGACAGATAATGAAACAGAACAGAGAGCCTAGAAAACACACCCATTCATTTTAGAAAATCTGACATAAGACTGTGCTAATACTGCAGGTTTGTGCTTATCCATAGGAGGGAAATAGAATTTATTTCTCATCTCATACTACTTACAGATAATTATAAGTAGCAAGTAGTAATTATATGTGAATTAAAAACTAAAAAGTGAAAGACAAAACAACTTTAGAAGAAAATACATAAAAATGTATTTATGGGCCAGGCATGGTGGTTCACACCTATAATCCCAGCACTTTGGGAGGCTGAGACAGGTGGATCACTTGAAGTCAGGAGTTTGAGACCAGCCTGGCCAACATGATGAAATCCTGTCTCCACTAAAAATACAAAAATTAGACTGGTGTGGTGGCACATGCTTATTATCACAGCTACTTGGGAGGCTGAGGCAGGAGAATTGCTGAACCCAGGAGGCAGAGGTTGCAGTGAGCTGAGATCAACCCACTGCACTCCAGCCTGGACAACAAAATGAGATTCTGTCTCAACAACAACAAAAAAGTATTTATGACTTATGATGATGGGATAATTTCTTATTCAAGACCTCTTAAACCACAGACTTTCACAAATGATTTACAGGTTGGCTATATTTAAATTAAGAACTTTTACTTTCAAAAGGCATAAGACAAACCATAAAAAATGCAACACATACAATTAACAAAAATCAGCCTTCAGAGTGTACAAAAAACATTAAAAAAAACAAGTAAGATAAAAGCCTAATTAGTATAAAAATGAGGAAAGATGGCTGGGCGCAGTGGCTCACTCCTGTAATCCCAGCACTTTGGGAGGCTGAGGTGGGCAGATCACAAAGTCAGGAGTTTGAGACCAGTCTGGCCAACATAGTGAAACCCAATCTCTACTAAAAATACAAAAATTAGCTGGGCATGGTGGTGCACGCCTGTAGTCCCAGCTACTCTGAAGGCTGAGGCAGGAGAATTGCTCGAACCCAGGAAGTGGAGGTTGTGGTGAGCCAAGATCGCACCACTGCACTCTAGCCTGCAACAGAGCGAGACTCTGCCTCAAAAAAAAAAAAAAAAAAAAAAAATGAGGAAAGCCACATATTTTACAGAAAATAGGCACGAATGGTGAGTACCTGTATACACAGAGAGAGAGAGAGAGAAAGAAGAGATTGTTAACTCATCAGAAATCAGGGAAATCAGCTGGCCACAGTGGCACACGCCTATAATCAATCTCGGTACTTTGAAAGGCCAATGTGGGAGGATCATTTGAAGCCAGGAGTTCAAGACCAGCCTGGGCCATGTAGCGAGACCTTGTTTCTACATAAAAATAATTTTTTAAAAATTTAAAAAGAAAATCAGAGAAATGCAAAGTAAAACCATGATGAAGCACCACTATACGCCTATCAGACTGGCAATAAACAAATAAACAAAAGACTGAATGAATGAATTAATGAATGAAGAAATGAAGTTGACAAAACTAAATGTGATGGGGAGGTGGAATTTCAACTTAGTTCAAACATTGTGAAGAACAATTTGGTGTTGGCCAATAAAACTAAAGATGAATGTAAAGTCCTGTTGAACAATTCAACTCCCTGGTGTCCACCCTACAGAAAACCTGAAATATGTAAACTTGTAGCTATGGGCATGAATATATGTAATGACATTGCTTTTCATAGCAAAACAAACAAACAGAAATAAGTGCAGAATAAGTAAATTGTAGTCTATTTGTACAAAATGCTGCTATATAGTGGTGAAAATGTGCTATGTCTATATGACCAATGTGAATGACCCTTAGTGAAATAGGGAAATTGCAGGAAGAAATTTATACATTTTAATTCTTTTTAGACAAGGTTCAAAACCCTACAAAACAAAATAATATATCATGATAATATGCTGTTTAGGAATACTTTTTTTTTTTTTTGAAGATGGAGTCTCACTCTGTTGCCACACTGGAGTGCAGTGGCACGATCTCAGTTCACTGCAACCTCCGCCTCCTGGGTTCAAGCGATTCTCCTGCCTCAGCTTCCTGAGTAACTAGGACTACAGGCACGCCACTACGCCCAGCTAGTTTTTGTATTTTTAGGAGAGACATGGTTTCATCATATTGGCCAGGATGGTCTCAATCTCTTGACCTCATGATCCGACCACCTCAGCCTCCCAGAGTGCTGGGATTACAGGTGTGATCCACCAAGCCCAGACAGGAATACTTACTTTTTTAATAGTGAAAGTATACTGGATGTTTTATAATCACCTTAAATTAAATAAGTCTTTAAAAAATTGTCTTTGATTATTTTTAAAGAAATTAATTTATGAAGTCTAGGTAAGACATGCATTTGGCACACAATTTACGAAGTTCAACAAGGTATCTAATGAGAAGTATGCTTTCCTCCCATTCCTGACCCCAGCAATCAATTCCTCTCACCAAAAGTATCCCATGGTCACTGGCTGCCTCTGGTGAATGTTTACGGAGAATATTCTCAGATTGGCTATTGGGCAAGACTTCTAAAGCTTACAATTGACCTTTCTTCTCATCCTCTTGAGGAAGAAAATAAAAAGTTTAACAATTTTGGCCAGGCATGGTGGCTCCCGCCTGTAATCCTAGCACTTTGGGAGACCAAGGTGGTGGATGACCTGAGGTCAAGAGTTTGAGACCAGCCTGGCCAACACAGTGAAATCCTGTTTCTACTAAAAATACAAAAATTAGTTGTGCATGTTGGCAGGTGCCTGTAAAAATAAAAAGTTTAAAAATTGTGGCCAGGCGTGGTGGCTCAGGCCTGTAATCTTAGCACTTTGGGAGACTGAGGTGGGTGGATCACCTGAAGTCAAGAGTTTGAGACCAGCCTGGCCAACATAGTGAAATCCTATTTCTACTAAAAATACAAAAATTAGCCTGGCGTGTTGGCAGGTGCCTGTAATCCCAGCTACTCGGTAGGCTGAGGCAGGAGAATCGCTTGAACCGAGAGGCAGAGGTTGCATTGAGCCAAGATTGCACCACTGCACTCCAGCCTGGGCAACAGAGGAAGACTCCATCTCAAAAAAAAAAAAAAAAAAAAAGCAGCAGCAGAATGAAGCCCAAGGCCAATAAATTGAGCAACCCAAAAAGTAGACAGATACAGAGAAACAGGTACACATAGTCAGGGGAGAAAGATAAACCGACAGCTAACATCTCAATAGCAACCATGGAAACCAGAAGCTTTTGTACCGATATGTTCAACATCTAAAAGAATATAGCTGCTAGCAAAAATATCCTTCAGGAATTGAGGAGAAATAAAGCAACTTTTAGAGGGGAGAGTTTACCACCAGCAGACACTCACTAGAGGAAGTCTTAAAGGATGTACTGAAGGAATTTCTAAAGAAGTGAGGGCAAACTTTAGAAGCATTAACATGGGGCTGGGCATGGTGGCTCACGCCTGTAATCCTAGCACTTTGGGAGGCTGAGGAAGGTGGATTTCCTGAGCTCAGGAGTTTGACACCAGCCTTGGCAACATGGCAAAACCCCGTCTCTACTAAAAATACAAAAAAATTAGTGGGGTGTGGTGGTGTGCACCTGTAATCTCAGCTACTCGGGAAGTTGAGGCACGAGAATTGCTTGAACCGGGGAGGCACAGGTTGTAGTGAGCCGAGATCATAGCATTGCACTCCAGCCTGGGTGACAGAATGAGACTCTGTCAAAAAAAAAAAAAAAAAAAAAAGAAGAAGAAAAAAAGCATTAACATGGGAGGGAGGGGAGTCTGAGTTCTGCAAACAGAGCTCACACTGGAACTGATTCCCTTGCAGTCATTTTCTGTCCAACCAAACAGCTGATCAGACATGGGAGCCAGCCAGAGCTGCACTGGAGATGAATGGGGACTGCTGTATGACACGTGCTTCTGCACTGGGAATTTCCGAAGACTGCCCTGGAGGAGTCATTATGTTATATAGAGCCTCATGATGACAGTGAGGACAGCATGAATGGTCATGAAGATACAAAAAATGTATATTTTGTTCAAATATACATTTTTCAAAAGAAAGTTGCAGAGAACAAAATATACATTTTCTGATTGCACATGTCACTAGGATAATGAAACATGCCATATCTCAAATGGGAAATGCCCAAGAAAGTGTTAAACAACGTGTACGTGTGTTCATCAGCTTTATAACACCTGAGGCAAGTGAAAGATGCCCCCAAGAGAAACAGAAATGGCCAGTGGAGAGGATTTTCACTTTGCCATGTCTACCATAGGCTTTGACAGTTATATGGAACCTCTGAAATTATCCCTCAGAAACTCAGAAAGGCTGTGAAAGGAGAGAAGGGAATTGGTGGAGAAGTCAGAGCTACAGATGGGCTAAGTGAGGAGCTTACAGAATAGGCATTTGCTAGCCAGTCACCAGCCGGCTTCATACCTGCTGCTGGGCAGCAACAAATGTTATGACTTATGTACCACCATAGCAAGAGATTTCTGGTGTTCAACAAATTCTGTTTCCATGCTCTGAAGAAATGATGGGATGGGGAGTGTAGGGAAGTGAGAGTGTGTGTTTCTGGAATAGAAATATCAGAAGACAACGACTGGTGAAAATGTGTCCCTTTGTGTATTAAGTAGCTGTAATGTAACTTCCTGATGTTTGGCTAGTTGAGGTGTTAATTCTGACTAGAGAATCTTTTTCATAAAAGATATTTATTTATTTACTTATTGAGACAGGGTCTCACTCTGTCCCCAGGCTTCAGTACAATGGTGTGACCTTGGCTCATTGCAGCCTTGAGGTGCATCCTCCCACCTCAGCCTCCTGGGTAGCTGGAACCACAGGCGCTCACCACCATTACCATCTAATTTTTGTATTTTTTTGTAGAGATGGGGTTTTGCTATGTTGCCCAGGCTGGTCTCAAACTCCTGGGCTCAAGCGATCCTGCCTTGGCCTCCCAAAGTGCTTGGATTACAGGCATGAGCCACCGCATCTGGCAATGATTTCTTTTTTTTTTACTTTGGATTTTAAAAGTATAAAATATTTTTGTTTCCTAGGAGAGTTTATTCTTCCGTAAGACTCCTGCATGTATTGTATATTACAATTTATTACTGTCAGAAATTTGTAGACAGTTTCTTATTTTCATATTGAGTCATGCCACTTTTGTAATTCAGGAAGCAGCTGGGTTAATTCATAAAGTCTGCCCTTTTAATAAAATATAGTGGTAGAGTTCATTTTGAATGCAAGTTGCTTGTATTATGAATTTGTATTTGTCTTGGTTGTATATCTTGCATAATAGTTTAGCTAGAGTTTTAGCATTTACTGTATTTATTAAAATGATTTCTTTTGTAAAGCATTCATAGCTTGAGCAGCAGCATTTTTCAACAGTGTAACTGAGTAAGTGTGAATGCAGAAGAAAATATTGTCTGCCCTATTAAACTTGGTGCCAATTAGCGGCGTTTACAATGTTCATTGTGCCTGTTAATGTAGTTTTAGTTATTGGAGCTTTTGTTAACACTAGACTTGTTTTTGAGTTACATTATTAAGAGTGTTGGAATTCATTTAAGTTTAATGTAGTTCTAGTGCTTGTAAAATGGTGCCCTTTCATTTAGTATGATTTTTTTCAAACCGTGTCTTCAAGTACTATATTATTATCCTTCAGAAGAATTTTAGGCTGGCTGGATGCGGTGGCTCATGCCTGTAATTCCCAGCTGTAGGGGCCAGCCCTACAGGGTCTGTGGGTTTTTCTCCTCGTGTGCGGAGACAAGAGATGGTAGAAATAAAGACACAAGACAAAGAGATAGAATAAAAGACGGCTGGGCCCGGGGGACCACTACCACCAAGATGCGGAGACCAGTAGTGGCCCCAAATGCCAGATTGAGCTGTTATTTATTAGATACAAGGCAAGGGGCAGGGTAAGGAGTATGAGTCGTCTCCAATGACAGGTAAGGTCACCCAAGTCACGTGTCCACTGGACAGGGGACCCTTCTCTGTTTGGCAGCTGAGGCGGAGAGAGAGACGTGACAGCTTACGCCATTACTTCTGCATTTCAAAGACTTTTAGTACTTTCACTAATTCTGCTACTGCTATCTAAAAGGCGGAGCCAGGTGTTCAGGACTAGGAGCGTGACCGCTGAAGCACAGCATCACAGGGAGACGGTTAGGCCTCCAGATGACTGCAGGCAGGCCTGACTCATGTCAGGCCCTCCACAAGAGGTGGTGGAGCAGAGTCTTCTCTAACTCCCCCGGGGAAAGGGAGACTCCCTTTCCCGGTCGGCTAAGTAACGAGCGCCTTTTCTTTTCTTTTTTTTTTTTTTTACTCTTAGGTATAAAGTTTATTGAGATTTTTAGATAGCAATGAAAATAAGCATGACATATCTCAGATCTATAGGAAATCAGGGAAGATTAAACAAAAATAAAAAGTATATTTAAAAAGAGTGCCTTTTCTAGGCACTGACGCTACCGCTAGACCACGGTCCGTTAGGTGACAGGCATCTTCCCAGACGCGGGCGTTACCGCTAGACCAAGGAGCCCTCTAGTGGCCCTGTCCGGGCATAACAGAAGGCTCACACTCTTCTGGTCACTTCTCACCCTGTCCCTTTAGCTCCTATCTCTGTATGGCCTGGTTTTTCCTAGGTTATAATTGTAGAACAAAGATTATTATAATACTGGAATAAAGAGTAGTGCTACAAACTAATGAAGAATGATATTCATATGTAATCATATCTATAATCTATTTCTAGTATAACTATTCTTATTCTATATATTTTCCTCATTATACTGGAACAGCTCGTGCCCTCTGTCTCTTGCCTTGGCACCTGGGTGGCTTGCCGCCCACACCCAGCACTTTGGGAGGCCGAGGCAGGTGGATCACTTGAGGTCAGGAGTTAGAGACTAGCCTGGCCAACATGGTGAAACCCCATCCCTAGTAAAAATACAAAAAATTATCCGGGCGTGGTGGCATGCACCTGTAATCCCAGTTACTTGGGAGGCTGAGGCAGGAGAATAGCTTGAACCTGGGAGGCAGAGGTTGCAGTGAGCCGAGATCACACCACTGCACTCCAGCCTGGGCAACAGAGCAAGACTCCATCTCAAAAAAAAAAGAAGAAGAAGAAGAAGAAGAAGAGGAAGAAGAAGAAGGAGAAGGAGAAGGAGAAGGAGAAGGAGAAGGAGAAGGAGAAGGAGAAGGAGAAGAAGAAGAAGAAGAAGAAGGAAGAAGAGGAGGAGGAGGAGGAGAAGAAGAAGAAGAATAATAAGAATAATTTTATAGGCTGATGGTAAGTGTCCTCATTTTGCCTTTTAATTGAAATGTTAAGGTTCCTATTATACCATCAGGCATCATTGTGTGTACAGACCTTTTGCATGAGTGAGTGAATGGCTGGAGAAGCGAGCGAGGGCTATGAACAGTGTGAATAGAGGCCGTCAACTAGTAGTGTGCTCTTGATCTTTGCAGTAAACTAAGCTTAGATAATATAACATCATATAGTTTTTTAGTATTTACTTTGGTTGTTTCTTTTTTAAAGTGAGGAGTTGTATTTTCCCAATTATTCTTTTGGTGTTAATTAATCTGAAGGTTTTTTTTAAATGGTTAATATTAAAAATTGCTATTATGCAGTCTGCCTAAAAGGAAGTTTGAGTAAATGTCATTTCTGAAGGATACTCCAGTTTATAAGGTAGGAACAATTTCCCAGATTCAGGCTGAACCGTAGGAACAATTTCCCAGATTCAGGCTGAACCGAGACATTTACTCTGCCAGAAGGACCCACTGGGGCATATTTGGGCTAATCGGAGTTTAGTAACTTCCTCACTTTCTAACCCTATTTAAAAAATAATCAGTCCAGGCGCGGTGGCTCATGCCTGTAATCCCAGCACTTTGGGAGGCTGAGGTGGGCAGATCACCTAAGGTCAGGAGTTCGAGACCAGCCTGACCAACATGGAGAAAGCCCGTCTCTACTAAAAATACAAAATCAGCCGGGTGTGGTGGCACACGCCTATAATCCCAGCTACTAGGGAGGCTGAGGCAGAAGAATCACTTAAACCTGGGACGCAGAGGTTGTGGTGAACCGAGATGGCGCCATCGCACCCCAGCCTGGGCAACAAGAGCGAAACTCCATCTCAAAAAAAAAAAAGAAAGAAAGAAAAAGAAACAATCTTCATTATAGAAAATTCAAATTGAAAAGAAGGAGGGAAGAAATTAAGCAAAATCAACTATCATCCTCTGTGTTGAAATAATCAACGTAAATATTTTAATAAATACCATTTGTCCTTTTATTTTGCTAAATATGTATATTTTTATTAAAATGCACTCATATTATGCAAGTTATGTAGCCTGCTTTTTTCACTTAACAATATATTGTGAACATCTTTTATTTATTTATTTTTTTGGGGACAGAGTCTCACTCTGTCGCCCAGGCTGGAGTGCAGTGGCAGGATCTAGGCTCACTGCAACTTCCATCTCCCAGGTTCAAGTGATTCTCCTGCCTCAGCCTCCTGAGTAGCTGGGATTGCAGGCATGTGCCACCATGCCCAGCTAATTTTTGTGTTTTTACTAGAGATGGGGTTTCACCACGTTGGCTACCCTGCCCTCGGACTGACCTCATGTGATCCACCCGCCTCTTCCTCTCAGTGTGCTGGGATTACAGGCTTCAGCCACCAGGTCTGGCCTGTGAACATCTTTTCTAGGTCAAAAAGAAAAATAAAGAGATGTTTGTATGATTTTATTATCATATAGAATTTATTAAAGAAGAATCTCAGTGTTAATTACTTTCCAATTGAGTTTAGACAAAATAAGTTCACAGGCTGAGATGGAAAATTCCTTCCATGAAATCAAGTGAACTAATGAGAAAGGAACAGTAGCAGAAGTTCACACTACAGCTTAGCCCCAATTTACTCAAAAAGAAACCTGATTTAAATGCATACACTAAATGGTTAGGAAGAAACCCTTCGACTCCTCATTACTGCTAAAAGAAAAAATTCTTAACGCTGCCAATGCGCCGATGGGTCAAGCAAAAGCTGGAAATTCTGTTAATTTGGAAGTAAATAAAGGCAAACATTTCCATGGCTTTTTGGGGAGAAAAATATCCTTCACCTTTTCCAAGAAGAACATTACTTCCTAGAGAACAGGGGCGATCAGTAAGCATGCCAAAAAAAGAAGAAAAAAAAAAACACATGTCTTAATAATCTCAACACTTGAAAGTCTGAAAATAGTTTAACCTTCCAATGAGTCAGAAAGCTCAGATCTGGCTGAGTCGCTGGAAAGCAGCTCCAAAGAAGGACTGGATGCAGACACGCACGGTTGACAGGCGGCAGGCAGTGGCAGACTGACATAGATATGGTTATGTTTCCAGTACCGTGTGGACTTCTGCCTTATGGGGGCAGATTATGAAAATAGACCGGGCTGGTTCTGTCTTCCACTCAGAAGTGAGCGCTTTACAAAACTGAGAAAAGCTGGGCAAAGGACTAGTGACTCAGGTACCAGGAGGGTGGCTCTCCAAAACGCCACTGCAGTCTGCAACAGGCATTTTCTACTCAGCCCTGAGTGTGAAGGGCTCTACGTGCCTGGAAAGGAAGTATTTATGGATGAAGGGATTAGAGCTCATGACTCTTGCTAAAGCTGGGCTCTGAAAGAAGCAATTGTTTGGTACGCTCCATTTTGGGGAATGGAAGCAGAGGGAAAAAGTCCAGCCAAGCTCTATTTATCACGCAGAAGAAAGTTTATCATTACAAACCAGAGACAATGACTGGAGCATTCAGGTGATTCCTTAAATCTTGCAGTTTCTAGTGTTTGTTACTATTTTTATAACTTTATTTCTTGTGGTTACTATTGCTGCATAGAAACCACTCCAAACATAGAGGTGTGAAAAAACCACTATATTCTGTTGATGGGGAATCTGGGCAGAACAAGATGGCAATGGCTTGACTCTGCTCCACAGTGGCTGGTGCCTCAGTTGGGAAGACTTCAAGACAGGACATAAGTTGGGATGGGAGCCTAGAACCATCTGAGGGCACCTTCACTCCTGGGCAGAAGCCAACTGGAGAACCCACATGGCTCTTTGATGTGGTTTGCCTGTGTCGTTTGCACAGCAGAGTGATCTCAGGGTAGGTGGACTTTTTACCTAGTGGCTCAGGACACAAGGTTAAACCTGCATCACCTCTTCTAGTCTTGCCTCAGAAGTCTGTGCTATCCCCTATACTACATTCTATTGGCAACACGTACATCACAAGTAGGGGCACAGAGTCCACCCCTGGTCGAAAGGAATGCCCAGGCCACGCTGTGGAGGAGCGCGCAGGATGGCATGGGGCCATCTTTAGAAAACACAGTCCAATCCATTCAGCTATTTGTCCATATAGATGAATGTGACTAGGAGTAAAACACTGAAACGAAATTATGTCTGTGTGGGAAAATGTGCCTTTTGAGAAAACAAGGGCGGTAGCCCTGGGACCTCCTTAGACGATGAGACCTCCTGCAGAAGCTGAGCAGGAGAACACAGCAGGTTGGCCTGGGCCTAAAAAGTGAGTCTGAGCTGGGCGCAGTGGCTCACGGCTGTAATCCCAGCACTTTGGGAGGCCAAGGTAGGCAGATCACCTGAGGTCAGGAGTTCGAGACCAGCCTGGCCAACATGGCGAAACCCCATCTCTACTAAAAATACAAAAATTAGCTGGGCATGGTGGTGCATGCCTATAATCCCAGCTACTAGGGAGACTGAGGCAAGAGAATCGCTTGAACCCGGGAGGCAGAGCTTGCAGTGAGCCAAGATCGTGCCACTGCACTCCAGCCTGAGTGACAGAGTGAGACTCCATCTCACAAAAAAAAAAAAAAAAAAAAAGAAGTGAGTCTGAAAGTGAGCCCTAGGAAAGCCTGTGACAGTTAGACACTGCATGCACCATCTTACTGCTATGTACACTGGGACCTGTTGGAAGGTTTCTCATAATCTTCCAAAATTGCTTCCTTTTGCTCATCCATGTGATCTGAAGACACCTGCACTATCTCCCTAATAGCCTTGCTATCCTAAGTGATGGACTCAGGCTTTCTTGGCAAAGCTAAAACACATCTCATCTCATTTCAGCTTGGCAAAGCCACCATACAACTTAAGGGAGCTGTTTGGCAGAAGACCTACTGATGTGATCATGAGGGCTTTAAAATTAAAATTCAAGGAAATAGAGAAAATACAAATATAAACTATAAAACCAGGAAGTGGATAATACCTAATCCTGTGACTTCAGATAGATTTCTACTAGTGCTGAGAGGCTGGGATGACAAATTATATTTACTTTTTTAATACAAGATAATAAAGCTTGGCAGTACCTAGCGTCTTTCTCCCTCCCTCCAGTCCTGCTTCTTGTAAACACTCTCTTTTCCCAGAATCTTTCTTTCCTGCAGGGAAGCAAGATTCAGGGAAAATGATACTTAGACTCTGATATTCTCTTGTTAAGAAACCACACCCCTCTCTCACATCCTCCTAAACACATACATTCTTCAGATTCCTCTGAGAGAAGAATTTGAAGAGCCTCCCAGATGTTGGAAACTGAATGCAGTAACCAGAATAAGATGTAACCGGTCCAGGAAGGTTGGGCCCCGTAACTGACCATGCCTGTGTTAAGCAGATTAACAGGGAGAGGCTCCCTAATGGAAACTGATATTTATTCTGGAATAGGGCATTGCAATGGGAATACATGTGCCATAATAAACCATGTGGGTATTCAGAAAGATAAAGGAAGACAAAGGTTTTTAAAGGAAAAATGAGGACAATTATGTAACTGTTTTGAGATCATTAACCTTGGCTATGAGCATCAATAAAAAGGGTGGCACAAGGCCAATGTTGGAAAGGCAGTTGCTGGGCAGATGTCGTTGTGTAAGTATTTTTTTGTGTATGTAAGGTTGTGATGGCCTTTGTGCAAGGTGGTGATTTTTTCAGTCCTTTGGAAAAGATTTTGTTATCAGGCATTTATACACGGGAGCTCTCTCTTTGTAGCCTTCCCCAGCTCTATTTGTCAAGGTTTAAAAATTTTTATTCAACACAAGTGACTCCATTTTGATTCTGACAACTTTCCTACCTTTGACAAATCAGCCTGCCCTAGCTACAGAAAGGGAATACAGGCCATCCATTAGACAAGGCTTAAAACCAAGGTCAGACATCTCAGGAACCAACACAGGGGGTTAGAATAAAAGGGGCATTACAGAGTGTAGACAACCTGCTCTGCAGTACCTAACACTGCAGGATGGGGCACGCGCGACCAACATTACTGTGCATCCCATCCCCTCCTCTCAAGCTTCAGGCAAGACCTCAACATGCCTAAGAAATATCTGGCCACTGCAGAAGGGAAACCATCTTAATCACGGGAGAATATAAAGGAGAGGGAGAATACAAAGCTGTGACAATAGCTCTCCAAGATAATATGTGTTTAACCTAAAACAAAGATAGTCCACCAGCGTCATCTGGTGGATGAATGTATTATCACCCCCTTCAGGACATGCCTGGTCCCCAGGCCCTCTTCCCCTAAGCAGAGCCCAGGACCCCTGGGGGATCCTTCAGGAGCTTCGGAAGCATCTTACCATGCATCTGTCCTAAGGTTTTGGTGATGTCCTGAATAGACAGTCTCAGTCGCTGCAGGGCTTGGAGCAGGGCCTCCTGGTTGGGCTGCAAGATAGCATTCGTGGCCTGAACAAGAGCCTAGGGATGAGATGCATGTACACAACTTATTAGCACTCCCTTAAAGTCCATGCAGGCAGAGTAAGCCTCATACTGTTGGAACCCAGGGGAGGACCGGACAGTTTGTCAGAGCTTCCTGGGAACGTCCTAAGCTAGATCCACTGTGGGGTTGGCCTGACAGCCAGAAGCTCCCTGGGGACCTCCCAGACAGACCCCTAGGTAAGTGTTTCTGGAATTTCATCTGGCTGTTACTTCTTGCACCTCCCAAGGGCCTGAGTACTATTATTTTACTCTTCTTCTCTCGGATTTGTCACGTTATGATCAGTTCTACTGCATCTCCAACTGGGGCATCCTTGCTCCGAAGCTCTCATATAAAGTCAGATTTAAATCTGTGTTGAAATCTGTGTCCCCACCCAAATCTCATCTTGGATGGTAATCCCCACAGGCTGATGGAGGGACCTGGTGGGAGGTGATTGAATTATGGGGGTGGGCTCTCCCATACTGTTCTCATGATACGAGGGAGAGTTTTCACAAAATCTGATTGTATAAAAGTGTTTGGCAGCTCCCCCCTTTGCTCTCTCTCCTGCTGCCTCGTGAAGAGGTTCTTGCTTCCCCTTCACTTTCCTCCATGGCTGTAAGTTTCCTGAGGCCTCCCCATCCATGCAGAACTATGAGTCAATTAAACTTCTTTCCTTTATAAATTACCCAGTCTCAGGTAGTATGTTTATAACAGTGTGAAAATGGACTAATACACAGACAGATTCTACAGAGCCCCCAGCTCTAGAATCCCCTCTGCTGGGAAGACTTCCTTGTCTTCCTTGAGTCTCTACTTCATCTGAACTACACTTGGAAGGCCGATATTTGACTCTGTATCTTCTAATGGACTAAACACATGGATGAGAACTAAAGTAACCATGGAGTTTAACTACTGAGAGAGAAAGAAAGCGCTATAATATAGCAGAAATGGGTCACCCTATTGAGGACCAGTAGGTGCTCAACATATGCTTATCAAGGGAGGTAGTGTTGGCTGGGCAGGGTGGCTCACACCTGTAATCCCAGCACTTTGGGAGGCTGAGGCAAGCAGATCACGAGGTCAGGAGTTCGAGGCCAGCCTGACCAACATGGTGAAACCCTGTCTCTACTAAAAATACAAAAATTAGCCAGGCGTGGTGGCGTGCACTACTTAGGAGGCTGAGGGAGGAGAATTGCTTGAACCTGGGAGGTGGAGATTGCAGTGAGCTAAAACCACGCCATTGCACTCTGGCCTGAGCGACAGAGCGAAGGCAGAAATCTAACTGAAATATTTTTAGGCAAGGCATTAACGCTGTAGTTGATCACAAGCTGCATCACTGTCTTTTGTCTTCTATCCAGCCTTCCTGATACCTGTCTGACTCCTGAAGAATTTCCAGTTTGAGGCCCGGTGCAGTGGCTCACACCTGTAATCCACGTTAATCCATCTTCATCCACTGTATCCATCATAAGCTTCTGTCAGGGCTGGGAAAATGTCTGTCTTGTTCGATCCAATTTCCCATTGCCCAAACCAATGCCTGTTTGTTGAATGGACAAAAGGTCCATTCCGAGTTTTATAGGAATTGAGAAAAGGGAGCAAATATGGTGGCCTAGAGCTTAGATCTCTTCTCTCAGACTTGAACTAAGCAGGACAAGGTCTATGTTCATTTGTGTTGAGAAATCCACTGCAGGAAAGGCACTGAGTGGGAAGTAAAGCTCAAGCTCATTTAAAAAGAAAAGGTGCTATCAAGTGAGAAGATACCTTTATCCCAGGCACTGCTTCTTTCTCTACCAAAGCAGTCACCAGTATAAAACCATGCAGGCTCTCTCCCCCAGGAAATGAGATGATGGTCTCCAGGTTCCTTGGGAAGGAGAGGAGCACATGATTAGAGGTGTGGAGACTGTACCGTGAGTACTCACTGCCCAGAGTTCCCTGCCGAGTTAGATAACTGCAGGGTGGAATCACTGCACAACTTTCTCCTCTCCGTAAGACAGCCCTGAGGATGGGCATCTACCTTCAGCAACATTCAGGGAGGAAAGAGAACAGATAAGTTCAATTTCATGTTCACCTGACAGGCAGCCTCCCAATGTCTAGCATGGCCCTAATGGTCCTGGACCATCTCCGCAGTGGAATAACTGGCTGAATGAGAAGTTCCTAGTAAGAGATGTAGCTGATTCTCCACAGGGCTAGAGAGACCCAGGCAACAGCCAAGTCCATGCTCTTTTTTTTGCAGGTATGAAACCATGGCCCAGAGAAGCAAAGCAGCTTGTCCAAGGTCATATAGCCAGCTAATCGCAGGACCAGGCTGGGAAGAGTTTCACAACTCAGGCCAGTGCTGCCTCTAATCTGTTTATGTGTGTATTAGTTCATTCTTACACTGCTATAAAGAAATACCTGAGACTGGGTAATTTATAAAGAAACGAGGTGTAATTGACTCAGAGATCCTTAGGCTTACCAGGAAGCATGGCTAGGAGGCCTCATGAAACTTTTCAATCATGGTGGAAGGGTAAGCAAGCATCTTACATGGCGGCAGGAGGTGGGGGAAGTGCCACACTTTTAAACCATCAGATCTTGTGAGAACTGGCCAGGCACAGTGGCTCACGCCTGTAATTCCAGCACTTTGGGAGAGCGAGGTAGGCAGATTACCTGAGGTCAGGAGTTCGAGATCAGCCTGGCCAACATGGTGAAACTCCGTCTCTACTAAAAATACAAAAATTAGCTGGGCATGGCGGGGCATGCCTGTAATCCCAGCTACGCAAGAGACTGAGGCAAGAGGTTGCAGAGAGCCGAGATGACACCACTGCACTCCAGCCTGGGAGATAGAGTGAGACTCTGTTGCAATAATAATAATAATAATAATAATAATGAGATATTGTGAGAACTCACTATCATGAGAATAGCATTGGGGAAATCCAACCCCATGATCCTGTCACCTCCCACTGGATCCCTCTCCTGACATGTGGGGGTTACAATTTGACATGAGATATGGGTGGGAACACAGGGCCAAATTCCGTCTATCTATCTATCTATCTATCTATCTATCTATCTATCTATCTATCTCAATGCTGTACAATCGAATGGGATCTGGAAGGCTGTTACAGAGGAATCATTTCTAAATGATCTGCTGTCATTTAAATGGAGTAAAACATCTACAAAACCTAAAACCTTAACTCTAAGGATCATATTTGCCCTTCACATTTTAAGCATGAGACAAAGATGAAAAACAAACCAATGTCAAACCAAACCAAACCAAGACAAAGTCAAGACTTACATTGTTCCAGCAGCAACATTAGCTTGGGAAATGATGTCTTCACCTTCTGTGCCCCCATCTGCCCAGTTTTTCTACTGGACACTCTTATTTGATGAGTTTGGCGATAGAAGCTGAGGTTTGGTGATGGGAGAGGCAACACTGGATCAGAGGCTATTTTTGTTTTCCAGGAGAAGCGGAGCCTAAGGATGTGTGGACCAGACCTGCCCCATGAGCTCCAGTCTATGTAATAACAAGGTCTTTTGAAGGGATTTTTCTGTAGACAATCTGCAATCTGGCCTCCCATAGAAGATATAGTGAGATGAGAAATATTTTTTTCACACTATTAAACTTCAACTGGGTGCAGTGGCTCACGCCTGCAATCCCAGCACTTTGGGAGGCCAAGGCGGGTGGATCACCTGAGGTCAGGAGTTCAAGACCTGCCTGGCCAATATAGTGAAACGCTGTCTCAACTAAAAATACAAAAATTAGCCAGGTGTGGTGGTGGGTGCCTGTAATCTCAGGTACTCGGGAGGCTGAGGCAGGAGAATCCCTTGAACCCAGAGGCAGAGGTTGCAGTGAGCCGAGATCACACCACTGCACTCCAACCTGGGCAACAGACTAAGACTCAGTCTCAAAAAAAAAATTAAACTTCAAGGAGTTACTGAAATTTGATAAAGTTTCATTTTGTTTTGTTTGCATTGCACATTACTTGTTTTATTATGTACAGACTGGAAAATACAGTAAAAAAAAATCCCTTATCTATACAAGGAAGAGGCAATCACTGTTAAATTTTAGACTGTGAATTTTAGGCACATTTCCTTCTAGTATATTTTTTATGCATTTTATATGGTTGATATTATATTATACATATAATTTAGCATGCTTTGTTCTTTGTTTTATTGTAAGATTTTAAATTTGGCCTGGATTCTAAAGTGCGTAAATGATTTCTGAGAACTTACCCAATTTCCAGGAATCTAGCCCAATTTCAGTTATTGATGACCACCAAGAGAGAAAAAAAATAAAAGAACAATTCAGTTTGTAAACCAGATATATTAATAACTTCTAGGGTCACATGTCCACAGGCATGCACACTTGTGTGCAAGGCACTGCAGGCACACACACATCCACACTTACTTTGAATTCTGCAAGTTGTGGCTGGACTATGGGGTGCTATGTGATAAAGGGTGAGCGACATTTCCACTCACAT
Organism: Homo sapiens; assembly: GCF_000001405.40. Classification (NCBI taxonomy): domain Eukaryota; kingdom Metazoa; phylum Chordata; class Mammalia; order Primates; family Hominidae; genus Homo; species Homo sapiens. The sequence goes on along the minus strand of NC_000008.11, from coordinate 39,985,274 downwards.
TCCAGCCCCAGAATATTTGGCCTGTGGCCATCTTAATATATTATTAGGCTGGGCACAGTGGCTCATGCCTGTAATCCTAGCACTTTGGAAGGCTGAGGCAGGTGGATTATGAGGTCGAGGATTCGATACCAGACTGGCCAACGTGGTAAAACCCCATCTCTCTAAAAATACAAAAATTAGTCGGGTGTGGTGGTAGGTGCCTGCAATCCCAGCTACTCAGGAGGCTGAGGCAGGAGAATTGCTCAAACCCAGGAGGCAGAGGTTGCAGTGAGCCGAGATCATGCCACTGCACTCCAGCCTGGGAGACAGAGGGAGACTCCGTCTCTGAAAATAAATAAATAAATAAATAAGTTATTTCACTCATCTTACATTTTTGTATTTACCACAACCCCACATTTTATTCTAGCTAGTTGATTCCTACTCAACTTTTAGGATTTGCCTTACATCAAGTTCTGCCTCATCACCAAGATTTTTACTGACTTGTAAAGCCTGCATTGATGTCATTTCTCTGAAATTCTAAAGGACATATTGTTTGAGTCACTCTTTGACATTTGTCATGTAGTGTCTTGTTATTTAACCACATGGGGAGTACTTTGCTTCTATTTCTTTCATTTCTTCATAGCACTTAGCTCTGTGTTAGGCATATTAAAAGGCTTCAAAAGGTAATTACCAAGCAGAATAATTGGTGAGACCCAGGACTGTGTCCGCATCTCTGGAATTAAACTAGCCCTTCACTCTTACTCCCTAGGAAGCTATTAATAGCTTTTTTGTTATTGTTTTGTTTTGTTTTGTTTGTTTTTGAGATAGGATCTCACTCTGTCACCCAGGCTGGAGTGCAGTGGTGCAGTCTCAGCTTACTGCAACCTCTGCCTCCCAGGTTCAAGTGATTCTCCTGCCTCAGCCTCCTGAGTAGCTGGGATTGCAGGCACCCACTGCCACACCTGGCTAATTTTTGTATTTTTAGTAGAGAGGGGGTTTGGCCATGTTGGCCACGCTGGTCTCAAACTCCTGATCTCAGGTGACCTGCCCACCTGGGCCTCCCAATGTGCTGGGATTATAGGCATGAGCCGCTGCACCTGCCTGTTGTTGCATTTTTGACTACCATTCTAGTACAGTCATTTTTCCCTTCAACCTTCTCTTATTCTGTCTTTCTCTTTGAGTAATAAATCCAGCTTATTCAATATTCAGTACCTTGAACAGAATAAATTACGCACATATATTATTTTTTTCATCCAAATTCTTACCCAGATTCAGCAGCTTTCAGTAGTCACCCATTTTATTATTAAAGCATAATTAATCAAGGATCACAATTCATAATTGCAGAAAACATAAAACTCCAGGGCTCAGAGCTCCCGAGAGAGATGAGATGGCCGAATCTCACTTCTTCCAATGGGGCACATAATTTTTTTTTCTTTTGAGACAGAGTTTGTCACCTAGGCTGGAGTGCAATGGCATGATTTCGCTCACTGCAACCTCTACTTCCTTCGTTCAAGCAATTCTCCTGCCTCAGCCTCCCGAGCAGCTGGCATTACAGGTATGTGCCACCATGCCCGGCTAATTTTTTTGTATTTTTAGTAGAGACGGGGTTTCACCATGTTGGCCAGGCTGGTCTTCAACTCCTGACCTCAGATGATCCACCTGCCTCAGCCTCCCAAAGTGCCGGGATTACAGGGGTGAGCCACCGGGCCCGGCCGGGGCACATAAATTAGTCTTAAAATCTAGGCTGTCTACTAAATATGTAACCCTTTTAAGTAGATTCCCATCATCGCCTCTGGCAATCCCATGGCTGAGGAAGTTCTTCCTCATATCAAACCTCAGTGAATCTTCAGCTGTTGTAGTCAGCCACAAAAGAAAGTGCTGTCTCTTTCATCTAGAGCTGAAATAAATTTGGCTGCAAAAATTAAGGTGAAAGGAAAATTTAACATCTCAGATCATCTGTCTAATTCTGTTTGTTGAATTTCTTGTTTGTTAAAATCTCATGCTATTCCTTCTGTAGACAAATGCCCCTATTCCCAGCCCAACTGTCAAAGGAATGATGTGACTTTGGTGGAATAGATGGAATTATTAATCAAATTCTCAATCCAACCCACCTGGAGCATCTGCTCTGAATTCATCCATAATCATTCTCTTCTGATCATTATATAATGATTACTTATCAAAGCCAACTGGTTTTAACCTGATATGAATGGAGGGCATCTTAGGGAATAAACAGTTTGAAGAGAAAGAACAAATAAAAGCTGATTTTGCAGGAGCTTGAAGGTCAGGTTGAGAAATTCACACGTCATGTGGAAACAAACAAGACAAAATGGTCTGAGCCAATGTGTTCAGAATGGATTAAGAGGAAACTTCTGGGGCCTGTGATATTTGAATTTTTGGTCAAGCTCACCCCTTCTTTGGAACCATACGGCAGACCATAAATATGAACTTCCCTAATTATAAAAAAAAGCCTGGGTGTTTCCTGGGGGAAAGTTATGGAAATTCAAAGCATTCTCTTCCTTCCTTACCCGTCTGGATCTTTTTTGGTCCAGTTCGTCAGCACCAAGTCTGAGTGGACCAGGATAGGAGGGAGCCCCAAGTTCCTGGAGACTTCGACAAATGGAAGGGCAAGATTCCTTGGCAGGACCTTTCAGATATAAATCCAGACAAATAGCATATTCTAGAAAGCTTGCAGCAGAGGAAATAACCATGGTTGTCTTTTATTTCGGCAATCCTGTGGTACAGAAATGATCTGGGAACCAAGCTTGAATTACCTGAGTGATGCACATTCATATGCCGCACACATATCTTTCTGTTAATGACCCAGTGGAAATACTGCTTATGAGTACACGGTGCAATATATGTGAAAATTACAACGCTGGACCACACATACATATAGAATATAAAATAACCTCTGTAAACTGACTGTGCAAAGAAAGGCATTACCAAAACAATTAAACATAAACTGGGGCCCGAGAATATTATCAACGGAAAAAAATTTTGATAGATAGGTAAGTAGATGGAAGGATAGAAATATATATATACATATATATATATATATACACACATATATAGAGAGAGATGATAGATACATAGATAGATGATAGAGAGATGATAGCTAGCTAGATAGATAGATGATAGATCAGTAGACAGATGATAGATAGATTTATTGATTGACCGACTCATAGAGATACAAAGCTAGATGCAGAAACCTGTGTGTGCACCTAGGTATGAGCCTGGGAGACCACAGTGCCCTAGAAAAGCATGAGGACAGACTGCCTCAGCCTGTGGGGAAACTGACTCCGTCTCTTACTCCATAAGTCAAACCCAGTAATACCTTCAAGTAAGCCACCACAGGACAGACCCCCTTCAACCTTTTTTATCCAAGGAACCCTCCACGGCTCTTTATCAGCCAGAAGTCCAGAAAAGCTGTATGAGGTTCTCTATCGGAGGTAAAGGCTGAACGAGTCTAGATTCAAACCCCATCCTTGTGCCCCCTCTTCCATCTCCATTTTCATTTCTCCTTAAGATAAAATATCCATTAAGAATGCCCTGCTTTTGTCTTCATTTTTCCCTTGAATTTTTTCTCGGGTGGAAAACACTAAAGAGCTTTAATGAGTCTTGCAATGTGAACCTCGGGTAAACTTTCCTCAGAAGGCATTGGAGAGCCAGGTACTTTCTGAGCTGAAAAGTCAAGGGAGGAGAAACAAAGAAAGTGAAAGGTGATCTGAGGCGGGGTGGTGGGTGTGGGGAGCCTCCGGGTCCCCTGGAACTACCAGGGCACAGCTGGGAGGTGGAGACTTCTTTCCACTGTCACTCTTCTCTCCCCCAAACCCCAATTTAGGATAATGGTTTGCAGAGGGGATGGTATAAAGAGGACCCACTGGGACGTGCCTAGACTTCAAACTTTTCAGCATCAGACACACTTTTAAAAATGCACGCCGGGCACGGTGGCTCACGCCTGTAATCCCAGCACTTTGGGAGGCGAAGGCGGGCAGATCACGAGGTCAAGAGATCGAGACCATCCTGGCTAACATGGTGAAACGCCGTCTTTACTAAAAATATAAAAATTAGCCAGGCGTTGTGGTGGGCGCCTGTAGTCCCAGTTACTTGGGAGGCTGAGATAGGAGACTGGCGTGAACCTGGGAGGCGGAGCTTGCAGTGAGCCAAGATCGTGCCACTGCACTCCAGCCTGGGTGACAGAGTGAGACTCCGTCTCGAAAAAAAAAAAAAAAATGCAATGCACTGGCCGGGTGCTGGGGCCCATGCCTGTAATCACAGCACTTTGGGAGGCTCAGGTGGGTGGATCACCTGAGGTCAGGAGTTCGAGATCAGCCTGGCCAACGTGGTGAAACCCGTCTCTACTAAAAATACAAAAAAAATTAGCTGGCCGTGGCGGCAGGTGCCTGTAATCCCAGCTACTCAGGAGACTGAGTCAGGAGAATCCCTTGGACCCAGGAAGCCGAGGTTGCAGTGAGCCGAGATCACGCCACTGCACTCTAGCCTGGGCGACAAGAGTGAAACTCTGTATCAAAAAAAGAAAAAGAAAAAGAAAAGAGATGCATTGACAAATAACAAGGCTGCAATGACTCTACACTTTTCCTCTTCCCTGAGTCTCCTGTGTTTCCCCGAGAGACAAGAGGTAGGATCAATCAGGCAAACACGATGGGCACAGGCTGTTCTCTTCACCGTGGAGTTCTAGGACATGGGTAACTCCCTGATTTCTGGGGAAGGCACACTTTTAAAAATAACAGTAACTTTTAAAAACAGTTACTTCCAAAAATAAAAGTAAAAGACACTGTGGGTGGAAACTGTACAAAGTTATGCAATGATTCAGAAGAGATTTGGATGAATTATTAAAAGACAGACTAATAATTGGCTGGATAGAAAGCAGTATTAAAAAAAAAATAAAGATGAGTGTTGTAAATGTCAATGTGTCCCCTGGGGAAAGAAGGCTGCACTAGTAAAATCAGAAGACCTGGGTTCTGGCCTTGGCTTTTCCACTAATTTGCTGTCTGACCTTGATTAAGGAAATAAGTGTCTGTGCTTTTCAGTTGTAAAATGGGCCGGTATGGCTCTTGTTACTTTACAGGATTATGAAGAGCAACCTAGATAATTTATATACATAAGAGTACAAAATGCTGTGAGGTTTTTATGAATTCTCAGAGTCTGTCTTCAGGCCCGGCATGGTGGCTCACGCCTGTAATCCCAGCACAGGAGGCAAAGGCAGGAGGATCACTTGAGGCCAGGAGTTTAAGATCAGCCTGGGCAAAACAGCAAGACCCTCATCTCTACAAAAAATTTTTAACATTAGCTGGGTGTGGCGGTACATGCTGGTAGCCCCAGCTTCTCAGGAGGCTGAGGTGGGAGGGTTGCTTGAGCCTGGGAGGAGTTGAGGCTGCAGTGAGCTATGATTGCACCACTGCACTCCAGCCTGGGCAACATGGTGCAACCCTGTTTTAAAGCAAAAAGGCAATCTGCCTTCAAATGCAGGTCTTCAAACATTCTTGGAAGAGAGTGCCAAAAACAAACAAACAAACATTCAAAAGCTTATAAAAGGAAGAAATAGCTACCAGTTTAAAAAACAAATTAGCTCTTAGTCAGAAAAATTAAAATAAAAAAATCCTTCATTTAAATGGCCCTTCAGGCTGAACGCAGTGGCTCACGCCTATAATCCCAGCACTGTGGGAAGCCCAGGCAGGCAGATTACCTGAGGTCAAGAGTTCGAGACCAGCCTGGGCAACATGGTGAAACCCATCTCTACTAAAAATACAAAAATTAGCCAGGTGTGGTGGTGGGTGCCTGTAGTCTCAGCTACAAGAAAGGCTGAGGCAGGAGAATTGCTTGAACCTGGAAGGGGAGGTTGCAGTGAGCCAAGATCACCCCACTGCCCTCCAGCCTGAGTGACAGAGTGAGACTGGCTCAAAATAAAATAAAAAAATAATAATAATAAATAATAAATGAGCCCTTCATCGTTGCTTAAACTGATGCCCATCGAGAAGAAGAAAGTACCCATTTTCCAGGAAAACAGGGTAGCACCAAGCAGGGAGCACGTTACTCCAGGCGCAGGTAACCTGCCGGGTAACAGGAGAAGCTGCTCTCTGGCCCTCACCTCTGCAGGCTGCGCCTCTCCTTCCTGCCAGACATAACCCATGGTGAGGAAGCTCAGGACCAGGTGGGCCAGGCGCTGCTCCCGGTGACCCTTCAGGAACTGGCAGCTCAGCAGGGGCATCTGTTCATGAAAGTCCAAATGCCGTCAGAGGAGGGATGGGAACCGGGACAGGGGAGGTAACGGGGGCCGGGGACCTGGGATGTGAAGGGACCTTTGGGTGGAAGGCAATGGGTTATATTTTAATGAAGGTACAAAGAGCCCGCACACACACCCATTTATCCCCAGACCCAGGACCCTGTAGTATAGGAGGTGGTCCACACGACTTTGCTCAGGAAGAACCTAACCGCCCACCCGAGCCCACAGTTTGTCCCCATGGCTGTGGCAGCCTCCCGTCTCCATCCCTGAAGCCACTGCTTGGCTGGAATGTTGTAGGATACTTAACTCCCAGGACTGAGCGGACTTATTTCCTAGGAGTCTTGCATGGCAACTTTTACAAGCCTGTCTTATCCAAACACTGTGGCCTGCTTGCTATCGCTGACCCTGCAACAGCCCTGTGCGGTGGGTGTTCCTCTCTCTATCAAACAGGAGCAGGAGCACAACCCCTGACGCTGCCTGGGGCTTTTCACACCCCCTCCACCCCCGCCCTCCATGCCTATAGCCCTGTTGCCATAATGGGGAAGACACAGCATCACTGTGACGCGTAAAGGCGGTATCATGGTTGAAAGCAACACTTGGTAAACAAGTATCAGCAGTTTCTCCGCGCTGCCCGGGGCTGCCCTGCCTGACAGCAGCGGCCTCTGAATTCGGCTACCAGGCGCGTCCCCTCTGCTCGCCTCTTCCCCTCGCCCCAGCCCACTCCCCAGCTCTAGACACAGACTGATCTGGATCTTCCCGGGTGGTCCCCTCCCGGGTCCGAAGCGCCAGAAAGGAGGGCGGCAGGGGGTGTTTTTGTTGTCCTTTTAATCTCCAGGCACCGCCACGTGGGCACAGAGCTGGGGCTCCTCCAGCGCAGGCCCGGGTTGAGGTTGGGGTATCCTCAGGCTGGTCCTTCACCCGCTGTCCTCCCCATGGCCAGACTGCGCACTTCTTCCTCCCAAAAATGAGCTCTCATTCACCATCCCCAGGGGTTCTAAAATACAGCTAGATAGAATGAATAAGAGCTAGTGTTTGATAGCACAACAGGAGGCTACAATAACATTGTACATTTAAAAATAACTGAAAGTGTAATTGGATTGTTTGTAACACAAAGAAAGGATAAATGCTTGAGGTGACAAACACTCCGTTTACTCTGATGTGATTATTACATGTTGCATGCCTGTATCAAAACATCTCATGTACCCCATAAATGTATACACCGACTATGTGCCCACAAAAATTAAAAATAAAAATAAAATTGGCTTTCAGAATCACAACTAGAATGTGCCCTAGGCTTGCAGGGGAGGCACAGCTGGAAGGAGGGAGTACTGTTGAGATGTTACTTGTTTTGTTTCGTTTTGTTTTGTTTTAGAAACAGGATCTTGCTCTGTTACCCTGGCTGGAGTGCAGTACAGCAATCATAGCTCACTGCAGCTTTGAACTTCTGGGCTCAAGCAATCCTCCTGCCTCAGCCTCCTGAGTACCTGGGACTACAGGCATGTGCCACTGCATCTGGCTAATTTTAAAATTGTTTGTAGGGATGGGGGTCTCACTATGTTGCCCAGGTTAGTCTCAAACTCAAACTTCTGGGTTGGAACAATCCTCCCGCCTTGGCCTCCCAAAGTGCTAGGCTTACTTATGCCCAGCCTTGAGATGTTGCTTTTTAACAAGAACCAGGTGAGCATTATAACAGCAGTTATTTATTAAGTACATTTTAAATTTATTGACACTCTCTTAGCCGAAACCAGGTAGTTCATTGTTTTCATTGGCATTTTTGTTTTATTCTTGAGATTGAGCATTTTTGCCTGTTTATCATCAATTCAAATATCTTTCACTGTCTTAACTACTTATATTATTTGCCCATCTTTCCCCATCAATCATTCATCTTACTGATTTCATAGAATACATTTTGTATTATGGATCTTAATCTTTCATATAAATGTTCTAAAATTTTTTTTAGTTCATTGTTGTTTAATAATTTATTTTGAGTGTTATATAATTATTTTTATTACGTCTAGACACATTTGAAAGATACATTATTAGAAAATTATTAATACTTTTCTCACAAATAAATAAAAAATATTAATCACATTTTATTTCTAAGTCAATTTGTTCTGAATTGTAAATGACTTTGAGGACATGAGCACAAAATTATTTGTCCCTGATGACAGGTGTATTAAAAGTCTATGAATTAATAGAAATAATATCGGACTAAAAACAGAAATACTAATTTGTGGGTTTCCATCAAAATGGAAAGGTACTCTACCTTCAGCCCTTTTCTTAATGCTACTCAGCTAACATTTTGACAGTCTCTGGCCTCAGTTTGGGAGGGCCAAATATGTGATTTTCCCTCTAAAAGCAAAAATGCAGTTTGAGGAGCTTCTCGGAACCATTGTGAACATTTCTTTAGAATCTGCAACATGATTCAGGGCAACATGTTTGCACTATTTTCTGCTGAACACTTTGAAATGCATCTTATAACTTCCTATTTATTAGAAGCATTTCATGAATTTGTACACCGTGAATATAAACACATGTAATATCTATTTACAACCTAAAGAGTAGACATAAGTAAACACTTATTTACTCATCACTCAGCTTAAGAAATAGAACTTGACCAAAATTTTTGCAACCCTCTGTGTACCTCTCATTGATTGTAATATCCTGCTTGCTCCTTGAGAGTATCTATTTGTTGAATTTTGTATTTGTTATTTCCTCGCTATTTATATATCCTTCAAAATTCATATATGTATGATCACTGAACAATATATTATTGGCCAGGCACAGTGACTCACACCTGTAATCTCAGCATTTTGGGAGGCTGAGACGGGCAGATCACTTGAGGTCAGGAGTTTGAGACAAGCGGCCAACATGGTGAAATCCCATCTCTATAAAAATACAAAAATTAGCCAGGTGTGGTGGTGCACACCTGTAGTCCCAGCTACTTGGGAGGCAGAGGCAGGGGAATAGCCTGAACCTGGGAGGTGGAGGTTTCAGTGAGCCAGGATGGTCCCACTGCACTCCATCCTGGAGGACAAAGTGAGACACCATCTCAAAATATATTGGTTATTTAGTTTGAATGCTTTTGAACTTAACATAATAGAATTATACTGAATACAGGATATTCTATGATTTCCTTTTCTCATCACCATTATGGCTTTGACATTCATCATTACTGGATGCATCTGCAGTTTATTTATTTTCACAGTTATTTTATGTTTTTTTGCTATGATAAACGATACTTTCATACCTTTCAGGGTACACAGGCCTAGGAAGCTCTAAGGTATTTATATAGACAAGAAGGAAGTTCTTAATAGGATTTATATTTTCAACATTGCCAGATAATGACAAGCAGTTTTTGAGAGAGGTTGTACCCACAGTGAATAAAAGATTCAGGTGTTTTATATTCCTGCCAATACCTGTTCATGCCAGACTTTAAGCATTTTTCAGTTGTATGGTTATAAAATGCTATCCCATTATGGTTTTAACTTTCATTTTCTTGACTATTAATGATAGCTTGCATTTTTCAGATGATATATTGGGAACTTGTGTCTTCTATTCCACAAAATGTCTGTTGAACATTGTTTTTTATTTGGTTGTTTTTCCAATCAATTTACAAGATTTTGTATATTCAGGATACAAATCTTCTTTTCATTTATATGTGTGACAATATCTTCTCTCAGTTTGTAGCTTGGCTTTCATTGTCTTTTGGCCTGTTTTGATGAACAGAGGTCCTGTTTTAAGGATATCAAGTATGTCATAAAAATACTCCAATGTTGAATGGCGTGAACCCAGGAGGTGGAGCTTTCAGTGAGCCAAGATCACGCCAATGCACTCCAGCCTGGGCGACAGAGTGAGACTCCGTCACAAAAAAAAAAAACAAAAAAAAAAACTCCAATGTTGTGCCATATTAGAAAAATCTTTATTTTTTTTTTGAGACGGAGTCTTTCTCTGTTTCCCAGGCTGGAGTACAGTGGCATGATGGCACGATCTCGGCTCACTGCAACCTCTGCCTCCTGGGTTCAAGTGATTCTCCTGCCTCAGCCTCCCAAGTAGCTGAGATTACAGGCTCATGCCACCACACCCAGCTAATTTTGTGCTTTTGTTTTGTTTTGTTTTGTTTTTAGACGGAGTCTCGCTCTGTCACCAGGTCACCAGGCTGGAGTGCCGTCGTGCAATCTCAGTTCACTGCAACCTCTGCCTCCCGGGTTCAAGCTATTCTCCTGCCTCAGCCTCCCAAGTAGATGGGACTACAGGTGCGTGCCACCACGCCCAGCTAATTTTTGTATTTTTAGTAGAGATGAGTTTTCACCATATTGGCCAGGATGGTCTAGATCTCTTGACTTTGTGATCGATCTGCCCACATGGGCCTCCCAAAGTACTGGGATTTCAGGTGTGAGCCACAGTGCCCAGCCAATTTTGTGTATTTTCAGTAGAGATGGAGTTTCACCATGTTGGCCAGGATGATCTCAAACTCCTGATCTCAGGTGATCCACCCACCTCGGCCTCCCAAAGTGCTGGGATTACAGGCGTGAGCCACCGTGCCGGGCCCTAGAAAATTCTTCCTTTATCCCAGTACATAAAGATACTCTCCTACATTTTCTTCCAACAGATGAAACATTTTTGATTTTGACATTTAAGTTTGTATCCATCTTGAATGAATTTATTTTTGTTTGTGGTGAAAAGAGCAGAGCCAGTTAATCATTTTGCTATGTGCCAACTCTATGTATGGATTACTATTCATGTTTTTACCATCGTGTTCCCAACATTTCACCCTGTCATATGTTTAGTATGTATTCCATACACACATGGGTCTGTATGTAGGTCCTCTATTAAGTTTTTGGTTCCCTTGTTTATTGCTGCCCTGATGCCATCTGGTCAGAATTTCTATGGTTTTATAACATGTCATGAAAACTGATAGGAAAAATCTTACTTTGCTGTTAACTGTATATTATTTTTCTGGTTCATTTGTTTTATAATCTGGCATAGCACACCAATACAAACATTATTTTGGCTGGGCACAGTGGCTCACACCTGTAATCCCAGCACTTTGAGAGGCCAAGGCAGGTGGATCACTTGAGGTCAGGAATTCAAGACCAGCCTGATTTTGGTGAAACCCAGTCTCTACCAAAAATATAAAAAATTAGCTGGGCGTGGTGGCAGGAGCCTGTAATACCAACTACTCGGGAGGCTGAGGCAGGAGAATCGCTTGAACCCGGGAAGTGGAGGTTGCAGTGAGCCGAGATTGTGCCACTACACCCCAGCCTAGGAGACAGAGCAAGACTCCATCTCAGAAAAAAAAAAAAGAAGAAAACGAAACACAAGAAAACCCATGATTTTCGTTTTACAGCTCTCACTCCACTATGTCCCCAGTTTTGTTAAAAAGAAATATGGAGTTTAGCTGTATCATTTTAACACAACTTGGTCACAAGTATATATACCTACACACAATGCACAATTAGAATGCTATTATAATATTTTATAAATTATTTTCTTATTTCACAGTCACATTGTCAATGATTATAATGACCATAAAATTTACTGATTTCATTGTTTCACAGTATTTCTTACATACTTACAGTTTCCTTTCCTAAGGAAAGGAAATTATCAGCTGTTTCTTCAAGAAGACCAGGCTCCTGTTATTGGAGAAGGGTATTTATCTGGGCAGTGGGTTTGCTCATTGCTACTGGGATGTCACTAATTCTAGATCCTTGCAGTGGATAGATCTAGGAAGCATGTGTGTGTATATATAAATACATATAACTCATTATATAGGCATATGTAAGTAGTATTATACATTCTTATATATTTATAAATATTAAACAAAACATGACTTCATACTGATGTCTCCAACTCTAATCCAGTGGCACTTATTAATTCTAGCTTTCCCTCCTACCCCTTGCTGATCTATAACTTCCCTCACTCACAGTGAAACATCATCCATCATCTATTTACTTATTGTTCAACCCCAGTATGTACAGGCATACCCTGGAGATAGTCAGGGCTCAATTCCAGACCACCACAATAAAGTGACTATCCCAATAAAGCAAATCACACACATTTCTTGGCTTCCCAGTGCATGTAAAAGTTATGTTCACACTATAAAGTGTGCAATAGCATTATGTCTAGAAAAACAATGTACATTATAAAGTACTTTATACCTTAATTATAAAGTACTTTATTGCTAAAATATGCTAATGATCATCTGAGCCTTCAGTGAGTCATAATCTCTTTGCTGGTGGAGAGCCCTGCTTTGATGCTGATGGCTACTTACTGTTCAGGATGTTGGTTGCTGAAGGTTGGGGTGGCTTAAGAAAACAAGGCGGTTTGCCACATCAATTGACTCTTCCTTTCACAAGAGATTTATCCATTGCATGCATGCAATCTGTTTGTTAGCATTTTTTCCCCAGTAGAACTTTTTTTTTTTTTTTTTTTTTTTTTTGAGATGGAGTCTTGCTCTGTTACCCGGGCTGGAGTGCAGTGGCGAGATCTTGACTCACTGCAACCTCTGCCTCCCAGGTTAAAGCAATTCTCCTGCTTCAGCCTCCCAAGTAGCTGGGATCACAGGAGCCTGCCACCATGACCAGCTAATTTTTGTATTTTTAGTAGAGGTAGTGGTATTTCATCATGTTGGCCAAGCTGGTCTCAAACTCAACCTCAAGTGATCCGCCTGCCTCGGCTTCCCAAAGTGCTGGCGTGAGCCACCACGCTCGGCACCCAGTAGAACTTCTTTTAAAATTGCAGTTAATCCTCTCAAACCCTGCTGATGCTTTATCAACTATGTTTATGGAACATTCTAATTTTTTTTTATCATTTCAACAATGTTCAGCAACATTTCAACAGCAGCTCAAACACAGTATTTTCACCACGAGTAAATTCTGTGTTGTGCAACTACTTTCTTTGCTCCATAAGAAGCAACTTATCTCTTAAAGTTCAATCATGCAGCCGGGGTGTTGGCCCACGCCTGTAATCCCAGCACTTTGGGAGGCCAAGGTGGGTGGATCACCTGATGCCAGGAGTTTGAGACCAGCCTGGCCAACATGGAAAAACCCCATCTCTACTAAAAATACAAAAAATTAGGTGGGCATGGTGGCAGGCACCTATAATCCTAGGAACTCGGGAGGCTGAGGCAGGAGACTTGCTTGAACCAGGGAGGCAGAGCCTGCAGTGAGCCAAGATTGCGCCACTGCACTCCAGCTTGGGCAATAAGAACGAAACTCTGTCTCAAAAAAAAAAGAAAAGAAAAGTTCAATCGTAAGATTGCAGCAACTCAGTTATAAAATCAGATTCCACTTCTAATTTTAGTTCTCATACTATTTCTGCGACATCTCCAGTGACTTCCTCTGCTCAAGTCTTGAACCCCTCAAAGTCATCCATGAGGGTTGACTTCTTGCAAACTCCTATTAATGTTTTTATTTTGACGTCCTCCATGAATCATGAATGCTTTTAATAGTATCTAGAATAGTGAATCCTTTCCAGGTTTCCATTTGACTTTGCCCAGATTCTTCAGAGGGATCATTATCTGTGTCAGGAATAGCCTTACAAAGTATAGTTCTTAAATAATAAGACTTGAAAGCCAAAATGACCCCTTGATCCATAGGTTGCAGAACAAATGTGTTAGCAGACATGAAAACAACATTTATTTCCTGTATATCTCCAGTAGAGCTCTTGGGTGACCAGAGGCATTGTTAATAAGCAGTAATATTTTGAAAGGAATATTTTTTTCTGAGCAGTAGGTCGCAACAGTGAGCTTAAAGTATTCAGTAAAGCATGCTGTAAATAGATATGCCATCATCCAGGCCTTATTGTCCGTTTACAGAGCACAGGCAGAGTAGATTTAGCATAGCTGGTAAGGGCCCTAAGATTTCAGGAATGGTAAATGAGCACTGGCTTCAACTTAAAGTCACCAGCTGCACTAGCCCCTAACAAGAGAGTCAGCCTGTCCTTTCAAGCTAGGCATTGACTTTTTTCTAACTATGAAAGTCCTGGGCCGGGCGCAGTGGCTCACACCTGTAATCCCAGCACTTTGGGAGGCCAAGGGGGGTGGATCACGAGGTCAGAGATAGAGACCATCTTGGCCAACATGGTGAAACCCCGTCTCTACTAAAACTGCAAAAATTAGCTGGGCATGGTGGCACGTGCCTGTAGTCCCAGCTACTCAGGAGGCTGAGGCAGGGGAAACACTTGAACCCGGGAGGCAGAGATTGCAGTGAGCTGAGATCGCATCACTGCACTCCAGCCTGGCGACAGAGTGAGACTCTGTCTCAAAAAAAAAAAAAAAAAAAAAGTCCTGGTTGGAATCTTCTTCCAATAAAAGATGGTTTTGTCTGCATTGAACACCTATTTTTAAATGTAGCCACTGGCCAGGCGTGGTGGCTCATGCCTGTAATCCAGCTCTTTGGGAGGCCAAGGCGGGTGGATCACCTGAGGTCAGGAGTTCAAGACCAGCCTGGCCAATGTGGTGAAACCCCGTCTCTACCAAAGATACAAAAATTAGTCAGGCGTTGTGGCAGATGCCTGTAATCCCAGGTACTGGGAAGGCTGAGGCAGGAGAATTGCTTGAACCTAGGAGGTGGAGGTTGCAGTGAGCCAACATCATGCCACCACACTCCAGCCTGGGGGACAGAGCAAGACTTTGTCTCAAAATAAATAAATTAATAAATAACAAAAATAAAAAATAAATGTAGCCACCTTCATTGATGATTTTAGCTGGATCTTCTGGATAATTAGCTGCAGCTTCTCCATCAGCACTTGCTGCTTCACCTTGCACTTTTATGTTGTGGAGATGGCTTCTAGCCTCATACTTCATGAACCAGATTCTGCTGGTTTAAAACTTTTTTACTACAGCTTCTTCAGCCCTCTCAGACTTTGTAGAATTGAAGAGAATTAGGGCCTTTCTTTGAATTAGGCTTTGGTTTAAGGGAAGTTGTGGCTGGTTTGATCTTCTATCCAAAATACTCAAACTTCCTCTATACCAGCAATAAGGCTCTTTTGCTTTCTTATCATTCGTATGTTCACTGGAGTAGCACTTTTAATTTTCTTCAAAAGCTTTTCCTTTGCACTCCCAGCTTGGCTGTTTGGCAAAAGAGGCCCAGCTTTAAGCCTATCTGGTTTTGACATGACTTTCTCACCAAGCTTAATCATTTCTAGCTTTAGATATTTTTTTTTTTTTTTTTGAGAAGGAGTTTTACTCTTGTTGCCCTGGCTGGAGTGCAATCGCACAATCTAGGCTCACTGCAACCTCCATTTCCAGGGTTCAAACGATTGTTCTGCCTCAGTCTCCTGAGTAGCTAGGATTACAGGTGTGCACCACCATGCCTGGCTAATTTTTGCATTTTTAGTCAAGACAGAGTTTCGCCATGTTGGCCAGGCTGGTCTCGAAGTCCTGAACTCAGGTGATCTCCCCGCCTTGGCTTCCCAAAGTGCTGGGATTAGAGGCCTGAGCCACCATGACCAGCCTCTAGTTTTAGATTTTTAAAGTGAGAGACATGCAACTCCTTTCACTTGAACACTTAGAGGCCATTGTAGGATTATTAATTGGCCTAATTTCAATATTATTATGTCTCAGGAAATCAGGAGGCCTGAGGAGGGGGAGAGAGATGGGGCAATGGCTGGTCAGTGGAGCAGTCAGAACACATACATTTATCAATTAAGTTTCAGGACTTATAGGGGCACAGTTTATGGCACCTTCAAAACGATTATGATAGTAACATTAAAGATCACTGATCACAGATCACTGTAACAGATGTAATAGTAAAGAAAAAGTTTTAACTATTGTTATAATTATCAAAATATGACACACAGACACCAAATGCGTACACACTATTGGAAAAATGGGGTTGACAGACTTGCTTGATGCAAGGTTGCTACGAATCTTCAATTTGTAAAAATTGAAATATCTGCAAAATGCAAAGGTATGACTACATGTAAAGCAGTTTCACAACTGTTCACCCGCACCCCATGAAAAACTGATTTACCAATTAGAGTATAGTGATCCTGTAAAGTTTCATTTACCGTAAGCCTTATAGATTCTAGTCACAACACAACACTATTTTCTGGAGTAATTTAAGTCCGTTCCTTTCCCTACTCCCCACTCTCTTCATCGAAGTTATATAGTGCATTTGTAGTCCAGTTAGGTGTTGTTGTTTGTTTTTTTTTTTTTTACTTTTTTAAAAATTTGCTTTAAGTTCTGGGATACATGTGCAGAATGTGCTGGTTTGTTACATATGTATACATGTGCCATGGTGGTTTGCTGCGCCTGTCAACCCATCATCTAGGTTTTAAGCCCCTCATGCTTTAGGTATTTGTCCTAATGCTCTCCCTCCCCTAGCCCCCCACCCCACAACAGGCCCCGGTGTGTGATGTTCCCCTCTCTGTGTCCTTGTGTTCTCATTGTTCAACTCCCACTTATAAGTAAGAACATGCGGTGTTTGGTGTTCTGTTCCTGTGTTAGTTTGCTGAGAGTCCAGTTAGTTTTATTTATCACAGTCTGCATTCCATCCTAGTATTCTCCCAATTTTCTGGTTTATTTTTTAAAATTTGCATACATGAAAGTCCATTCTTTGTGACATACAATTCCATGGGTTTTTCAGTGCCTAGAGCCATATATCCATCACCTGAGTGCCATATAAAACAGTTTCATCATGCTAAACATTCCCCTATATATTACCTTTGCAGTCAACTACCCACTCCTTACCTGTCTCTAGTAACCATAAAGCTATATTTAATCCTTCTAGTTTTGCCCTTTCTAAAAAGTCATTTGAAAAGAATCATACAATATAGGCCTGACATCTTTCATTTAGGTAAATGTATTTAAGGTTCATCCCTGTCATTGCACAAATTAATTGCTCAATCATTTGTATCGCTGAATACTATTCCACTATCCATCCCACAATTTACAATTATTATAATTTGGTTTATTCATTCCCCGGTTGAAGGATATCCTGTTTTCTTCCAGATTTTTTTTTTTTTTTGGTGATTATGAATAAAGCTGTTATAAACATTCATATATGGATTTTTTTTCTGGGAACATACATTTTCCATTTACTTGGATAAATGCTTAGGAATGCCATTGCTGAGTTGCATGGTAAATCTATGTTTCATTTTATAAGAATCTGCCAAGCTAGTTTTCAAACTGGCTGTACCATTTTGCATTTCAACCAGCAATGAATGAAAGTCTCTATTGCTATACGTCCTCTTCAGTATTTTGATATGGCCAGATTTTTAAAAAATTAGCCATACAAATAGGTATGAAATTGTCTTTTAGGCCAGCACGGTGGCTCACGCCTGTAATCCCAGCACTTTGGGAGGCCAAGGCGGGTGGATCACCTGAGGTCAGGAGTTTGAGACCAGCCTGGCCAACATGGTGAAACCCCGTCTCTAATAAAAATACAAAAATTAGCTGGGTGTGGTGGCGGGTGCCTGTAATCCCAGCTACTCGGGAAGCTGAGGCAGGACAATTGCTTGAACCCAGAGGCAGAGGTTGCAGTGAGTCGATATAGCACCACTGCACTCCAGCCTGGGCAACAAGAGTGAAACTCTGTCTCAAAAAAAAGAAAAGAAACTGTCTTTTAATATTTAGCATTACAGGTAAACAGTCGTATGTATTTACTCTGTAAATAAACTATTTTTCATTTTTGTTTTCTATGAATATGCAGATTTCTTTACCCTAGAAAATTCACAATTTTATCTGAGTATTTACATGTGCCCCCCAACCCTCACCCCAACACTGTCTTTCTGATATAAAAAACTCAAATATTTCTTAAGGTCTAAAAATTTTGTGCTTATATGTTGGAAGTTTTACTTTTCCTCCACCCATCTGCTTATGGGATTCCATTAAAAGGAATTTGGATCACCTGTATTTCTCTTTTTTATATATTTGTATTTTTCTGATGGTTTGCACTCTTTGATTTTTCTTTATGCTTTATGAAATTTATCAAGGAAGTCCCTAAGTCACTATATATATTTTTTGCAATCAATGTTTTACTGAATTTGTTAGGTTTATATTGAGGAGTTCTGGGATGTGTGTGGTTTTTTATTTCTAATAGTTCTTTTTATATATCAGCTTTCACTTAATTTAGGAAGGCAATATACTGGATACACTAAATAAAATATTTAAAGCACTAATATCATCTTATTTATTGGAGGCCATTGGTCCTGAATGCCAAGTGGGCTACCCTCTTCTTTTTGAGTTGCCCATTTTTTCCATATTATTTGGTAATTTTGTCTATTCAAATTCATGAACGAAGGTTAGTTTTATTAAGATTAGTGTCTAATATGGATTTTCTTATTGTATTTCCAGAGTTCTGCTGGATTTCTTCTTGCATAGCTCCCTCTGATCATGTCTTCCTAGGAAATGTGAGTGAATGGGTCTAAGGCAATTAATATATTTTGTTTCAAGATACAGATAGGTATGTTGAGACATTCTAAGACAAGGTGGTTGGCTTAGGTGCACTGTAAGATCAAAGCTGTAAATTCACTTATTGTGTTGTCTGTAGCAAGTAAAGGATCCAGAGAACACATGTTTTTGTTATAGCTCCATCTGTGGTTCTAGAAACTATTACATTTGCCTCTCACAGGAAATTGCTAACTGATTCAGTCTCTCGAAACTATTGTGTTTGCTTCTCACAAACAATTCCTGTTTCAATTTCAGCCTTTGGTGGTAAAGTCTAAAAACTGGCCTTCATTTGTTAGGTATTTTCCAGGCAATTAAGAGTAGGGATAGAGGCCGTGCATGGTGGCTCAGGCCTGTAATCCCAGGGCTTTGGGAGGCTGAGGCTGGTGGATCACAAGGTTAGGAGTTCGAGACCAGCCTGGCCAATATGGTGAAACCCCGTCTCTACTACAAATACAAAAATTACATGGGCATGGTGGCGGGTGCCTGTAGTCCCAGCTACTCAGGAGGCTGAGGCAGGAGAATTGCTTGAACCTGGGAGCTGGAGGTTGCAGTGAGCCAAGATTGCACCACTGCATTCCAGCCTGGGAGACAGAGTGAGACTCTGTCTCAAAAAAAAAAAAAAAAAAAAGAAGCGATAGAGACCAAGAGTGTTGTGTTAGTTTTATGCGCTGCCATAACTAATGACCACAAACATCATGACTTAAAATAGCAGAAATGTACTCTGCCACAGTTATGGAAGATAGAAGTCATAGAAGTCCCAAATTAAGGTATCAATAGGGTTGGTTTCTTCTGGAGCCTCTGAGGGAGAATTTGTTCCATTCTGTTCCATGCCTGTCTCCTAACTCCTGGTGACTGCCAGCAATCCTTGGCACATCTTGGCTTGTCAATGCATCATTCCAATTCTACCTCCATCTTCACGTGATGTTTTCCCTTGAGTCTATGTTCCTGTGTTTAATTTTTCCTCTTCTTATAAGGACACTCATCATATACAATTTAATCCAGTATCACCTCAGCTTAACTCGAATACATCTGTACACACCCTATTTCCAAATAAGACCACTTTCACAGATTATGCATGAACATGACTTCTAGGAAGACACTATTAAACCCAGTAAAAATTTGTATTTTAATATATATATATTTGTTTGTTTGTTTTGTTTTGTTTTTTGAGACAGAGTCTCACTCTGTGGCCCAGGCTAGAGTTCAGTGGTGTGATCTCAGCTAACTGCAACCTCTGTCTCCTGGGTTCAAGTGATTCTTCTGCCCCAGCCTCCCAAATAGCTGGGACTACAGGCATGTGCCACCATACCCTGCTAATTTTTTCTATTTTTAGTAGAGACATGGTTTCACCATGTTTCTCAGGCTGGTCTCGAACTCCTGAGCTCAGGCAATCCGCCAGCCTTGGCCTCCCAAAGTGCTAGGATTACAGGCGTGAGCCACCACACCCAGCCTAAACCCAGTACAAATGTTAGGTGATAGATTTCACACTCAATTTTAGCCAAAAGGCCAAGAAGGAATAGGGACTGGTTTCAATGCTGTGCTAAGAGGAGCCCCAATTTAACAAGTCCTTCTCTTCCTTTATGGCAGTTAAATCAAATAAAGCCTGGTAAATGCCTACGGCAGACGACCTCATAATTCACAAACTGAATTCTAACCTGCCCTCTTGCCAACTGTTCCAGGCTTCCCTTGCTTCTCTTCTCTGCTATTCTGAGATGGGAAAAGGGGACTCATGGGGATCTCCCTCTGCTTTGGTTAAATCCTTGACATGGGTCCTGTAAACTTATTTCTGGATTTTATACATGATTTGCTTAATACGTTCAAAAAAATCCTTTAAATTTTTATTCCATCATTGGAACTTTTCTCTATTTTTCTGTGTTTACAGATAGTTTTTTTCTTATTTTTGGATTTCTTTGGTCATGTCAACACAACATTTTATCTATCAGGCAAAGAAATTACTCTGTTTAGTTTGCTATCTTCACAGACATTGAAGCCAGTCCCTTACTCATCTTTTACAAGGTTCTAGTGCTTTGCACAAAGCAAACATTCAATGAGTATTTTAAAAAGAATTTGTAATTCTAGACATTAAATATTATCCATCAGCAAAGGGAAATTTTGGAGAGCGGAAAACTTTTCATGGACTTCCGCAATTATGTGGTACTCCAAACTGATAGATTAGGACAGATGGAGAAGAGACTACAGAGAAGTAATGAATGTATACTGAATGCTATTATAGGACAAGAACTACAAAAGGGCCACTTTGAAAGTGATTTACTTCCCATAACAATACTGTGAGACCAGAGTTTCTCTCATTTTATAAATAAGGAAATGGGATTACAGAGTTGAGTAACTTTTTCAGGGTTACATAGCTATTAGGTTGGTACAAAAGTGTTTGTGGTTTTTGTCATTAAAAGTAATGGCAAAAACTGCAATTACCTTTGTATCAGCCTAATCAACACTTGTGTGGAATTTACAGGCTTATTGGATGTTTTGTAGAACCCATGGCCAATTTTATAATTCAGAAATTCCCTCCATTTAACTATTCTATAACACCTAGGACAAAATCAAGTTAGACCCCCTCAGTAACAACAGAGCCTTGAGTACGTACATGGAATGAGGAACCTGAGAATTTCCAAGCTGACCTTCTTAGGCGATACCTTGTCCATTAGTTAGTTTATCATTCCCACCCAGATTCTTCTTTAAACAAACATTTGGTGAGTTATTGGCATGTGTCAGGCATTGTTTTGTGCTGGCTCTGAAAACCTTAGGAAAACACATGTATCAGATTACGAAGGGGTCATTCTGTTTTTCAGGAAGGAAGATATAGCTTTGCTGATAAGTTCAATGGTAATGAACAGTTTCCCAGGACAATTGACACACTTCCACAAGGCTAAGAAAGAAAAGTGGTATGATGATGAAAACAGAATGTGATGAGGGGGTGAAGAGAAGAATACCTTGTCCACATGAGCTTGAAGCTGGTGAGCATCAATCAATTGAGGAAGTTTGTTGGCAATTTCCATCCAAGGCCTATAATGATCTGGAAGTTCTTTCTGCATTTAAAATAGAAACATGTAAATATTTTAGACCTCTCTGGAAAGGGGCTTCCGAGAGTAGCTATTTTCACATTTCAGTCTTCAGGGGAATTCAAGTCAATGCAGTTGAACGAACATTGAGAATGCACCATATGCTAGTTAGGCCCTGTGCTCACCTCAGATACACAGATGACTAAGGAGCATATTGCCTAGTACGGGAGAAAAACACATTAGTCAGATATATGCCAATGCAGTAAAATATGTTTAATTACTGATATCTGTGTGAGCCAAATAACTTGCAAAGAAGAGGAAGTAGTTAATTCTGTCAGCTGTTGTGAGGAATTAAAGTGAAATATTCATAAAAATATGACAGTTGATCCCAATTTTTGGAGGGGAAGTGACTTTTCTGGGTATAAATGTGAAGAAGGGAAGGTAGTAAAGGTAGAGGGGACAGCAGATAAACAGATGTAGGTGCTTCCTGGGACAAAGATGACTCAGTGTTGCTAAAATATAAAACTCAAGAGAAAGTGATAGAGGCAGGAGGCAGACAGATGCCTAGGCAGATAGGGAAGGGTCCCTGTGAAACCCACCTTCAAGCCTAAAACAGTCTAAAGGCTGAAAGGCCAGACTCCTGGTCCCAGATGAAACCCGTGACCCAGAGGGAGAACTTCCCCTATTGGCTCACCCTTTCCCGATTGATTCTTTCTGAATAATGCCTTTTAACCAATCAAATGTTGCCTTTTCTGATACTACCTATGGTTTGCTTGGGTGAATAATGCCTTTTAACCAATCAAATGTTGCCTTTTCTGATACTACCTATGGTTTGCTTGGGCACACCCACATGCATAGTAGGAAAACTGGTGGAACCACCAGGAATTCATGCCTTATGCTGGGGAGGAGCCTAGCCTTTTCAGTTTGTGTGTGAAAGTCCTGGTGCTCCATTGTGAGGTGGGAGACTGCTGGTGAAACCCCTCTCTTTGCAGAGAACTCCCCTTTTGCTTAATAAATTCCGTCATCCTCACCCTTCACTATGTCCACCTGCCTAATTCTTCCTGGTCATGAGACAAGATCCTGGATTTCGCTGAGCTGAGGAGCAGAAAATCCTGCATCAAAAGGATGATGAAAGATGAGCCTAGAAAGTTACATGAAATGTGCTGTGTGTAGAATATATGAATTTTCCCTTTCTGTAAGTTGGTGACATGGTTTGATTTGAATTTTAGGAAGATAAATTTGTAGGACTTTAAGATATAAAGTCAGATAAGGAAGCCTTTAAAATATTGTTCAAGGACTAAACTTAGGTAATGACAGTGAATTTGGAAAGGAGAAGCCATATATTAAAGATACACTTGGAAAATGAAATTAAAATGATGTGATTATTAAATTTGGGGCTGGGGGCTTAAGGCAAGAAAATCACTAGCCCAATAGCTCCATTTATGGCCCACTCTAGGCCTGTGGTTTAGCCAAGTAAGACATAGTCCGAATTTCAGTGACCCCCAACTCTCACCCAAGGGACAGTAAACTACATTAATTTTCGTGAATTTTCATTGGCACCCAGCCTGTCTCATTTGTTTACATGCTATCTATGGTTGCTTTTACATTACAGCAGGAGAGTTGGTAGTTGCAACATAAACCATATGGTAAGCAAGCTTAAAGCAGTTAGTATTTGGCCCTTCAGAAAAAGTTCACCAATCTCTGATTTATCCCCCTAACCTGAGGCTCTTTTTCTCAGTGCATAACCTGCACAATTGAATTTTTGGGCTAAGAAGAAGAGGAATTGAGGATGATTTCCATGTTTATGAATTAGGTGAGCAAATGAATGGATGGAAACAAGAATTGAAACAGAAATGCAGGTGAAAGTCAAAGAGTGGGGATAAAGGTGGTAAATTCATTTTTAAATATATTGACATTAAATTACCTGTGGAATCAAAAGATATGACTGTGCTGAGAAGTTGGATACACAGTTTAAAGTTCAGGAGAAAAGTCATATTAGAAACATACAATTGGGGCTGGGCACGATGGCTCATACCTGTAATTTCAGCACTTGGGGAGGCCGAGGAGGGCGGATCACCTAAGGTCAGGAGTTTGTGACGGGCTTGACCAACATGGTGAAATCCTGTCTCTACTAAAAATAAAAAATTAGGCAGGCGTGTTGGCACATGCCTGTAATCCCAGCTACTCGGGAGGCTGATGTAGGAGAATCGCTTGAACCTGGGAGGCGAAAGTTGCAGTGAGCCAAGATCGTACCACTGCACTCCAGACTGGAGTAACAGAGTAACACTCCATTTCAAAAAAAAAAAAAAAAAAAGAAGTATACAATTTGAAAGCATAACTACAGTAAAAACCCTATATTGTGGTTAAAACCACAAGAGTGTATAAAGCCATGTGAGGGAATATGAAAAATGAAAGGAGAAGCCTAGATTAGCACAATGGAGAATATTCACAAGGCAGATAGAGGAACTGATTCCAGCAATACAGATCAAAAACATAGTGACAGACGCTCAATGAGCTTGAATAGAATGACCCTATAAAAGTCAAGACAGTAGGGCCAGGTGCGGTGGCTCACGCCTATAATCCCAACTCTTTGGGAGGCCAATGCAGGCAGATCACGAGGTCAGGAGATCAAGACCATCCTGGCTAACACGGTGAAACCCCGTCTCTACTAAAAATACAAAAAAATTAGCTGGGCGTGTTGGCGGGCACCTGTAGTCCCAGCTACTCGGGAGGCTGAGGCAGGAGAATGGCATGAACCCGGGAGGTGGAGCTTGCAGTGAGCCGAGATTGTGCCACTGCACTCCATCCTGGGCAACAGAGCGAGACTCCGTCTCAAAAAAAAATAAATTAATTAAAAAGTCAAGACAGTAGAGGATTTCACAGAAGTAGAGAATCATCAGAAGGTCAACCGCATCATTACAGAGTTAAAGTAAGATTGACCTCTTTAAAAAACAAAACAATATTAGGAAGTCACAAATATATATTAGTTTATCTATGTACATTTAATAGAAATTTAGGTCAGGGTCATAGAAGCAGGGTTCAAACGTTAGTGTGTTGAGGAATTAGAAAATAGAGAAAATGTAGATTACTTTTGAAGGAGAGCCATAAGGCAGTAGGGAATTTGCATTTCAGAGAGATCTTTTAAGAATGAGAAGCTTGAGCAGTTTATAGTTGGCTATTGCAAGAGGGAGAGATTGAAGACAAAGGAGAGAGGAGAGTAACAGAATGCAGAAGGAGCAAAGGACTGGAAGAAGCAAAGGAGGAGAGAGAGAGCCAGAATGGAATGTCTGTCCTTGCAGCAGTAGAAGATCTAGAGTTTAAAGGAGTTCACTTTTTATGGACTCAATTTCTTAGCAGATGGGAGTGAAGATCAAGTTGTGTGAGTTGAGATAGGGGTGGGTGTGAAATTAATTACAGAGGAGAAAAGACCAGGGACCTCAACCTAAACATAGAAATGACATGGAAGGTCCATGAGAACCCAGGGAAGTCTGAAAACTGTAAATTTGGAGTAGTATAGACCTATACATTACCCATAATTCACTTGGAAGTCTTCAGTCCCTGAGGATCTGAGACAAACCTGGGTTCAAGCTCCTAATTAATTCATAACTTGGGTACATCCAACATCCTACTCACAATCTCTGATTGATTGATTGATTGAGACACAGTTTCACTCTATCGCTCAGTCTAAAGTGCAGTGGTGCGATCTCAGCTCACTGCAACCTCTGCCTCCTGGGTTCAAGCTCCTAATTAATTCATAACTTGGGTATATCCAACATCCTATTCACAATCTCTGACTTATTTATTTATTTTATTTATTCATTTTGAGGCACAGTTTCACCCTATTGCTCAGGCTGGAATGCAGTGGCATGATCTTGGCTCCACCTCCTGAGTTCAAGAGATTCTCCTGCCTCAGCCTCCAGAGTAGCTGGGATTACAGGGGCATGTCACCATGCCTGGCTAATTTTTTGTATCTTTAGTAGAGATGGGGTTTTGCCATGTTGGCCAGCCTTGTCTTGAACTCCTGACCTAAGGTGATCCACCTGCCTCAGCCTCTCAAAGTGCTAAGATTACAGGTGTGACCCACTGTGCCCAGCCAAAGTTTATAGAGGTTTGAGAAAATAGTGTTGACATAAAATTGCTAGGTTAGACACATAATGAGTTATATTTTCTACTCAACAGAAATATTTTGCTGCTTTTCTGTATAAAAATCTACAAATTAACAGCCGGGCACAGTGGCTCACGCCTGTAATCCCAGCACTTTGGGAGGCCAAGGTAGGCAGATCACGAAGTCAGGAGATCAAGACCATCCTGGCTAACACGGTGAAACCCCGTCTCTCCTAAAAAAAAAAAATAGAAAAAATTAGCCCAGCGTGGTGGCGGGCACCTGTAGTCCCAGCTACTCGGGAGGCTAAGGCAGGAGAATGGCCTGAACCTGGGAGGCAGAGCTTGCAGTGAGCCAATCGCACCACTGCACTCCAGCCTGGGCGACAGAGCGAGACACTGTCTCAAAAAAAAAAAAAAAATCTACAGATTAACATGGAACTTCAGACTGAAGTAGCACAACAGTATTAATCAATACTAAGAAGTACAGAAAACAAAGGGAAAACCTCTAGATGTTTTAGTCACCGTAAAGTGAGATGGTTGAGACAATGCTCCAGGATGATATTGAAAAGACACACAGCCATTCTTTTGTTTCTGGATCATTCTTTGGATAATTTTCTTAACAAATTTATAATTTAAAGAAAAACAGATTTGTAAAACTGTATTTTATATGAACACTAAACTCTTTGTTAGATTAATGCTTGATTAGATTAAGTATAAATTTTGGCTAAGAAAGTAGCATAGGAAAATTAAAAATAAAAGCATGCACAAAAATAAACCAGGTGCCAGGCCCAGTGGCTCACACCTGTAATCCCAGCACTTTGGGAGGCTGAGATGGGCAGATCACTTGAGGTCAGAGGTTCAAGACGAGCCTGGCCATCATGGTGAAACCCCGTCTCTACTAAAAATACAAAAATTAGCCAGGCGTGGTGACACGAGCCTATAATCTCAGCTACTAAAAATACAAAAATTAGTTTGATGTGGTGGCAGACGTCTGTAATCCCAGCTACTTAGGAGGTTGATGCAGGAGAATCGCTTGAACCCAGGAGGCGGAGGTTGCAGTGAGCTGAGATCACGCCAGTGCACTCCAGCCTGGGCGACAGAGTGAGACTGTCTCCAAAAAAAGAAAAAAATTAGCTGGGTGTGGTAGCAGGCATCTGTAACCCCAGCTGTTCGGGAGGCTGAGGCGGGAGAATCGCCTGAACCTGGGAGGCAGAGGCGGGAGAATCGCCTGAACCTGGGAGGCAGAGGTTGCAGTGAGCTGAGATCAAGCCACTGCACTCCAGCCTGGGGAAGAGAGCAAGACTCCGTCTCAAAAAATAAAATAAAGTCTGGGCGCGGTGGCTCGCGCCTGTAATCCCAGCACTCTAGGAGGCCGATGCGGGCAGATCACGAGGTCAGGAGATCAAGACCATCCTGGCTAACACGGTGAAACCACGTCTCTAGTAGAAATACAAAAAATGAGCCGGGCATGGTGGCGGGTCCCTGTAATCCCAGCTACTCGGGAGGCTGAGGCGGGAGAATGGCGTGAACCCAGGAGGCGAAGGTTGCAGTGAGCTGAGATCGCACCACTGCACTCCAGCCTGGGTGACAGAGCTAGACTCCATCTCAAATACATAAATAAAAATAAAAATAAAATAAACCAGGTAAATATGAACAGGAAACTTGGGTGACAATATTAACATCAGAAAAATTAGAACCTAAACTATCAGAAAGATTAGAATTTGAAGCAGATGATTTTAAATGAAATCAAAGGTTTAAGTTTTGATGGAAAGAAGCTGTTCTGACATTGCATCAAAGTAAAGTGAAGGAGAAAGAGCTATTACATGCCCTTCTAGAGACAGGTGAGCATCACAGGGGCCCTGTAGGAAGAGTTTTAAAGAGCAAACTATCAAGGTTTTATTTTCATTTTACGTTTTTTAGAGACAGGATCTCACTCTGTCACCCACACTGGAGTGTAGTGGTACAAATATAGCTTATTGCAGCCTCAAACTCCCTGGGTCAAGCAATCTTCCCACCTCAGCCTCCCAAGTAGCTGGAACACAGGCACATAGGATCATGCACAGCTAATTCTTTTTTATTTTTGTAGAGATGGGGTCTCGCTATGTTGCCCAGGCTGGTCTCAAACTCCTGGCCTCATGTGATCCTCCTGCCTCAGCCTCCCAAAATGCTGGAATTATAGGTGTGAACTACCACCTCTAGCCTGATTTCCATTTGTAAGCATCACTTGACTGCTATGAACAGAATGTGTTACAGCTGAACAGGAATGGAAATAAGGAAACAAGGGGAGGAGACAATAGTCCTAGGGCTACATGAAGGTGGATTGAAGTGGGGTGGAAATGGAGAAAACTGGTCACCTTGGAAATATATTTCCATGATAGTGCTGAATTCATTTATTGTCAAATGGATCATTTGCAAATGGTGAAGACTATTGTGAGGATTATTTATTTATTTTATTTATTGATCTCTTTTTTTTTTTTTTTTTTTTTTTGAGATGGAGTCTCACTCTGTCATCCAGGCTAGAGTGCACTTGTGTGAGCTCGGTTCACTGCAACCTCCACCACCTGGGTTCAAGCAATTCTCCTGACTCAGCATCCCAAATAGCTGGGACTACAGGTGTATACCACCACGTCCGGCTGATTTTTGTCTTTTTAGTAGAGACAGTGTCACCATGTTGGCCAGGCTGGTCTTGAACTCCTGACATCGTGATCCACCCGCCTCAGCCTCCCAAAGTGCTGGGGTTACAGGCGTGAGCCACCGCATCCATCCAAGACTACTATGAGGCTTAGATTTAAAAAGTGTAGTTAAAGTTAACACAGGGCCTACTACAAAGTGAACACTTTCTATATAGTTATTACTATTACTATATTTTATAAACAAACTTCAACAGGGAATAAGAAAAAATCAATTCTTAATGAAATGTAAGAGGCTGCTATGAATAAATTTTGCTAATACACTTGAAAATTTCAGTTGAGTTCGCATTTGGGAAATTGCAAAAATTCATATTTTTATTTAGAAATAAAAAACCTAACTAGAACAAGAAGCATAAAGGGAATAGAAAATGTAATTCAAAACTTATAGCCTAAAATGTCTGTAGTCTGAAGAGCTATGCTATATCAACGGATAGATGATCTGTTTCAGAACACAGAAAAGCATGAGAAGGCATCTAATTGGCTGCGTGTGGTGGCTCATGCCTGTAATCCCAGCACTTTGGGAGGCCAAGCCAGATGGATCACTTGAGGTCAGGAGTTGGAGATCAGCCTGGCCAACATGGGGAAATCCCGTCTTTACTAAAAAGGATACAAAAATTAGCCAGGCATGGTGGTGCGTGCCTGTAATCCCAGCTACTCAGGAGGCTGAGTCGAGAGACTCTCTTGAGCCAGGAGGTGGAGATTGCAGTGAGCTGAGACTGCACCACTGCACTCCAGTCTGAGCAACAGAGCAAGACTCTGTCTCAAAAAAAAAAAAAAAAAAGTCATCTAATGCATCTTATGAAGAAAACGTAACCTAAAGATTAATCCTTGAAATAATAACACTAACCAAGGCAACTATCCACTGTTGCTATTTATGAATACAAAAAGACAATTCTGAAGATGTCACAAAATTGAGTTCAACAATATATTTAAAGATCAAGTGAGTCGGAGCATTGCTATGGTTACGTTTTAATGTTAGAACATTATTATTATACATTAAACAGTAAAATCTAGAAATATAGAAAACGTTTGGGGACAGTATTTTGACAAGCTACTACAGTAGAGGACATGCCAAAATAGCAACAAAGTTTTGCTGAAATTACTTCTAAAGAGGGTGGGACCTGACATTGGGAGATTTCTTTTCTTCTTTTTTATTTCTTTGTTTTCTTCCTTGCGGGATGGGTAGATTCGAGTCTAAGCTTCAGAGCTATGGATCATGGCTATCGTCAGAGTATTCAACTTTCTCTGTCCCCTCCCCCCACCTGGCATGAGAGCTCAGTCATTCCTCTTAAAAATCACCAGGCAACCTGTAACCCCAGCATTTTCAGATGCCAAGGCAGGTGGATCACCTGAGGTCAGAAGTTCGAGACCAGCCTGGCCAACATAGTGAAACCCCATCTCTACTAAAAATACAAAAAATAAGCCGGGTGTGATGGCCCGCACCTGTAATCCCAGCTACTTGGGAGGATGAGGCAGGAGAATCACTTGAACCCAGGAGGCAGAGGTTTCAGTGAGCCAAGAACGTGCCACTGCACTCCAGCCTAGGCAACAAGAGTGAAACTCTGTTTCAAAAAAAAAAAAAAAAAAAAGGCAAATATTAAAGAAATATTTGTTAATTGGTTTATATTGGTTAATATTTGTTAATGAGTCCATCTAGCATGCCAGAATATTTTTTCCTGGCCTTATATTTTCTGCTATGTGCTAAATTGTGTCTCCCCCAAATTCCTATGCTGAAGCCCTAGCCCTAGTACCTAAAAATATAACTGTATTTGGAGATAGGCCCTTGAAGGAGGTACATTGAAATGAGGCCTTTAGGGTGGGTCCAATTTAATCTGATTGGTGTCCCTAAAGAAGAGGAAATTTGGACACAAAGAGACAGGGGGAGACTGGGCACAGTAGCTTATGCCTGTAATCCTAGCACTTTGAGAGGCCGAGGTGCGCGGATCACTTGAGGCCAGGAGTTCAAAACCAACCTGACCAAAATAGCGAAACCCTATCTCTACTAAAAATACAAAAAATTAGCTGGGCTTTGTGGTGCGCACCTGTAATACCAGCTATTCAGGAGACTGAGGCAGGAGAATTGCTTGAACCCGGGAGGCAAAGGTTGCAGTGAGCCGAGATTGCACCACTGCACTCCAGCCTGGGTGACAGAGTGCAACTCTGTCTCAAAAAAAAAAAAAAAAAAAAAAAAGAGAGAGAGACATAGGGAATTTGTGCATAGTGGAGAAAAGACCATGTGAGGACACAATAATAAGGAGGCCATCTACAAGCCAAGGAGCAAGACATCAGAAGAAACCAACTCCACGACACCTTGATCTTGGACTTCCTGCCTCAAGAACTGTGAGAAAATCAACTTCTGTGATTTAAGCCCTCCTGTTTGTGGTATTTTAAGCCCAACTGTTTGTGGCTACTGTTACAGCAGCTCTGGCAAACGACTATACTATTAAATCTGACTTCACAATCTTGAAGATAAGTAAGCATCAGCACCCTGTCTGGGGCACCAGCAAAGGCACAGAGGCCTCCTTATGGGATTTGTGAGTTGAATAGGGGGTCCTCATCTCAGAGAAACATTAAACTCAGAGCATCTGCCCAAACCAAAAGCAAAAGTGCATAGAATCACTGAGGACTTAAATGACAGGAGATGAGGACTAGAATATAATGTCTAGGAGTGGAGAGTTTTTACACTGGTCTTTTTATCACGTCTGTATCCTAAGCAACTTCCTAAATGCCCTTAGGCATAGAAACCAGTGAATAAATTTTCACTAAATAGAAACAATAAAATGGCCGGAAAAATTTTGAAAGAATAGAAAATGCAGAAAGGGTTATTAAGTTGAAACTAGAGAGAGAGAACAAATGGCATTCGGTTAGATGGCAATCGATCTCAAAACTAGCTAGTGATTACAAATTATTTTTAAGGACAAGACAGGGAATTTTTGTACAAATGGTGTGATTTAAACTTAAACATCTCGGGTAGAAGAGAAAAGTTTTGTTATTGTTTTTGTTTTTGTTTTGAGACAGAGGGCCGAGGCGGGTGGATCACTTGAGGTCAGGGGTTCGAGACCAGCCTGGCCAACATGGCGAAACCCCGTCTACTAAAAATACAAAAATTAGCTGGGTGTGGTTGGTGGTGGGCTCCTGTAATCCCAGCTACTCAGGAGGCTGAGGCAGGAGAATCGTTTGAACCCAGGAGGCGGAGGTTGCAGGGAGCCGAGATGGCGTCACTGCACTCTAGCCTGGGCGACAAAGCGGACTCTGTCTCAAAAATAATAATAATAAAACAATCAGTAAAAATAAATATGAAGTAAAAATTTAAACACTAGATTTCAATTTATGGGACTCATTAACTGGAGATGATATAAAAGTGAAAGATTTCTATCAGTCATAGAGCCTAAAAAAGCAGTTGACTAACATTTATAATAATCATATTTCAAGTACTGAGGTCAATTATGCTAGAGATTCTGAATGAACTATTCTAGGTGGAGCTTCGGCATCAGTATTTTTTAAAACTCCCCAAGTACTTTTGCTATATAGCCGGAAACAACAACTCTAAACCACCTTGCATGTAACATTCTTTGAGGAAAACTCTTCAAATATCAGATGCATCATGTCATTTACAGGATGTGTTAAATCTGAACTCCAGGCCTGGCCCTGTGGCTCATGCCTGTAATCCCAGCACTTCATGAGGCTGAGGTGGGCAGATCACGAGGTCAGGAGTTCAAGACCAGCCTGACCAACATGGTGAAACCCTGTCTCTACTAAAAATACAAAAATTAGGCCAGGCGCAGTGGTTCATGGCTGTAATCCTTGAACTTTGGGAGGCCAAGGAGGGTGGATCACCTGAGGTTGGGAGTTTGAGACCAGCCTGACCAACATGGAGAAACCCCATCTGTACTAAAACTACAGAATTAGCCAGGCATGGTGGCTCATGCCTGTAATCCCAGCTACTCAGGAGGCTGAGGCAGGAGAATCGCTTGAACCCGGGAGGCGGAGGTTGCAGTGAGCTGAGATTTTGCCATTGCACTCCAACCTGGGGTACAAGACGCCATCTCAAAAAAAAAAAAATCTGAACTCCAGAGCCTCATTTCCGGGCTCTCTCAGTTCTCTTCACTCTTGTCTCCTGCTGTAACCTTCTTGATGCCAAGCTAATTTCCTCGTATTCTCCATGTCTAAAGAAAAATTAGCCCTCCCTCCAAAAACACACATCCATGCCCCCTCTACACACGTAGGGCACATGAAACATTTATTTGCATGAGTTGGTGAGGCACACATTTTCCACAATAAATGTTGGAGCTTGGAAAGGTTTGAACATTGACAGAAACAGTGGGATAGAATATTTGAAACTAAGTCAGACTGCTTCCCAAAACCAGAATTTTTTTTATTCACTGTCTTGACCACGTTTTCTTCAGACATGTTCAAGTAACTATCTATAGTGAGAAACCAAAAGAGATACTGAAGGAACTTCTAAAAGAGTTTCATCTAAAAGAGATACTGAAGGAACTTCTGTGAGGCCACTGGACATGAAGGTACAGCCTCCCGACTCTGACGCTTGCCTTTCAACTAAACGAAAGTAAGATCTGGTGTCCCCTTGAGCAGGGCAGCCAATTGTGATTCTCTATCTACTCTTGCAACACTCTGCCTGGTGATTTTAGTGGCTGGGTCCCTCCTTATCTGTGAAGCAACCTGGGGCAGATTTTGATGAAAATGTCCGTCTGCTACCTCTTCCCAGAAAGGGAGCAGTTGAAAATGGTCACACCAATGAAAGAAAATTAAAACTGAAACAAGGAAGTACATTTTGAGAACTATGGGGAAAATGAACATAACACAGTAAAACCACTTTCCCAAGGGACTTTTTTCTGCATAAGCTCAGGAATGGACATTCCATTAACAAAACCATAGCATATCAGGCAGGGAGCATCACAAGAACCTGATGCCGTAAATGTTTCTCATCTGTTTCCGTAGTTATGAAAGAGGAAAGAACAAAGAGGGGAATTCTACAACTGTGGATCTACGTCATGTTTAGCTCATTTGTAATACTGTTTTTCCTCAGCTCAGTGTACGCATTTAATCCCAATAAGAGCAATTTGGTCTTTTCTTCCTTTGGAACTAGGCAGGATATTCCTGAATTGGGTTAGATGTATAGAGTGGAGTTTTTAACAAGCACTGGCTCAAGGTCAGAAGACTGGCTTCTGGTCCTTACACTGGATTTATGAAAATGCTTTCACATTCATTCTCCATAGCAATCTAGTGGAGGTGGCACCAGATCTCCATCCAGTAAATGTGAAAATTGAGGGTCAGGGGATGTTTGTAATTCAGTCAAAGTCACAAGAGCTATTAAGTGCAACTTAGCGTGACCGACTCATCCGAATTGTCCCAGCACTTTCCTGATTTAGCACTGAGAGTCTTGCATGTCAGGCGTCCATCCAGTACCTAACAAATAGGGACACTTGGTCAACCTAGTGGCAGTGTCAGAGGAAACAGTCCGGTCCATTCCCATTTCTCACAGTGCCACTGCACTCCAGCCTGGGCGATAGAAAGAGATTCTATCTCAGAAAAAAAAAAAAAAAATCTTGGGGTCCGATGTTGCAGTCATTGCAGTAATTTTGGAGAGGTTCCACCCCCACCCTCCAGCCTAATTTGCCATTTAACTATGATTAAAGAATAGTGTGGAATTCAGTGGGCTTTTACTGAATACCTACCCTGAGGCTTGTCTACTTCTGAGTGTTACCGGAGTGATATAAATGAAGATAAAAACTCTGCTGCTTCCAAGAGTAGAGAGCTGTTTTGTTTTGTTTTGTTTTGTTTTGTTTTGTTTTGAGACGAGTTTCGCTCTTGTTGCCCAGGCTGGAGTGCAGTGGCACTGTCAGAAATGGGAAAGTTCTTCAAAGATTATAAAAAGTCACAATTTCTTACTATAAGATTGCTAGCCACTATTAGTGGCTGTCCAAATCAGCTGTCGTAGCTTGCTCCGGCATGTCTGGACAGAACTAGAAAAGCCCCAGCCCATAGTGCATGCCATTCCTTATATGGAGATGTTTCCTTAACTATCCCTGGGCAACTTGCTTTTCTTTCTTTGTTCTGTTCCCTTATCCAATTAAAAAAGTTTTAAACTAATAGCCGATTGGGTAAAGTGTAAAATGTGAGGTCCTATTCCAGCCAATGGAAGCTGGACACAGCAGTAGGGTAGATGCGTCAGGTTATAAATAACTCTGTCTCCTTTGTTTGGTGTGCTCTCGTGGCTGGACAGCTATTGAGTAGCACCCTTTCTGCAGAAAGTAAAGGTCCTTTTGCTGAGAGATCATTTGTTCCCATGTTCATTCTTTTTCTGTGACACCAAAAACTTCATTCCCAACAGCATGATCTCCACTCATTGCAACCTCCCCCTCCTGGGTTCAAGGATTCTCCTGCCTCAGCCTCCCCAATAGCTGGAACTACAGGCATGTGCCACCACGCCTGGCCAATTTTTGTATTTTTAGTAGAGACGGGGTTTCACCATGTTGATCAACCTGGTCTTGAACTCCTGAACCTCAAGTGATCCACCTGCCTTGGCCTCCCAAAAGTGCTGGGATTATAGGCGTGAGCCACTGCACCTGGCCTGGACCCCACGATTTTTAACTGAGTGGCCTTGGCCCTCATTTAGGATGTAATAATAATAATTAATAATAATAATAACTAAAAGTCAAGAGTTATAAGCAGAACTAGTTCTGCTTTTGCCACTCATGACTTTCAGCAAGTCATTTCCTCTGGATTTCAGCTAGCTCAGATGTAGAAAGAGGGGGATGACACCTGATGGTCTGTAAAAGCTTTGATAGTTTTAATGTTCTAGGCCTTGGACCACACCAGATGAGAAAAACAGTGTTTATAAGGGCTAAATGATGAAAAAGATTTGCATTACAATTTGAGCCCTAAGTAGAATTAAGAAAGAGGTATTGTTTGTTAGCAAGGTTTCCTTCCCCTTCTCAGAAATTGCCACAAAGATTTAATCCTTCCTACCAGCCCTGAAAGCACCCAAGTTTCCTCATGTTCTCTTTTTTTCTACCATTAGCAAGTCAAGATAAACTAATTTACATCAAAATGTCGCAATAGTGATCCAGGACAGTTTATAAGTAAGCGCTCCTGGGGGGATCTGCATTACAAACATGTAGTCATGCAAAGGAGAAAATCTTTAACAGAGAAATTCCAGGTACTCTGTTGAAGGGGCTTGAGTCTTACTGTGACCTTAGCTCATGTACTTGGAAGTGCCATGTTCCAGGTGCTGAGGCTCTATATTTGTTCTTTATTTATATTTAAGTTCATGCTTTTTCTTGATAACTACAGGTTTGCTTATAATTTCTCTGGCCTGACAATCTAGTCAAAAGAAACTGAAACAAAAAATGTTCCATTTGACCTGTTCTCTGTGGTATCTGTCACTTCTCTTTTGATAGTAATGATAATCTATGCTCTTTGTAGCATCTTTCTCAGGTAAA
The DNA here is from genome assembly GCF_000001405.40 of Homo sapiens. Lineage (NCBI taxonomy): Eukaryota > Metazoa > Chordata > Mammalia > Primates > Hominidae > Homo > Homo sapiens. The sequence goes on along the minus strand of NC_000008.11, from coordinate 39,949,377 downwards.
CAACTTGATATTTATATTGGTCTCTTAATAATCACATACATTTTTAAAAAACAAACCAACCAACATCTCAAGAAACATATTCTGACCTATCCTTACCAAGGCTCTATCCTTACCAGAGAATCTGGAAGAAGAAAGCCATACTCTTCAGATATGTGATAGCTTTCCAAAGACAATGGCACTGCTGTCTTCACATTCGGTCTGTGGGGCTCCATTATTTTGTTTGAAGTATCTGCATGGAAAGTGTCACTGAAGAATCAATTGTTCCTAATAAATTAAACACCCAGGTTCCATCCTTCGGTTCCAGTTAGTTGCGCAGTGTCTCAGGCACAGGAGAGAACTTTTCCCTGAGGTTGAATTCCAGATCATCATGGACTTTCTCTGAGACAGGGCTGAGTAAATTATTTAAAAAATGCTGCTTAAACAAACAGACAAACCAAACAAACTCAAAGAAATTCCCTCATTTTCTCTTACACACCAATATGAGAAAAGCAGTTTTAACCCCAGAGACAAATTTGTTCCACTTTGGAAAAGGAGAAATGAAATAGACCTGTGGTTGTGGTTTATCAAACCTGTACCCTAACAGGTACCTGCTCCATCGTGAATTTGACAAATGGATCAGAGTTACTCCAGCCAAATGGAGTAAACTATCAAAATTGTTAGCAAGGTTTCCTTCCCCTTCTCAGAAATTGCCGCAAAGATTTAATCCTTCCTACCAGCCCTGAAAGCACCCAAGTTTCCTCATGTTCTCTTTTTTTCTACCATTAGCACGTCAAGATAAACTAATTTACATCAAAATGTCGCGTTAGTGATCCAGGACAGTTTATAAGTAAGCGCTCCTGGAGGGATCTGCATTACAAACATGTAGTCAGGTAAAGGAGAAAATCTTTAACAGAGAAATTCCAGGTATTCTGTTGAAGGGGCTTGAGTCTTACTGTGACCTTAGCTCATGTACTTGGAAGTGCCATGTTCCAGGTTTGATAAACCACAACCACTTCAAAATTAGAAGTTACATGCAGACAATTATTCCAGTGATCTGTGGTGAGCAGGGAGGGGAGGAAGGGCCTGCCAGAAGCTCAGAAGGTGTTGTATGTAGTTTGAGCAACATAGTCTAGGATTATGATTGATTTATTTTAAGAAACAACACAATAACTTTTTGAAATATTCGATCACGTTAAAGAAGGATATATATTTTTTAGGTTTAGCAAATGAGATAATAAATACTAACAAACTTGGTAATAGCATTGTTTGAAATGTTTGTTCTTCCGTGCCGTAAAGAAATAGCACTCGAGGCTGGGCGCAGTGGCTCACGCCACTTTGGAAGGCCAAGGCACTTTGGAAGGCCAAGGCAGGCGGATCACCTGAGGTCAGGAGTTTGAGACCAGCCTCATCATGGAGAAACCCCATCTCTACTAAAAATACAAAATTAGCCGAGCGTGGTGGCGCATGCCTGTAATCCCAGCTACTCGGGAGGCTGAGGCAGGAGAATTGCTTGAACCTGGGAGGTGGAGGTTGCAGTGAGCCGAGATCGCGCCATTGCACTCCAGGCTGGGCAACAAAAGTGAAATTCCATCTCGAAAAAAAAAAAAAAAAGAAATAGCACTTGAACATAAATTTAATTTATTTAGTAAGGCCATTTTTACTTCCTGCAGAAAAGGTACACTTGCCAGCAGTTTTGCCACTAGAGTACACCAAACAAAGGAGACAGGGTCATTTATAACCTGACACATCCACCCTACTGCTGTGTCCAGTTTCCGTTGGCTGGAATGGGACCTTACATTCTGTATTTGTCCCAATTGGCTAGCAACTTAGAACTTTTTAAAAGAGGCACAGGTAGAGGAGAACAAAGGAAGGAGGAAGTAACTTGTGGAACGCTGAGAAAGGTAAAAACACTTTTAAATAAGGAAGAGGAACAGGCTATGACCTAATGCTTGCTTAGACCAGTATAAACATGCCAGGGAAAATATTTAGGCTAAATTGTGGGAGCTAAGAACATAAAGTACATTGATTTCCTTATTGTGGCTAGCAGATATTTAAGAATGTTAGCACAGGTCTTTGAATAAATTTTGCTTCTAAGAGAAGTTACTATTTATTCCTAATTAGACGGGGAGGAAAGTCTTTGAAGAGGAATATCTACTTTACATTTTACAGCAAGAACAAATTATTTAATTAAACACTCTACTTCTTTTTTTTTTTTTTTTTTTTTTTTGATACCTTAGCTCTAGTCCTAGAGTTTTGCCCCTGTTGGTTAGGCTTGAGTGCAGTGGCGCGATCTCTGCTCACTGCAACCTCTGCCTCCCAGGTTCGAGCGATTATCCTGCCTCAGTCTCCCAAGTAATTGGGATTGTAGGCACCCACCACCACGCCAATTTTTTGTATTTTTAGTAGAGATGGGGTTTCACCATGTTGACCAGGCTGGTCTGGAACTCCTGACCTCAGGAGATCCACCCACCTTGGCCTCCCAAAGTGCTGGGATTACAGGCATGAGCCACCTCTCCCAGCCTCAACCCTCTCCTACCAAACAACTTTTGGGACCCTACCACTAAGATAAGTGATTTCACTTATGAAGTGGGTACTACTGTAACTGCCCAGTGAGGTCACCTTGCCCACTGTCTAGACAGAGCCAATTTATCAAGACAGGGGATTTGCAATAGAGAAAGAGTAATTCATGAAGAGCAGGCTGTGCGGGAGACTGGAGTTTTATTATGATTCAAATCAGTCTCCGGGAGCATTCATTCAGGGAGCGGAGGTTATTTATCTATTTATTTTTTTGAGATGAAGTCTCTCACTCTGTTGCCCAGGCTGGAGTGCAGTGGCATGATCTCGGCTCACTGTAACCTCTGCCTCCCAGGTTCAAGTGATTCTCCTGCCTCAGCCTCCCGAGTAGCTGGGACTACAGGTGCGTGCCACCATGCCCAGCTAATTTTTTGTACTTTTAGTAGAGACAGGGTTTACCATGTTAGCCAGATGGTCTCAATCTCCTGACCTTGTGATCCGCCTGCCTTGGCCTCCCAAAGTGCTGGGATTACAGGCATGAGCCACCGCCCAGTGGGAGCAGAGTTTTTAAGGACAACTTGGTGGCCTGAGGGAGGCCAGCGAGCCAGGAGTGCTGACGGGTCAGAGATGAAATCATAGAGAGTCAAAGCTCTCTTCTTGTGCTGAGTCAGTTCCTGGGTGGGGGCCACAAGATCAGATGAGCCACTTTATCAATCTGGGTGGTGCCACCTGATCCATCAAGTACAGGGTCTGCAAAATATCTCAAGGACTGATCTTAGGAGCAGTTTAGGGAGAGTCAGAATCTTGTAGCCTCCAGCTGTATGACTCCTAAGCCACAGTTTCTAATCTTGTGGCTAATGTTAGTCCCACTAAAGGCAGTCTAGTTCCAAGGCAAGAAGGAGGTCTGCTTTGGGAAAGGGCTGTTACTATCTTTGTTTTAAACTAAAAACTATAAACTAAGCTTCTCCCGGAGTTAGTTCAGCCTATGCCCGGGAATGAATAAGGACAGCTTGGAGGTTAGAAGCAAGACGGAATCGATTAAGTTAGATCTCTTTCGCTGTCTCAGTCATAATTTTGCAAAGGCGGTTTCACTACCAGCTTTTGCAGATTAGTGATGAGAGATATAAATGAAATCCTAAGCTCTTCAACCAACTGAATGGACCTCTTCTTGGCTAAGAGGGTCCCAGAGTTAACTTGAAAACTGAGTTCTAGTTCATTACTAGATGGAATGTCAGACACTCCTCGTTATACCCTTGTAGGTAATTCTCTTTAGACATTCTTCCCTAAGGGCTAAACAGAAACCAGCCCTTTTGAAAGTCTCCTCTACCCCTGGTATCAAACAAGCACCTGACTGTTATCCCTCCCTTTTGCAGTTTCAACATAACAACCAGCCAGGTTCACCAAACATGCAGTGGTTCTGGCCCCTACGGAGAACACACAGTGAGGGTTTCCTGTCCTCTCCTTCACTTTTGACCTCAGAGGGCTGAAAGATCCTCCCTCAGATCATGCTAAGGCTGCCATTTTTTGAATGTAGGTCCCATGAAGGGGCATGAAGCCAAATTGCACATGTACACATTTCTCCTTTCATAAATATTCATAACTCCTCCTATAGCCTATTGAATATGTATATTTGGTCACCCCATTCAGCATAAATCTCTGTCTTATTCTTCTGACCCTGAAAGTGCCTGTTTCTGGCTTCCAGCCAGAGGCAATGCTTCCCAGACTGTAGCATGGCCACCCTGCAGGTTGCAACCCCATATAAGAAACCTCTCCTTTTCAAATTTATGAACTTTGTCATTCTTCAGTTAACAGTAAACTGAGGCACACACATGTGAATAACCCTGTCCAGTTTCACTCTATTAATTATTAGCAGAGCAAGGACTAGAGCTAAGGTATCTTAATTTCCAAGCCATTGTTCAGAATTTTATGCCAGGTGTTGAAAGGCCACATAGCTAATAGATGCTAGAACTGTTGTACCTGAACGAGTTGGAAAAACGCCACACTTTCAGACAAATTAAGAATCCTTTATTAGCCAGCGACCGAGAGACGGCTATCGCTCAAAATTCTCTCAGCCCCAAAGAAGGGACTAGATTTTCTTTTATACTTTGGTTTAGAAAGGGGAGGGGGGTCCAGTTAAAACAATTTTACAGAAATAAATTAGGCAAAAAGTTAAAAGGATAAATGGTTACAGGAAAGTAAACAGTTCCAGGTGCAGGGGCTTTAAGACTATTACAAGGTGATAGACTCGGGGCTTTGGGCGTTATCAATCAGACGAATTCCTGTGAATTGCGGATATAGCTTGCCACAGTATCTTACCAGTTAATTGCATTCCTGGATGTGCTGGGAGTCAGCTTGCACAAGCTAAGTCCTTGAGGAAGGGGCTGCCAGTGAAAGAGCCAAGATGGAGTCTGTCTGGCTCTCTTAGCTAAGGGAGAGTCAATTCAGGTGGAAACAAGGCTAGGTGATTAAAGGAAAACGGGGAGTCTAAAAGCGGGGTTAGTAAAAACAAGGTTGGGCATTACAGAACAGAGACTCACATTGTGGTAGTCCTGAGTTAACAGCAGGAAAGTCCTGGGCTGGGTGTAGTGGTTCACGCCTGTAATCCCAAAGTGGATCCTTGCGTAATAATATTCAGGTCATAGATCTCACTGGGGAAATTCCGAAGACCCTACCTTTTTGTTCATTGGACCTGAATTCTGGTCATAAGATTATACACAAATGTATTTGAATGCTTATGTATCCATACACATCTCTCCTTCCTCCCTTTCTCTAAGATAAATATGAAAGCTAAAAAAAAGCAGGAAGCTCCCAGATTAACTAATGCAACCGTTCTCACGCAGGTTTCAGTTTTGAAAGTTGTTTGATTTATGGTTCCTTATGAGACATCTAGGAGCCATTCTTGAACGCCTGGCCTCAGCTCCTTCTGTGCCAGGACAACAGGACTGAGCCACAGCACCTCTCGAGCCATTCTCAATTATCCACTTCCCCTGTTTGATTGCTCTGGCTAGGACTTAAAGTACTATGTTGAGTAAGAGTGGTGAGAGTTGGCGTGCTTGTCTTGTTCCAGTTCTTAGACGAAAGCATTCAACTGTTCACCATTCAGTATGATGTTAGCTATAGGTTTCCTTTTTTTTTTTTTTTTTTTTTTTGAGATGGAGTCTCGCTGTCGCCCAGGCTGGAGTGCAGTGGCGCGATCTCAGCTCACTGCAGGCTCCGCCCCCCGGGGTTCACGCCATTCTCCTGCCTCAGCCTCCCGAGTAGCTGGGACTACAGGCACCAGCCACCTCGCCCGGCTAATTTTTTGTATTTTTAGTAGAGACGGGGTTTCACTGTGTTAGCCAGGATGGTCTCGATCTCCTGACCTCGCGATCTGCCCGCCTCGGCCTCCTAGAGTGCTGGGATTACAGGCTTGAGCCACCGCGCCCGGCCAGCTATAGGTTTCTTACATATGGCCTTTATGGTATTGAGGAACATTCTTTCTACACCTAATTTCTTAAGAGTGTTTGTTTGTTTTTTGAGATAGTGTCCCTCTGTCATCCAGACTGGAGTACAGTGGCACAATCTCGGCTTACTGCAACCTCCACCTCCTGGGCTCACGTGATCCTCCTGCCTAAGCCTCTCAAGTAGCTGGGATTACAGGCTTGTACCACCACACCCAGCTAATATTTTTTGCATTTTTCTTAAAGACGGGGTTTCCCCACGTTAGTCACGCTGGTCTCAAACTCCTGACCTCAAGTGATCCACCCACCTCAGCCTCCCAAACTGCTGGGATTACAGGCGTGAGCCACTGCGCCCTGCCAAGAGTTTTTATTATTAAAAAATTCTCAATTCTCTTCAGCCCAATATCTAACCAATTTTGCAGTTCAGCATCTTATGCCTCCTAAATGCAAGTTCTCAGACTCTGCATGTTTAATTGTCCTCTCGTTCTTTCCTTCAATCTCAAATGAAAAGATGGCCCCATTATTTTTTATGTTAGTCATGTGGTTTTTTTCATCCATTCCCTCTGCACCTTCTCAAGAATTTCCTGTAATATTATACAACCATAGAATTGTGAAATATTAGAACTGAGTCATAGAATAAATGATTCAGTTCAATGCTCTCATTAAACACGAATCACCCAAGATTTATGGGAATGAAACAACTTATCAAGTGTATTCCTGGAAGCTGGCATCAGAGTTGGAGTAGAATCCTGATTTGATGCCTCTTAGTCTGGGACTTTCTTACTGATTTTGTTTGTTTGTTTGTTATACAGAGTCTCATTCTGTCACCCAGGCTGGAGTGCCGTGGCTTGATCTTGCCTCACTGAAACCTCTACCTCCCAGGTTCAAGCAATTCTTCTGCCTCAGCCTCCTGAGTAGTTGGTACTATAAGTGCCCGCCACCACGCTGGGTAATTGTGGTTTTGGTAGAGACAGGCTTTAGTCATGTTGGCCAGGCTGGTCTCAAACTCCTGACCTCTGGTGATCTGCCTGCCTCAACCTCCCAAAATGCTGGGATTACAGGCGTGAACCACCACGCCCAGCCCAGGACTTTTCTACTGTTAACTCAGGACTACCAGAGTGTGAGTCTGTGTTCTATCATCTATTAGCTACATGGCCTTTCAACACCTGGCATAAAATTCTGAGCTTCTGTTTCTGCAGGAAATCCATAATGTTTATCCCAGAGACATTACATGATGAATTAATGAGAAACTATAAGCGAAGCACCTACCATATAACAGGGAATGTTATTTTTCTCATGTTTCATGTTGTTTTCCTCTCATTCTAAAAATTCTTTCTTATTTTTTATTTTTGGAAACAAGCTCTCATTCTCTCAGCCAGGCTGGAGTGCAATGGTGCAATCATAGCTTACTGTATCCTTCACCTCCTGGGCTCAAGTGATCCTTCTGCCTCAGCCTGTTGAGTGAGTAGCTGGGACTACAGGTGTGTACCACCATGCTTGGCTAATTTTTATTTTTGTTTTTTGTAGAGATGGGGTTTTGCTGTGTTGCTCTGGGTGGTCTTGAACTCCTGGGCTGTAGCTATCCTTCTGCCTCGGCCTCCCAAAGTGCTGGGATTACAGATGTGAGCCACCATGTCCACCCATTCATTTCTTAGAATCATGCATTTCTGGTTTTCTTTCCTATTGTTTGAACTGTATTTTTCTGACTTCTTTTTCTATTTCATCCCTAAACATGCAGACATTTGCAGCATTAATGAGCCATTTCTCTATCTCAGTGTTCTTATGTATTTTTATTTAATCTTAACCATTAGTTATACTCGGTTCCCAAGTCTGCATACTCGATCTTGACTTTTCTTGTTCCCAAGGTCTAGACCCATGTTACTTGTGGGTCTGTAACTATCTTAGGTCCTGCCAATAAAACTTTCAAGAGCTCCTCATTGTTAATGAAATAAAGTGCAAATTTTCTTGGCCTGGCATTATGTCCAAAATCTGACCCCTAAGCACCTTTCTAGCAAGACCTTTGCTCAAGCCCTCAAAAATGATTTACTGCTCCTGAAACAACTGGTATTTGGTTTCTTTGGTCTGGTTATTCATAGTATTTTTCCAAAATACTTTCTTGACAGTCACCACTACTTCTACTTCTCATTTTTAAAAAGAGAGCCGGGAGTATTGTCGCATGCCTGTAGTCCCAGTTACTCAGGAGGCTTTTTTTTTTTTTTTTTTGAGATGGAGTCTTGCTTTGTCACCCAGGCTGAAGTGCAGTGGCATGATCTCGGCTCACTGTAGCCTCTGCCTTCCAGGTTCAAGCATTTCTCCTGCCTCAGCCTCCTGAGTAGCTGGGATTACGGGCCCCTGCCACCACACCAAGCTAATTTTTGTATTTTTTAGAAGAGATTGGGTTTCACCATGTTGGCCAGGCTGGTCTGGAACTCCTGACCTCAGGTGATCCGCCTGCCTCAGCCTCCCAAAGTGCTGGCATGACCTACCGCGCCCAGCCAAAGTTTTTTTTTTTTTTCAATTTTATTTGTATTTGGTACATAAGAATGGTATATACTTAAGAGTTGCATGTGATATTTCTATACATGTATGCAATGTGTAATGATCAAATCAGGGTAATTGACATCTCCATCACCGAAACAGTGATCATTTCTTTGTTTTGGGAAGCAGAGAGTAGAACAGTGGTTACCAGAGGGTGGGATGAATAGGGGGAGGAGGGACAGGGAGAGGTTGGTTAGTGGGTACAAAATTATAGTTAGATAGTAGGAATAAGTTCTAGTGTTCTATAGCACAGTAAGGTGACCATAGTTAATAATATATTGCGTATTTTAAAATAGCTAGAAGAGAGAGTTTTGAATGTTTCCAACAGGAACCCCACTTATCTTTTAAGATACATCTCAACTGCTAATACTTCCATGAACATTTCTTCAGAATTGTTTTCTTTCTGCAAAATTCTACAATCAATCTGTACCTCATTTACATCACACTTCCAGTTCTATCTGGTCTGATTGCTACTAATGTAGTAACCTCATCTTTCCTATTAGATTATAAGCTCCTTGAAAACAGAACCCATATCCAACACAACTTTGTATTTTCCTTTAGCCGTAAGCCCAATGTTTGGTATTCAATAAATATTTGTTGGATGAATGATATCTCAGTCTCATTATGGACCTCATATTTGTAGGACCGGGATCTGCGTGTCCGGTAGAACTTTGTACTGCTTTCGGTCACGCTGCTTTACTCCCAGCCCCAGAAACTTACCACGCAGTAAGAAACTCAGGGCTGTACCCTGCATGAAGCCCTGCCTGGCCTCTTTCTTACTAAGAGGAAGTTGGCTAGAGACAATTGTGCTTAGAAACTTTCTTTCGTAACAGTAAGGCTGGGAATTTTGGCGTCTTGGGTTGCATGATCAGCTTTCCATGAATCACAGTAGTACCAGTGCACAGCAAGGTATCCATTTCTATCAGTCGGGGTATTAGGGCTTTTTGGAAATGGCCCAAGGAGAAATTAGAAAAAGGAAAGAAAATATGGTCACAGTTTAACTTTTTAGGACCTCATTTACTTGTTTCCTAAAAGCAACATCAGATATACTTAGTTTCAGTTTCTAAATCGATAACGCTGGTACATTGAGTGTTTTTGCCCAGTTCATTAATTACTTCTTTGTTCCTAAATTCAATGGGGACATTTAAGTCCTTTCGTTGATTAACTTTTCAGGCATCTGGCATTGCAGCCTACTTTTTTTTTTTTTTAACTCTTTTATTTTCGTGACATTTTCCATGACATCTATCCTTCTTTATTTTACTGTACTTAATAACAAATAAATACGTAAAGACTGCAATCACGGAATTTTCTTTTTTCTTTCTTTCTTTCTTTCCTTTTTTTTTTTTTTTTTTTTTTTTTTGAGACAGAGTCTCGCCCTGTCGTTCAGGCTGGAGTACAGTGGTGCGATATCGGCTCACTGCAGCCTCCGCCTCCCGGGTTCAAGAAATTCTCCTGTCTCAGCCTCCCGAGTAACTGGGACTACAGGCATGTGCCAATACTCCTGGCTAATTTTTGTGGTTTTAGTAGAGACAGGGTTTTGTCATGTTGGCAAGGCTGGTCTCCAACTCCTGACCTCAAGTGATCCGCCTACCTCAGTCTCCCAAAGTGCTGGGATTACAGGTGTGAGCCACCACTCCTGGCCTCTTTTTTTTTTTTTTTTTTTTGAGATGGAGTCTTGCTCTGTCGCCCAGGCTAGAGTGCAGTGGCGCCATCTCGGCTCACTGCAACCTCCACCTCCTGGGTTCAAGCGATTCTCCTGCCTCAGACTCCCGAGTAGCAGGCGCCCGCCACCACACCGGGCTAATTTTTGTATTTTTAGTAGAGCCGGGGTTTCACCATGTTGGTCAGGCTGATCTCAAACTCCTGACCTGGTGATCCACCCGCCTCAGCCTCCCAAAGTGCTGGGATTACAGGCATGAGCCACTGTGCCCGGCATGAGTGTGGATTTCTACTGCACCATATCCTCACCAGCACTGAGAGTGCTGTCAGTACTTGGAATTTTCACCAATGTAGAAATGTAGTGGTATCTCATTGTTTTAATTTGCAATTTCCTAATGGCATATGATGTAGATCATATTTTCATATGCTTGCCACTGTGTTTCTTCTTTGATGGGGTTTCTGTTGAGATCTTTTGCCCATTATTTAACTGAGTTGTTCATTTTCTTATTTTTGAGTTTTAAGAATTATTTGTATATTTTGATAATTGTCTTTTATCACATATGTCTTTTGCAAATATTTTCTCCCAGTCTGTGGCTTGTCTTTTTGTTCTCTTGACGATGCCTTTCACAGATCACATTTTAATATTGATATGTGATATAGAGCTTGTCATTTTTTTTCATTGATTGCGCCTTTGGTGTTATATATAAAAAGTTATCTCCAAACCCAAGGTCACCTAGATTTTCTCTTATGTTATCTCTAATAGTTTTATGGTCATAGCAGTTTTTAAAATGAGTTTATTAGTATATTACTTTAAAATAATTATTAAATGAAATAAATCAAGGATAAAGTGATGCTATATTTTATAAAATTCATTTACAGATATATTTCCTGATAAAATTCATTTATATACAAAATATATAGTTTTCCTCACAAAATTCCTTTATATAGATATAGATAGAGAATTTTTTGTAGAGATAGAGTCTCACTATGTTGCCCTCACTGATTTCAAACTCTTGGGCTTAAGTGATTGTCCCACCTCAGCCTCCCAAAGTGCTGGAATTACAGGTGTAAGCCACAATGCCTGGCTAGAAAATTCTGCTACAAAAGAAATATAAAACAAACATATTCTAATATCTGTTTCTTGTAATATAAATATGAATTATTTAAATTTTCACAAACTCCCATATCTTTTTCCATAGTTCTTAACATGTCTAAGAAGTAGGAAAACAATAAAAGGACAAATAAAATACACATTTTACATTTTGTTATTATAAAACAGTTCATTACAAATATACAAATGCAATAAGATTGTTTGCATGGTCTACAAGCAATGTTATGTTGATTATCTATTTCACTTTTTTGATCATTACATTGTAAGGACTAAAGTTCCCTTGATCTTTGTTGTCTCATTAAAATACACATGTTTTGAGATGGCAGGTTTGCTCACACCTGTAATCCCAACACTTTGGGAGGTTGACGCAGGAGGATCACCTGAGGCCAGGAGTTTGGGACCAGCCTGGGCAACGTAGCCAGACCATTTCTCTACAAAAATATAAAAAATTAGCCAGATGTGGTGGTGCAGGCCTGTAGTCCTAGCTACGTGGGGGGTTGAGGTAGCAGGATCAGTTGAGCCCAGGAATTCAAGGCTACAGTGAGCTAGGATCACACCACTGCACTCCAGCCTGAGAGACAATGTGACACCTTGTCTCAAAAAAAAAAAAAAGAAGATATTTTGGTGTAGTTTTAAATTCTCATAGAAAAGCTTCCTGAAATAGACAGTTACATTACATAAAGTTCATTCCCTTTAAGCCAACAAAAAGTTACTTATTAAATGTATCTACCTAAATAAAGTTTTAATTGATGAAAACTAGAATTTTGATTAGAAAACTTTAAAGAGATGAAAGACACTGCAATTTCTGTTTGATGTAAGCTGCAAATTTTTCATTTTTTCCGTACCTGGTTATTTTGCCTTTCTGTGAAACATAACTGTTGGAATATAATCCCACCTGCATGATAAACTGGGAGCCATCATTCAACTGTATCCACAGAGCTCCACAGAGTTTACTGTGTCACTCAAACGACATTTTTCACAAAATAAAATTCAAAAGCTGTTCTGATTTTGGAAGACGATCATTGAAAGCGGCAGAAAAGGAGTTTGTCCCAAAGTTGTAGCTGTGCAATCATATTCTTTGTACAATAGGTATGTTAAATATGGGTATCTATTGCAGGGAAGATGAACTAGTCATGATTAAACTAGTCATGATTATTCTTCTTTTAAAAGATGTCTTTCCTCTCACTGTAAAGTTTGACCCACAGAAGGAGGAGGTGATAAGGCCTTAGGGGCCTAACACTGCCAGATTGTCTATGCATACCAAAAAGGAAGGACGACTTCCACGTTTATTTTCTTCTTTGGAAATTATAGATTTCAGTTTCAAACAAATGGAACACCCCCTAATTAGCATGGACCAAATTTATCTTCATTTTCTCTTTGTGGAGGCTAAAGCAACTCCATCTTGGATGCTAATCCACTGTGTTGACTTCTGATTAACTCCAGTTCTAGGAATGCCTCTAAGGTTACTACTTAATCTACTCTTAAGAGCATGTACTTGCCGTAAATCCTGCCGTTAAGCAAATTACTGCAATTGTCTTTCCCTGTGGTATATAAGCCCTGGGTCTGGGGGTAACAGTGTGAGGATCCACCAGCTCATCTCAGGGCAGATATATGGCTTCTGTTCTTAAGTCCCTATTAATTTTTCTTTTTCTGAGAAACTAGATTTGACAGCCTCTTTCTTCAGCCTGTCAGCCTCCTTGACTTTTGGGGGTGGGTTTGCAGAGAATTGTTCACAGTGGAACACATGTTTAAGCTACCATCTTTACTTCCTCCTTTCCATGTGTAAGATTTCTCACACATTTTCCAAGATTTTGCAATGACTTGAATTAAATCTCTTTTGGATAGTTTTTGCTCTATCATAATACCAGACCTCAAAATCAATAGCAGGGTAATTTTTTTCATCAAAATGCATCTACAGTACCTTGTAAAATAGATGACCTTGTAAAATAGAGCCAGATCCTTTAGGTAGAATAAATCTGGAAGCATATTCATATTTCCTCCAGTACATTTCTGGTAAATTGTTAAACCTGTACTTACTGATGTTAGTAGGTGGATGCATTCTATCAGCAAGAGAAAACTTCCATCATTTGGATAATACATTGTAATAATATCTCCATCCCTGGATATACTAAGACCTCTTTCAGAAGTTTTGTGGATACCTCTTCTGGATGAAGTATGTTCATTATTGCCCTTTTGATTTTCAGTTATGACTGATTTTAACTTGCACATAGTTAAAGAAGGTATAATACTTCATAATGTACATGTCTGAAAATACTTCAGGTTTTGCTGTCTTCCAAAACAATTGCTATTTCATAATCTGCCAATACTACTTTATGTGGTGTTCTTGACTGTGCCATTGTCAAATGTGTCCTCAAAAGTAATGCACAGGCTGGGCAAGGTGGCTCATGCCTGTAATCCCAGCATTTTGGGAGGTCAAAGCAGGTGGATCACTTGAGGTCAGGAGTTTGAGGCCAGCCTGGCCAACATGGTGAAACCCCGTCTCTACTAAAAGTACAAAAATTAGCAGGGTGTGGTGGTGAGCGCCTGTAATCCCAGTTACTTGGAAGGCTGTGGCAGAAGAATTGCTTGAACCTGGGAGGCAGAGGTTGCAGTGAGCCGAGATCATGCCACTGCACTCCAGCCTGGCAACAGAGTGAGACTCTGTCTCAAAACAACAACAACAACAACAACAACAACAACAACAACAACAACCAGAAAAGTAATGCACAAAGCATTCAGCCCATGGACCAAACATTAAATGCAAGTACATGTGCACTTTGCAATTTCTAGGGAAACATAATTAGGAATTTTACAATAGAGAACAGTGATTTTCCAATTGAGTTGCTAGCCCCAAATTGTCAGTCTTGATGTTTACATTATGCATACGAGGTTAGAAAAGAAGTTACCAGTGTACTTACCATAATAATGAAAATGCAACATTCTTGTGGTGGCCTGGTGGGTGAAGTGTCAAGCTTCATTTCCTAAGAAGGTTTTCATTCTGTTCTTTAGGTGTCCATTGCCTTCTGTATTATGGTACATTTCTAATGTCAAATCTAATCCAATCCTTGTCTTTAAAATATTTATAAAGCTCCAGTGTAGGAGGATGTTTCAACTGGCAGTGCATTTTCATCTCATTGTGGACTCTCTGTATTCTTACTGCTTTCTTAACTATCATCTGGACTGAAATTTCCAAACCAGTGTGTATGGACTCAACTTTGCAGACACCAGCAAATGATCCCTTACCAGGCAGATTTCCAACTTTAAAATTCTCCATCTTCTTTCTGTGGCAAAGTCACAATATTTCCAGGCACCAGCCTTTGCATTCATTGGGCTCAGTTCTCTGGCTGCCACTCCTATGGCAAAAGTACAACCACCTCAGCGTCTCTAGGGCATCTTCCAAGGCCAGGGCCATGTCTCTGAGCTCTTGTTTTTAAAAGCTTGGGCCCTTGCTCCACATAGCAGTAATGAAGACAAAAATGAGTCTTCTTCCACCCCACCTCCACTGCTCTTTTATTGCTACAACGTAATAAAAAGTCATGCATGAGTTGGGAATTTGAGGAGAGACTTGCGCAGTCAATTATCCAATACTGTGATAGCAAAGTTCAAAAGGAACCTAGTTCCCTTGTAAAAGAACATTTTCCAAGAGAGGAGATTGTATTGTGTAGCGGTTTGAAGTATTCTGCAGTCAGATTGCCTGGGTTCAATCTTTTACTTTGTCATAGCTGTGTGGCTCTTGAAAACTACTGAACTATATTGGGTATCAATTCCCATATAGGAAAAAGAAGTACTAGTAATAGTACCTGTCTCTAGATTCATTGTTTTGATCAAGTGATTAATGTATATGACACTTTTTGGACAGTAAGAGGCATATGAAAGAATTAAGTAATTATTAGCTATCATCATTAATTTATAGTTTTAAAAAGTAGCTCTCCCAGAAGATTCTATATATTAGATGATTCTGATGCTCATTTACAACATTTATATGTTTATGTTTACTTCTTGCATTATATATGAGGCTAGGTCAACAAGCAACTTATATGTTTGCTTATTTATTTAATGCTGGGCATTCAGGAGAAAATTTTCAATGAAGGTACACCAATCAATTCAACTTTAAAGTTAAGTATCAAACTTACCTCCTGTAAAAAACATTCCTCAACTTTTCAAACAGAAAGAATCATTTTCTATTTTGTGCCTCTATCACACACAATTTTCTTGTTAGTCTAACGATTACAGAGGTAATCACCCCCAAAGAAACACAATATGATGTCTTGTCTCTGTATGCTAATTGAGATTAGAGAAAGTTAAAACATTTTTATTGATATTTAAATGTCAAGCAACTGAAAGAGTGAGTGTCTGTGCAAAAGGGAGTTGAGCTGTATATGTGTTATTGACATCCCCTTCTCTAGAGGTATTCCCACAGAAGCTGGATACGTTGCCTCCTATATATTATAGTAATTAAGAGCTCATCTTTAGAGCCTGACTATGCAAATTTATACCCTAGCATTGTCTCTTCCTTGCTATATTCTTGAACAAATTTCTTGGCCTCTGCATCTGTAAAATGAGGAGAGTAATAATATATAGAATTGCTTTGAAGATTAAATGACTTATATAAAGACCATTAGGAGCAGTAATTGATGGTGTGAGTTCTAAATATAAGTTTGCTGTTTCCCAGAGGATCTAGAGATGGAATTTCTGCCTGTGTGGGCCATTTTGTCTCATATTTGGCAAGAATCTTATAAACCATTAAGTGTATGTTTATATGAAAAATTTTTGGCTTGTGTGAACTTCTAACTTTTCAATTGTTTATTGTTTATTGACATAAAACAATTATGTGGAAATGAGCAAACTTTAATTTCCAACCATTACAACTGCATGACTGCACTAGCTCTTGTTTAAAGGGCATGAGAAGTTCAGAGTGGCGTGAACCGAGAAAAATATATCTTATTTCCTTGTGAGATTATATTTAATATAGTAGAGTGAAAAAATAGGATTAAATGATACATAAATAACTTCAACATTTAATATGCAAAACTGAATTATATGAGGCAAGAGCTACAGAATACTTTTTTGAGCCTTGATATGAAAACGATACATATTTTAAGCTAAATTATCCTTACTTATGGAAAACAACCATGTGAAGAAATACACCACTATGAATTTCTTTCTTTCATTCTTTTTTTTTTTTTTTTTTTTTTTGAGAAGGAGTCTTGCTCTGTTTGCCAGACTGGAGTGCAGTAGGATGATCTTGACTCACTACAACCTCCGCCTCCTGGGTTCAATCGATTCTCCTGCTTCAGCCTCCTGAGTAGCTGGGATTACAGGCACCCACCACCACTCCCTGCTACTTTTTGTATTTTTAGCAGAGACAGGGTTTCACCGTGTTGACCAGGCTGGTCTCGAACTCCTGACCTCAAGTTATCTGCCCCCCCTCGGCCTCCCAAAGTGCAGGGATTATAGGCATGAGCCAGCGTGCCCCACCACCACTATGAATTTCTGTTTTTCCCATGACACAGACTGGGATAGAATTATCTTTAATTTCATTCAAATAGGAACCATGTTACTTAAAATACATAACATCTCGTTAAAACCATCTCCTGTGATAGGATACCACCTTCACCATCTGGTGATCCCACCCTACCCCTGGAGGAGCACTCACTGCGATGTGCAGAAAATGCCTGGGATGGGGGCGGGCGAGTGGTGGGCAGAAGCAGCAGGGCTTCTCATGAAACATACCAAGCATTTTGTTGTGCCTTTCCCACTCCAGAGATGATTTAATTAGAGTAATTCAGGAATCTTGGTTTCTATTTTTTTTTTTTTTTTTTTTTTTTGAGATAGAGTCTCACTCTGTCACCCAGGCTGGAGTGCAGTGGCGCGATCTTGGCTCACTGCAACCTCTGCCTCCCAGGTTCAAGCGATTCTCCTCCCTTAGCCTCCTGAGTAGCTGGGATTACAGGCACACGCCACCATGCGTGGGGATTACAGGCACACGCCACCATGCGTGGCTAAATTTTGTATTTTAGTAGAGACAGGTTTTCACCATGTTGGTCAGGCTGGTCTCAAACTCCTGACCTCATGATACACCCGCTTCAGCCTCCCATAGTGCTGCGATTACAGGTGTGAGCCACCATGCCTGGCCTTTGGTTTCTATTATGTGGAAACACAGAAGAGACTCTGGAGCTAGTGTTCACACCCTCTGTAGGAGCACGTGGAGCCCAGTGTCAGTCCCTCTCTCACCTACAAGGCAGCAGTGGGTGCAATTTTTATGACAATGCTCCTTACTTCCTTTCCCTCTCTCCCTTATTATCAGAATAAAGGTGATGTTCTAAAGGAGAAGGCATGACTACAGGGTCTTTCTTTAGCAACCAGAGACTCTCTGCACGTCAATACTAATTAGGTGAAACCAACTCTGGAAGAGAGAAATGCCTGATGTGCCTGAAGTGTAGCCTTTCCAGGGTTGTGGGCCATCAGTGCTGCAGGTGGGAGAACACAAGATAGATAGCATCTTGACCTGGAGCCAATAAAAGATCCTTAGGAGGCCAATAAAAGATCCTTAGCAGGCCAGGCACAGTGGCCCACTCCTATAATCACAGCACTTTGGGAGGCTGAGGCGGGTGGATCACCTGAGGTCAGGAGAACGAGACCAGCCTGGCCAACATGGTGAAACCCCGTCTCTACTAACAATACAACAAATTAGCTGGCCATGGTGGCAGGTGCCTATAGTCTCAGCTACTCAAGAGGCTAAGGCAGGAGAATTGTTGGAACCTGGGAGGCAGAAGTTGCAGTGAGCCCAGATCGCACCATTGCACTCCAGCCTGGAGGACAGAGCAAGACTCCTTCTCAAAGAAAAAAAAAAAAAGATCCTTAGCAAGTTACTTACCTATGCTAGTAGTACTTTATAGCTTCCTAATACTTCAACACCATATTCCACTCAGGCCTCACAGTAACCTTGTGAATAAGGCAGGGCTAGTGTTGTTATGCTTATTTTGCAGACATAAAATGGTCACAAAGCTGAAAGATGTCCAAATGGAACCCATGACCTGGTCTCTTGACTCTCAGGTTAGAGATTTCTGTACCACATTTAACTCCAAGAATGTGATGGTCATTCTGGTTATCCCTTAAAACTTACACACAGGCCACGCACGGTGGCTCACACCTGTAATCCCAGCACTTTGGGAGGTCAAGACAGGTGGATCTTCTGAGGTCAGGAGTTTCAGACCAGCCTAGCCAACATGGTGAAAACCTGTCTCTACTAAAAATACAAAAATTAGCTGGGCTTGGTGGTGGGCGCCTGTAATTCCCAGCTACTCAGGAGGCTGAGGCAGGAGAATTGCTTGAACCCAGGAGGCGGAGGTTGCAGTGAGCCCAGATCACACCGCTGCACTCCAGCCTTGGTGACAGAGTGAGACTCTGTCTCAGGGAAAAAAAAAAAAAGAAAGAAAGAAAAACAAAACTTACATGCATGTGCACACACATATATGTATTTGGTAGGTACATGGGCATGATGCATATTTACTTTTTTCATTATAGAATTATATGTCCTCATTGCAGAAACATTGACAGAAGCATAAAGAAGAAAATGTGTCCGGCCTGATAAATACCGTTATCGTTGACATTTGGTGCATTTTCTATGGAATCTAGTGAAAGTCTGCTGTGAGCAGGAAGATTTCACTGCATTACGGTGTATTTAAGAAACAATATTAAAATAGTTTTTAGAAGTTTGGTTTTTAGAAATATATGGCTACATTTCCTTCCTCAAACCTATTTGGGTATACTCGTTTAAATTCCTGTGTATTTAAAAGAGCTCAGAGCTCCTCAGAACTCAGGTTTTCATAACTTCAAAGTGCTTGCTAATTCCACACCCATAAGACCATGGTGCTTTTTCCTCCTCTCATCTTTTTTTTTTTTTGAGACGAAGTCTCGCTCTGTCGCCCAGGCTGGAGTTCCGTGGCGTGATCTCCGCTCACACTGCAAGCTCTGCCTCCTGGGTTGACGCCATTTTCCTGCCTCAGCCTCCCGAGTAGCTGGGACTACAGGCGCCCAACACCACGTCCGGCTAATTTTTTTTGTATTTTTAGTAGAGACGGGGTTTCACCGTGTTAGCCAGATGGTCTCGATCTCCTGACCTCGTGATCCACCCACCTCGGCCTCCCAAAGTGCTGGGATTATAGGCGTGAGCCACCACGCCCAGCCCCCTCCTCTCATCTTCTATAACATAACTTGATTTCTGGCTGACCATTTACAATCTCATGAGTTCCTGCCTAGTCATTTCATTTCCTCCCCTTTCCCTTCCAAAATTATTTTTTCCTTCAACCTAGTCTACTCCAAGTAGAGCAAAAAGAACAAAGACGTGAGTCATCAAAATTTTTTTCTCCCATTGTTAACCAACTAATTGTGTGGCCATCAGTAAGTTATTTCACCCTTTTGTGCCTCAATGTTGCCATCTTTAAAATGAAGAGCTTTGCTTTGATAATTCTTAAATTCCTCTCAGGCTCTAGCTTCTTAGGGTTCTATTATTAAATATATACATGCCAGAATGTGAGTGCCCAATAATCTGGATCTCTCAGGAGAAGTGTTATTTCAAAGGTGAATCTTCTCTTTAGCCCAGGTTAATTTATCATACATTCATTTATTCTTTTATGTATTTATTGAACATAAATTTGCTAAGTGTCTTCTAAAAGCTGGGATGCAGCTGGGTGCGGTGGCTCACACCTGTAATCCCAGCACGTTGGGAGGCCAAATCATATCTTTCATAATCACATGGGATTACAGGCATGAGCCACCACACCTGGCTGCATCCCAGCACTTTGGGAGGGATGCTATAATCCCAGCACTTTGGCCTTCCAAAGTGCTGGGATTATCATATATTCCAATGATAAGATACAGACATAACTTGAGCTCAGGAGTTCAAGACCAGCCTGGGCAACATAGCAAGACCCTGTCTCTACAAAAAATACAAAAATTGGCTGAGCATGTTGGTGCACAGCTGTAGTCTTAGCTACTTAGGGGGCTGAGGTAGGAGGATCACTTAGGTCTGGGAGGTCAGGGCTGCAATGAGCTGAGATCATGCCACTGCACTCCAGCCTGGGTGACAGAGTGAGACCCTGTCTCAAAAACAAACAAACAAAAAAAAGCTGGGATGTATAAATCTGGTAAACAATACAGAGTGTCCCTGGCATCAAGAAGCTTATCATGTAATAAGAATATAGACAAGTTGACAGGTAATTATGAAAAAGTCTCACATTAACATAGGGAAAGTATAGGAGTCTATTAGCCCTGCTGAAAGCAGTTTATAGTAGGTCTCATCTAAATAAATATTTTATTATGGTTATAAATGAAGCAACATTTATTATATCTTATGCATTTTTATTTATTATGACAGAATATATCTTTTTTTTTTTTTTTTTGAGACGGAGTCCCGCTCTTTAGCCCAGGCCGGATTGCAGTGGCACAATCTTGGCTCACTGCAAGCTCCGCCTCCCAGGTTCACGCCATTCTCCTGCCTCAGCCTCCCGAGTAGCTGGGACTACAGGTGCCCGCCACCGCGCCCGGCTAATTTTTTGTATTTTTAGTAGAGACGGGGTTTCACCGTGTTAGCCAAGATGGTCTCGATCTCCTGACCTTGTGATCCGCCCGCCTCGGCCTCCCAAAGTGCTGGGATTACAGGCGTGAGCCACCGCGCCCAGCCGACAGAATATATCTTATGCATTTTTATTTATTGAATGTCATTTTATTCCAATGATAAGATACAGATTACAAAACTTCTAGTATAATTACACATAATTACCTTTTGTTGTTTTCCTACAAGAAATGCACAGGTATTTTGAGGTCTTTTGTATTGCATTATTGGTAAAACATTGCATAGTATTAGTTTGTGGCTCTGTTACAATGGGTAATGACAGGAATGCATACAGATGTCTCTGCTATGATAAAATGTGCTCTTGTTGGGTTACATTAACCTTCCTTCAAAAGGGATTTCTCAGTTGTACTTCTTACAGTCTTCAGGAAATTCATTAAATCAGTGCCTCCAGTTCCTTTGGCTTCCAGTTTTGAAGGGTCTTCAGAGGTCTTATTCTCCTTTGGCTGCTGGCTTGCAGGAATCAGGATGTACTTAGTCACGATTTGCAGATGGTAGCTCCTCAGGGAGACCAGAGCTTTCACACAGGCGTCATAAGCTTCCCGCAGGCCAGCATCACCTTTTGAAAGGACAAACTCACGGACTGAGGGATTTGACTCTAATGAGCACAGGAAGTTCCTGTGAGCTGGTGGCATATATCTTCTCATGTCCTGGAGGAACTGAGCAGCATGTCCTATAGGAAAAAGAGAAAGAGGAAATACGGAGGTCACAGCATTCCCCAATCCAGGAGAGAAAGGCAGAGTGAGGTCAGAGTGGGCAGGAGATCACCAATATAGCATTCACTGAGGTCAAGGTCATTCTATTTGAAGGCTAATGTTTGGCTATTAGTCTTGCTACTAGCAATCGTAATTATTGTAAAATATTATTAATTTTGAAAACTGAATGAGCTAAACTCATTTTCTCACAATAAGTATTTTTGTTTGCGCTTTTTTTTTTTTTTTTTGAGACAGAGTCTCGCTCTGTCGGCCAGGCTGGAGTGCAGTGGCACGATCTCGGCTCGCCGCAACCTGTGCCTCCCGGGCTCAAGCAATTCTCCTGCCTCAGCCTCCGGAGTAGCTGGGATTTCAGGCATGCGCCACCATGCCCGGCTAATTTTGTATTTTTAGTAGAGACAGGGTTTCTCCATGTTGGTCAGGCTGGTCTCGAACTCCTGACCTCAGATGATCCACCTGCCTCAGCCTCCCAAAGTGCTGGGATTACAGGCATGAGCCACCGCGCCTGGCCTTTGTTTGCACTTTCTTTCTCTCTTTTCTACTGTAAGAAGCTGATGGTATAGACAAGGGGCATATATAATCTGCATTTGACAGATTATGACTGATTCTTAAGAGAGTTTAAGAGATTGTGTTTAAATGAGTGTTCAACAACAGCAAAGACATGGAATGAACCCAGGTGCCCATCAATGGTAGATGGGACAAAGAAAATGTGGTACATGTACACCATGGAATACTACACAGCCATGAAAAAGAATGAAATCAAGCGCTTCACAGCAACATGGATGCAGCTGGAGGCCATTAGCTTAAGTTAGCCTAAGTGAAATAATGCAGAAACAGAAAACCAAATACCACATGTTCTCACCGATAAGTGGGAGTTAAATATTGAGTACACATGGACACAAAGATAGGAACAATAGACAGTGAGGATTTCAAATAGGGGAGGGAGGGAGGAAGGAAAGCAAAGGTTGAAAAACTACCTATTGGGCACTATGTTCTATACTTGGGTGAGGGGATCATTAGAAGCCCAAACATCAGCATCACCCATTATACCTGTGTAATAAGCCTGCACATGTATCCCCTGAATCTAAAATAAAAAAGTTAAATATGATAAAAAAATTTTAAAAATGAGTGCTCAAATTAAGAAAAACTCATGTTTTTACCCAGCCCGATGCTTTCCCCTTTGACTGTTAAACAGAAGTTTAACAAAACAGAGAAAATTAAAAAGAAGTTCTTCTTGGAGCTTATTCCTCCCCTCCAGCTAAGCCCCTAGAAGGCATACAATGAATGTGGCTCACCTTTAAACTTTGGTGCAGGCATTGCTCTGGGTGGCTGGGGCCACGGGACAGCTGAACAAGAGCAGGGCCCAGACTCTGCTTGTCACTGAGGTCTTTATCTCCCCACTAACAGCCCTGTCTCATTTGCAGGTGAGTGTCTCTTTCTGAGTCTGATCATACATTTTCAGAGCATGTGATATTGGCTTCACCGGAGTCAACCAGTCTTTATAGACATGTTCAGATTTCAAGATGGAACTTGGGTGTGAGGAAAGCTCTGCCAATTTATTTTATTTTATTTTTCTTTTTGTTTTTATTTATTAATTTTTTTTGAGATGGAGTCTCGCACTCTTGCCTAGGCTGGAGTGCAGTGGCGCCATATCGGTTCACTGCAAGCTCCGCCTCCTGGGTTCACGCCATTCTCCTGCCTCAGTCTCCCGAGTAGCTGGGACTACAGGCACCCGCCACCATGCCCAGCTACTTTTTTGTATTTTTAGTAGAGACAGGGTTTCACCGTGTTAGCCAGGATGGTCTCGATCTCCTGATCTTGTGATCCGCCCGCCTCGGCCTCCCAAAGTGCTAGGATTACAGGCGTGAGCGACTGCACCTGGCTTTTTATTTTTTATTTTTATTTTGAGATGGAGTTTTGCTCTTTTGCCCAGGCTGGAGTACAGTAGCACGATCTTGGCTCACTGCAACCTCTGCCTGTGGGGTTCAGGCGATTCTCCTGCCTCAGTCTCCCGAGTAGCTGGGATTAGAGGCACCCACCACCACACTCAGCTAGTTTTTGTATTTTTAGTAGAGACCGGGTTTCACCATGTTGGTCAGGCTGGTCTCAAACTCCTGACCTCAGGTGATCCACCTGCCTAGGTCTCCCGAAGTGCTAGGATTACAGGCTTGAGTCACCGCACCTGGCCAGCTCTGCCACTTTCTAGCTGGTTCACAAGGAACCTGTCACTGACTCTCATTAAGTTTCTGCATCTTCATTTTTAAAATGGGATCATGGCAACCAAATCCCTACTTGCCTGATTCTGCTAAAACTATCAGATAAGCTCAGATAAGATGCTGATGGGAAGGTGCTTTGTAGATATCCAAATACTATTGTATTCACATAAGAGATAATTATTTCTTGTTATTTTCCACTCACCTCCACCAGCAGTCTGCTGGATGCCCAGCAGGACGTCAAAGCACTGAAAGACGCTGCTTTGGCCTGCACTGCCCCCTGCAAACTCCTTTGGGTCTTCCCAGAACCCTTCATACACCAGACCGTCTGATAGCTGGGGGTTGCCTTTCCAGCTATCAGAGGAAAGAAAGAAAAAAAGAAAAATCATTCTTTAGGTTAATTGCTAATTTTCAGGTACCAAATCTTGCACTAGTGCTGAACAGAAGGTGACAAGAGATGGATTTCATGATCCTTTTTTCATACCCCCTTGCCCCTGCTCATTTTCAAGCATGAGAATAGTAAATAATATAATCCTGAGCAGATTTGGCATAACTATTCTAGGAATGGAATCTTACCTTTGTACTAGCACAGACCACTCTTTTTAAAATAACTAGCTTTCCTGTCCCCCACTCCAGTACATTCCTGGCCAAGTGATAACAGAACAGTCTAGTATTTTTCTACCATGTGAATTTTTGGATGTAAATTGTTAGCCAAACCCAATGGATATTAGGGACCAACCAAGAGAATTTGGTGGTGTTCTTTGTTAAGTGAGAGCAAACAAATTCAAACATAAGACTACATACCCAGACAAATATATGCGAAGAACACTGAAAAATGCTTTTGGGTTCACATGATCTGTAAAAAGATGGAATATGTTTAATTAAGCAGCATCAGAGGTATACAGGGAAATCAAGGTGTTGTGTACAACTGATAATGGATTTTGGCACAGGCTGCAGGAAAAGGCATTAGGTCAGTCTATGCTAAACAAAGCCCCTGCAGATAAGCATTCACTTTCCTACCCTCTTCCAGGAAGCCCATTAAACTGTATCTATTTATTTAGCACTACTTTACTTTACGTGCTTACTGACGTAACAAGTAAACTGTTTACATAAAGAAACAAACCAAAGACAAAAAAAAACAAATCAAAACAAACCAAAACAAAACCCTAGAAACTAGATTTCCCTCTCTATTTTTAAAATTTTTAAAAATTGTTTGGAGACAGGGTCTCACTTCATCACTCAGGCTGGAATGTATTGATCATAGCTCACTGCAGCCCCAACTCCTGGGCTCAAGCAATCTTCCCACCTCAGCCTCCCAAGTAGCTGGAAACTACACATATGAGCCACCGCACTCAGTCTCCTACCCTACTTGATTTGAAAATCTAGCTTCTTGCCAAGGACTAAACAGCAATAACTCAAAACCCAGAGAGAAACAATCAAGTATTTGTTGAGTCTGTTCAGTAGGGCAGATTTCCTATTGCAAATTACTGCTTATGCACTTTTTTGTGTGTTTTTTTGTGGGTAGTTTTTTAGCTGTTAATTTTGCAACAACTTTTGACCTCAATGACTTTTCTGTATTGTTTCTTAATTTGTAAAAAAACAGAATTAGGAAGGAGTTCTTATCAAGCAGAAGCTATTTTTTTTTTTTCGGGACTTAAAACCACCCTCCCATGTGGAAAGTTTCTCTAAGGTTTTTAGCGGGAGGCAAGGAAGTTCCTTAGTGTTAAATAGACCCAGCTTGGAACTCTGGCTTCACCGCCTGTGGAATCTGAAGTCATTTACCCTGTCTTTCTGAATTTAGATGACTTTACTTATAAAATGGAGATAATGAAACCTACCACATAGAAAGTGGAATGGTTTAGTAAGATAAAATACCTAAAGTGAAAACATACTAAGTGATAGTTGCTTTTTGCTTCCCTTTTTTCAACTATTCTACACCTGGAACATTTGACTTGTCAGCCTAGACTATTGCACTGCACACAACACTTGCCGTGGATTTGGTGAAACACTTGAAGGGCTTTCTCCAAGCAAGAAGCTATTTCCAACAGCGCCTTTAGCAAAGTGTCCCGTTCTTGCATTTGCATTGCCTTGAATACAGTAGGAATTACCTAAAACAAACAAACAAAACACAAACATTTAAGGTTTTCTTTCTTTCTTTTTTTTTTTTTTTTTTGAGACGGAGTCTCGCTCAGTTGTCCAGGCTGGGGTGCAGTGGCGCGATCTCAGCTCACTGCAAGCTCTGCCTCCCGGGTTCACGCCATTCTCCTGCCTCAGCCTCCTGAGTAGCTGGGACTACAGGTGCCCACCACCATGCCCGGCTAATTTTTATATTTTTAGTAGAGACGGGGTTTCGCCATGTTGGCCAGGCTGGTCTCGAACTCCTGACTTCAAGTGATCCGCCCACTTCAGCCTCCCAAAGTGCTGGGATTACAGGTGTGAGCCACTGTGCCCTGCCAAATTCCCCCGTCTTAATCCATAAATTAAATTTGGGATTTTTACATTTCTTTCCTGGGCTGGACACTCTATTTGACTAATTTCCTTACATTTATAGAAGCTTGGATTTGTTTTTATTCACATAGCATTTAATTTAAAGATATTTATATAGTTGTATATGTTTCATTTCTATTTTTGATAATCAAAACTATTGAATTTATGACACTGTATCATAGTTCCAAAGCCAGATTTTATTGAAAATTTTTATCTCCTACAGAGGTTTCAAGTTGGATTTTAAGTATATGGCTCTGAGATTTTATATTTTAGGTAATACACAAAAATAAATAATTGATCCTTTACCCCCAATTAAATGATCCCATGTTGTACTTGTTAAGGATAAAGTTAACTCATGCTTAGTATAGTTTAGGCTCCGAAGTGATTGCTCTGCTTACGTAAATTGACATATAAATTTTGAAGTGAGGATAGACGTACTTTGATTGCAGAAGCAGCTGCTATTTCCACCAATAGAGAGACCAGGAAGAATCCTTTACTGCAGTCTCCATCACGAAATGAGAACAAAACGTCCATGTTCCTGAGGAAATTGGATAAGGAAGGCAAGAAGTTTAGCAAAAATTATGGGATATTTTTTGACATTTTTATTTATGCTATTTTAGTTTCAACATAATTTTATGAGAGAGGTGTGGCAGGCCTTACTATCTCCATTATGTAGTTGGGAATATTAAGACTCCTTTTTTAGGCCCATTGTCCAAGATCATATAATTAATAGTAAGTAGGTTAAACTGAGACCTAAAGTTTCATATTAGAACTCAGAACTAGGGCCGGGCATGGTAGTTCACATCTGTATCTGTAATTCCGGCACTTTAGGAGGCCAAGGCGGGTGGATCACCTGAGGTCAGGAGTTTGAGACCAGCCTGGCCAATGTGGTGAAACCCCGTCTCTACTAAGAATACAAAAATTAGGTGGGCATGGTGATGGGCGCCTGTAATCCCAGCTACTCGGGAGGCTGAGGCAGGAGAATCACTTGAACACAGGAGGCGGAGGTTGCAGTGAGCCAAGATCACTCCATTGCACTCCAGCCTGGGCGACAAGAGCGAGACTCGTCTCAGAAAACAAATAAACAAAACAAAACAACAACAACAAAAAACACTCAGAATTAGAAATTCCCAAACTAGTTCTGTTTCTATTATCCCGTCAACTTCTCACAGGATATCTGCGAGGTAGAGTTTTAAGAGGTAGTCTTTTGTTTAAATAATTATATTCATATTCACATTTTAATTTGTGAGCCTAATTCAATTTCTCAGTGGTTTATATGCTTTACAAAGGAATTGACTGCGAAATTCAAATAACTGATTAGACCCTGTTTTTCTTTTTAATTGAAGTTTGGGCGTTGGTGCAAACATAGTCTTACTATCTGTATATCTATGAGTTTTGTGGTGGTTAAATTCATGGTATCTGAAGCCAGACCATCTCTGCAACTTACTTGCTGTGTGACCTTGAGCAAGATATGACACCGTCTGCCTTGGTGTTCTCATCTGTAAAGTGAGACTGACTGCTGATGTCATCCTCGTTTTTAAAAACCTTCCAGTTTCTCCCTTAAGATACTGTTTTAACTCCTTATCATAGCTAATAAAATCCTACATAATCTTTATTTATTTTTATTTTAATTTTTTGAGATGGGGTCTTACTCTGTCGCCCAGGCTGGAGTGCAATGGCACAATCTCGTCTCACTGCCACATCTGCCTCCTGGGTTCAAGCTATTCTCCTGCTTCAGTCTCCCGAGTAGCTGAGATTACAGGCATGTGCCACCATGCCCCGCTAATTTTTGCATTTTCAGAAGAGGAGGGTTTTCACTATGTTGGCCAGGCTGGTCTCGAATGCCTGACCTCAGGTGATTCACCCACTTTTCCCAGCGATCTTTAAAAAAAAAAATTAATCTTTTTCTCACACTGTTATTTTTATCACTTATTATCAGTGACATTAGCCATCCTTCAGCTTTGATAACGCACCAAGATGTTTGTCACTTCAAGGTCTCACTTTTGCTGTTTCTTCCGCTATGAATACTCTTACCTTTTTCCTCTAGCTAATTCCTCAAATAACTTGCTTCAAGGGTTCCCCCATCACTCCTTTTATTTGGTTAGGGATCCCAATACTTTAACTTCTTATGCCTTATCTTTATCATATCGCAATTTACATAATTTTCATATACTGCCTTTCCTCTTCATTAGTCTAGCTTCACCAAGGTGGGTTTATACTGATGATATTTACCTTAGTTTTTCCATCTTTTTTTTTTTTTTGAGATGGAGTCTTGTTCTGTCACCCAGGCTGGAATGCAGTGGCGTGATTTCCGCTCACTGCAACCTCCACCTCCTGGGTTCAATTGATTCTCCTGCCTCAGCCTCCTGAGTAGCTGAGATTACAGGCGCCCGCCACCAGGCCCGGCTAATTTTTTGTATTTTTAGTAGAGACGAGGTTTCACCATGTTGCCCAGGCTGGTCTTGAACTCCTGACCTCAGGTGATCCACCTGCCTCGGCATCCCAAAGTGCAGGGATTACAGGCGTGAGCCATGCACCCAGCCCAGGTTTTCCATCTCTTAGCCTATGTTTAGTATATATTATAGGTCAAAAGTAGTAAGGATTGGGTCAAAAAGAACAAGTTGGTATATGGTTACTTATTGACACCGGTAACTAGTTATGGACATGGGAGTTATTAAATCATAGATACACAGATGTATGTGCATTTTGTATGTTTGCATATTAATTTCCTACAGATGTATTTGAGTAGTATTCTTGTATATATCTATAGCTATAATATCAGATAGACATAGTTGTAACACAATCATAGATACAATTAAAGACTGAGATTATTTGTTCTCTAAATAGTCACTTAAATTATTTTTTGGCTGAATTCAATTAATCATTTAAAAATGCATTTGGAGTCTATTGATAAACCTACATTCAACTATAAGTAACAAATAATTCTTAGAATCAAACAAGAATCAGATACTTACTCATAAGTCAGGGGCCTTATGAAAGCAGCCATGAAGCAATGGACCAATTGGAAGAGAGAAAGAAAACCAATTTAACATCAAATAATGATGAGTTGTTGCTATTTGATTGAATGCTACTATCAGAGGTAAGACATAGGTAAAAAGAAAAAGCTTATTAAAATGTTTCTTCAGTAGGCATTACATTTAACTTAATAACTTACAAATGAATGAAATAATTAAATATGCAAGGAACACACATGGACAGTCAAAACTAGTTGTTTTATTTTTATTTTTTTGAGACAGGGTCTCATTCTGTCACCCAGGCTGGTGTGCAGTGGCACGAACATGGCTCACTGCAGCCTCAACTTCTTGGGCTGAAGTGATCCTCCTGCCTTAACTCCCTGTGTAGCTGGGACCACAGACATACGCCACCATTCCCGGTGAATTTTTTTTTAAAAAAACTAATTTTTAATAAGAAGAAACTTTCTAGATTGAATCCTTTCATTTTATGATATTCCCATTTGCAGAATATTTTTCTACAGGCACACACCCAGAGACGTGGGCTTTGGTTCTCCCTTTCCTTTATTGTAGCAGATCTTATGCCTAAATGGGTAAAAATCACCTATATCCTGAGCAGACTGCTCTGAGAAACCAGTCATTGCTGCCTGTAATTAAAGATGTGTTGACTCTTAACCACAATTGGCTGCTAAAAAATTAAATTAATAGAATCTCAAAGACATGCTCATCAAAAGAAGCCAGACACAAGAGTCTATACTCTGTGGTTTCATTGATATGAAACCCAATAACAAAAATCATCTAATTTTTGATAAGGCAAATAAAAATATATTTGTCTGTGGCAGGAAAGGGAATTGAAAGAGGCACAAAGAAATTTTCTGAGGTGATAAAAAATTCTGTATCTTACTGAGAATGGTGGGTGTATGTATGTATATAATAGTTAAATTCAAGCTGAACACTTAAGATTTGTGCATTTTACTGTGTTAACTATACACCTGTCACATATGTGTACATTTGTAGTGGTAGACACAGCAGTCCAAGAAACCGTACCCAGCCGAGGAACTGAGAGGAACCATACCCAGCTGAGAGGAAAGCTGCGCTGCCCAAAATTAAGCCAATGAACAACCCCTGTTTTATTTAATCGGCACACACTCCAAAAATTCCTGTTGTTATCACTGTTTACATACTTATTAGGATCCTTTTTCTTCCAGTTTGCCAAGACACAGTCTGCATAAACCAAAATAGGAGGCAGTTCCAGTTTCTTGGAGAGTTGGCAGTAAGGAACAGCAATATTTCTTGGCAA
The DNA here is from genome assembly GCF_000001405.40 of Homo sapiens. Lineage (NCBI taxonomy): Eukaryota > Metazoa > Chordata > Mammalia > Primates > Hominidae > Homo > Homo sapiens. The sequence goes on along the minus strand of NC_000008.11, from coordinate 39,918,817 downwards.
GACCTGATTAAAATACAGTAGTTAGGTTTTTTGTTGTTGTTGTTGTTGTTTTTTTTTTTTTTTTTTTTTTTGAGATGGAGTCTTGCTCCTGTCCCCCAGGCTGGAGCGCAGTGGCAGGATCTCGGCTCACTGCAACCTCTGCCTCCCAGGTTCAAGTGATTCTCCCACCTCAGCCTCCCGAGTAGCTGGGATTATAGGCACCTGCCACCATGCCTGGCTATTTTTTGTATTTTTAGTAGAGATGGGGTTTCACTATGTTAGCCAAGTTGGTCTTGAACTCCTGACCTCAGGTGATCCTCCGGCCTTGGCCTCTCAAAGTGCTGGGAGGCCCATGTGTGTTTTAAAGGTTAGATATTGCAGTCTGTATTAGTTTTATGTAATTAGGGTTGCCAGATAAAATACAGGATGAAAAATGAAGTAAAAGACTAAAAATATAATAATGATAACAGTGGACATGTCAAGCCAGGGCATATTTTCTTTATCATTTTGTCGTGTTATCTAAACTTTGCATGATGCAGTTATAATGCTTTTAGAAAATTTTTGGAAAGTTAAATGTAAATTAGATGAAAATCTGTCACATAGCATAAGAAATCTGAGAAAATCTCCAAACCTTACGGACATCTCCATGACCTTTGCCCCACACATATGCCATGGTGATGCATCCCAGAACTAGACGTGCAAGGCGCTGTGACTTGTGGTCTGTGAGATGATCAATGCTGAGCATGTTTAACTGAAAACAAATGGAGCAATTGACTCAAATCAATCTCAGTAATGTTTTATGCTTCAAAACCAAGTTAACAATGTTAAGAAGCTATACAAGAAGACAAATGTAATACATATGTCAAACCTTCTCAACTCTTTCTCGAAGCTGGCCAGACTCTATGAGATCAGGCAGATGTTTAGCAATGAACATCCAGTCATTATAAAAATCAGGTAGATTTTCCTTGAAAAAAAAAAAAGATCTTTATTTAGTAGTAGCAGTTATTGTAGATTTGGCTTCCCACTGATAGTATGCCTTGCCTTCACATCCATTCTGTGCAATGTTGCCCTGGCATATGGCTTACCTGTCTGGAAACACCAGCCTCTGTCTTGTCATCTGCACACGCAGGGCTGAAGACCCTCTCTGTGTTCCACCTCTTCCTCTCTCTTCAAACACTGCCATTTGCAGCTTTTCAAAGTTCACCTCAAAGGTTTCACTAAAATCCTCCTGACTACTCTATTTGAAACCAATCTCCTCCACTATAAATTCTATGGATTATGCCTTTTCAAATTGTTAAACAATTATTATCTGCTGCTTTGGTTTTTCTTTTCTTTTCTTTTTTGAATTGGAGTCTCACTCTGTTGCCCAGGCTGGAGTGCAGTGGCGCAATCTTGGCTCACTACAACTTCTGTCTCCTGGGTTCAAGCAATTCTCCTGCCTCAGCCTCCCAAGTAGCTGGGATTACAGGCATGAGCCACCATGCCTGGCTAATTTTTGTATTTTTAGTAGAGATGGGGTTTTGCCATGTTGGCCAAGTTGGTCTCGACCTCCTAACCTCAGGTGATCTGCCTGCCTCGGCCTCCCAAAGTGCTGGGATTACAGGCATGAGCCACTGCGCCTGGCCTACTTTGGTTTATCTTGGCTAGATTTTAAGTTCTTTGAATGGAAGGAAAATGAGATGTTTTAAATGTCAATAGTGGACTAGGCACTCTGCTCGATAATTTCATATATATAAAAGATACATATTTAATTATTGTAATGGCCCAAGAAGTTATCTCTGTATCATAAATAAGGAAACCCAGGCTTATACAGTTTACATAACGATTTTTGTATATCGAGTTTATTGTGAAGTTTCCAACTTTCAAAAGAAATGTAATAAATGTATTTTTGTTGTTTTTATTCTATGTTTCACCATCTAGTACATCTTATTTTTTTGGTTGTTGTGATTTTCTCCAAATAACAGAATACTTTTTTGTTCTGCACAATGATGATCATTTTATTTGACAGCACTTTCAACAAGTATAAAATTTAATCAGTAATATGCTCTGGTTCAGAGGATCCCTAAATGGTATAATATAAATTAAAAATGAATCATACTGAGGATCATTCAAATTCTGCTAGATTAGAGATTGTGCCTTGTATCTATCTATATGGAATCAGAAAACATATTATTTTCCTTTGGACTAAGAAGCAGATAGATTATGAGAGATAAAACAGACATTTTTTGGTTCATAATTTCTAGGAAAGATCTTCAGTGAAGAAATAAAAGTAACCAATAATTTTTTTTCATGTTTCCGGGACAGTGAATCTAGCTTCTGCAGCATCTCAGCTAGCAGAATTGTTATTATTGTTATTGTTTTCAGACAGGGCCTCACTCTGTCACCCAGGCTGGAGTGCAGTGGCGCAATCTCAGTTCACTGTAACCTCCGCCTCCCAGGTTCAAACAATTCTCCTGTCTTAGCCTCTCAAGTAGCTGGGACTACGGGCACACCAACATGCTGGGTAATTTTTTTTTGCATTTTTAGTAGAGTCAGGGGTTTCACCATGTTGGCCAGGCTGGTCTCAAACTCCTGACCTCAAGTGATCCACCCACCTTAGCCTCCCAAAGTGCTGGGATTACAGGTGTAAGCCACTGCACCTTGTCAGAATTACTATTATTATTATTATTTCCTGAGATGGAGTCTCGCTCTGTCACCCAGGCTGGAGTGCGGTGGCGTGATCTCAGCTCACTGCAACCTCCGACTCCCAGGTTCAAGCGATTCTCCTGCCTCAGCCTCCTGAGTAGCGAGGATTACAGGTGTATGCCACTATGCCCTGCGAATTTTTGTATTTTTTTAGTAGAGACGGGGTTTCACCACATTGGCCAGGCTGGTCTCGAACTCCTGACCTCATGATCCACCCGCCTCCGTCTCCCAAAGTGCTGGGATTACAGGCGTGAGCCACCCGTCCCCAGCCGAGAATCTTTTTTTTAAGTAGCTAAGGAAGAGTTTCGTTTGTTTTCTTTTGGGGTTTTGCTTTACTCCTTGGAATCTGTTCTACAGGTATTCATAATTATCACAGTTGTTGCATTTTTAAGGAGAATCGAATATCTGAGAAACAAAACCCATGATACAAAGTTTAGTAGTTTCTGAAAAAGATGGTTTTATTGTACCATTGATAAGTACATCCTTGAAATCATCCAGTCCCAGCATTTTTGTAGATCTGCGGGCAAATAGCAAGTTTGAGTATTATTGTTTTGCATGAATAAAGCAAACTAGTGCTTTTGGCAATAAAATTAAAGTATACTTTTCATTTTCTTTAATTAACAATCTGAAGAGGAAAATTAGATTGGAAGGAGGTAGATGCTTTAAATTTGCCAGTATCACCAAATTGTTTACAGGATTTCATTTCTAAGCACAGTTAGGTTGAAATCTCTGACTAAACATTTGCTGTGTTTAAAGGTGCTCTCTAGTATGTGGACTGTAACTGTTTGAGCTACAAACAAAAATACACTCGTCTACAGAATTATTATAACATGTTCATAGAAATCTTCTCCTGGAATCCCATGTACCTTGTTAAACTGAAGATTGAAAGAAAGAAAATAAGCAATGTCTTATTATCCCTTCTTAAGAGAGGCAGTGTGGAATAATGGTTTTAAGATCATAGACTCTGGAGACAGGCTGCTTAGGCTCATACTGGCCTCTGGCACTTGCTAGCTACATAGTTTGATAATTACATTCTGCATGCCTTATACTTCTCATTAGGAACATGAGGATAATAACATACGTTTCTGGCCGGGTGCAGTGGCTCACGCCTGTAATCCTAGCACTTTGGGAGGCCAAGATCGGTGGATCACCTGAGGTCAGGAGTTCGAGACCAGCCTGGCCAACATGGTGAAACCCCGTCTCTACTAAAAATACAAAAAAGTAGCTGGGTGTGGTGGCAGGTGCCTATAATCCCAGCTACTTGGGAGGCTGAGGCAGGAGAATCGCTTGAACCTAGGAGGCAGAGGTTGCAGTGAGCTGAGATCGTGCCACTGCACTCCAGCCCAGGTGACAGAGCGAGACTCCATCTCAAAATAATAATAATAATAATAAATAAATAACATACATAACTTTTGGGATGGCTATGAGAATGGAAAGGGTTAATTTGTAAATTGCTTAGAAAAATGCTGTATTTGATAATTAAAATATTGATGATAAATTGGTTTACATAGCATTCGTTAGAAGACAGACTAGAAAATGTAGTTTTTAAGGCAAACCTTTTTTCCACATACCTTGTACTTTATAGGTAAGACTTGCAAACAAGAAAAAAGGTAGTTCAGACTCTCACTTGAATCTTACGCTCAGTAAATAACAAGCAATGATAATATAACATGGAAGGTGCTTGATGTGCAATCTCATAAACCCCATCAAATTAGAAACACATGTTTTGCATAATTTAAGTTATATCCCTAAGAGAAAGGGATTTCTGTTTGACTCATGGCTCATTTAAAACTCTGGCTTTTGCAAAACACCTTTTCTCAAAATACAACTGTAATAACCTCATTGTTTGTATTTTACTATATAATTCTTATGTAAAGCTGATACACTTTCTATAGTTTCCTTTCTCACCACTCTCCGTATCCATGTTAGGTAAGTAAGAAATGCATAGATGACTCCATTTCTAGGGAGAAAATGTAAGACAAATTAAGTGAGATGCAGTTATTACAGCTCTCTAATTTTTACACAGCTTTATGTGTTTGTTTACTAGAAGTTACTGAACCACAGTTGTTCAGTAGAAGTTAACTTGGCCAGGTAAGGAATGAGAAGAAGAATGCATTTTCCCACATTTTACTGCCTTCTCTTACCTGTGGATTTGGCAGAGCAAAGCCCACTTCTTCATCAATATGGTACTCTTTACTGATTGTCCAGGAGTTTTCCATAGCGTGTGCCATTCTTGTAGTCTGCTCCTCTGGTGCCCCTCAGTGTCTGAAGAGTTTTCAGAGCATCTTATAATAGTTGCTGCCACAGCCAGTGACCACAGTTTATCACAGGGGCAGTGAGAAATTACTTCCACTTTTGGAATGGTTTCATTTTCTAGTTTCTTTGTTTGTAATATGAAAACCAATAAAACCACAAAAGCATCTCTGTGCATCATATGTACAAACTGAAAGTTCGTATTCCATATGAAATTTGTAATCATTAAGCACATCATTTTCTTACTGCCATATAGGAAGCCAGAAAGGCCTGAAGGAAAACACAGAACTATGAAAACAGGTGGCCGGAGAAGAACATTTTACTTTATGGAAACTTTTAAATCTTTGAATGAAAATGAAGGCTGCAGTCCTAAACTCTCATTTAGTTATTTCTCATTGGCTTCCTTTTAGGCTTCCACAGTTCTTTGAAAATATTAGTGTCATGTTTCAGCAGCCCGGAAACACAACCTGTGTTATACTCAACTATTAGTCAATGGCTCTGAAGTAGGAAAAAAATAGAAGCACATGAAAAATTAGAAACATAGTAACTCTCCACTTCCTTATTTTTCCTATTGGGACTTTTGTCAGTTTTTCCAATGATAGCATTTGCCCTTCTCACATCTCTAATAAGTAACTTTTAGGAAGATTGCCTTGCATCTAACTGTACCTGACTGCGGGGGGCTGATGAGGCAACAGTCTGGCATATTTGGGTACTTTGTAATATGTCAAAAGTTGGAGAAAAGGATAAAATACCTTGAAAATGTTTTTCTCAAAGTACAAATTAAGACTGCATTTGGTAAAGGTTTTCAGCTTGCATGCAAGTCTGTGGTTCACTTTAGAGGCATTGTTCAATCTTAATGAGAACAAGGAAGCTAAAGAAGAAACCAAGTTGCCCGTTCCTCTAGATGATCAAAAGGAGAAAAGAGAAATAGTTCGTGTGAGTAAACTAAAAGACATCGCTGTTTTGTCATCAGCTTATTAGTACTTGAAATAAATTAAATTGTGATAGCATATGGCTTTCGTTACAGTCTAGAATAGCTCTCGCGCTATTCTCTACTAAATTATGGCTGTTTTCTTCAACCTGTCATTTTACAGGAAAATGTTCCTTGAATAGGAAATGTAAGGAAAACTGAAACCAAAATTATACAGCAAAGAGAATACAATGACTGTGTTTCTTATGACTACATGATTCATGAGGCTAATACTTTGGGAATCAGTTCAAGGAAAACAAACAAAAAATCATGAAGACCTATCATATCTATATAGAAAACAACACTACAAATAAAATATTGAGCATTAGAAAATATGTGGTTATTTTTCATTCTTTGTACTTGAAGTTTTTATGGGTGAGTCAAAGTGAAGACATGGAACAACGTTTTAGATGATTCTGTCCCAGGATTAAGTTTTTAAGAAGCATAAGTTTTTGACAAAGCTTTTTCTTGATTCCGTTTATCCAGTCATCTCACTAAATCTATCCTACCCCCCGGTGTGGTGGCTCACGCCTGTAATCCCAGCACTTTGGGAAGCTGAGGAGGGCGGATCACTTGAGGTCAGGAGTTGAAGACCAGCCTGGGCAACATGGTGAAACCCAGTCTCTATTGAAAATACAAAAATTAGCTGGGCATGGTGGCATGTGCCTGTAATCCCAGCTACTCGGGAGGCTGAGGCAGGAGAATTGCTTGAGCCCGAGAGGCAGAGGTTGCAGTGAGCCAAGATTGCACCATTGCACTCCAGCCTGGGCAGCAGAGTGAGACTCCGTCTCAAAAAAAAAAAAAACAATCTATCCTACCCTTGACTGCAGAACCAATAATGCTTTAGTGCCTCAATGTTATCCCTAGCCACTTAACTTCCTCAAACTTTGGCTTCTTTGCTATTTCTGAAACTACATTCTCAATTGATCTTGTCTTCATTCACCTTGATTTTCTTCAGCCATACCTACACCTCCCTAAAAACCTCATTTCGCATATTTTTAGAAGAGCATCATAATTTTATGATCTCATACTGATTCTTCATCTTTCTCCTTAGCTTTTAACTGGTGATCAGGTTGTTATGTTAGAAAACTCCTGAAAGCCAGAACTCAGCGTTTTGCTCTATGGCCTCCTACATCTGAGACTTTATGTGACTCTGTCTCCCTTGTATACATCTGTCTTTGATAGCTTACATTATTTTTTCTCTATAATTATTTCATTGCCTGACTTATCTTCACAGCTATAGACTACATTTCCATCTGCCTGAGGAACATCTCTACCTTAAAATCCTGTTATCCAGTTTCACAGGGGACTTCACTGACACAAGGACTATTATGATAGGATCTGCAGAGGGACCTTCATTCAAGGTCATGATAAATACAAATGTGTCTCCTCTCAATGGAGCATCTTTTCTAATACATTCACATTTCTCTTTACCATTATGTTATACTAATTTATAAAATGTAGCTTTTTTTAATAAAAGAATTTTCATTTAAAAAATAATTTACAGCATGTAAGGAGAATGAAAAAAGTCATGGAAATACCAACATCACTGAATTCACCATTAACGTTTATGTTATTATGTTTTACAGCATTTTTCATGCAAATCAATTACATTCAAATTTTTCTGGGCACTTACTAGAGTCAGGAATTTTCTAAAAACTTTGCTTGTAGTAACTAATTTTACTTTTATAATTGGCTTATGAGGAAACTTTCATGATATCTCTGAAAGGGAATTAACGTGATTCAGATTTTGCTAATTAAGGCCCTTAGTTGCCAAAATAAAACAAAATTAAATACTCCCTTAAGGAAGAAAACATCATCTTAGACCTCAAAGTACTGATATTGTTTTTATAGATGTCTAAAAATCACTAAAAAATAACCAGGCGCCAGCCGCGGTGGCTCACGCCTGTAATCCCAGCATTTTGGGAGGCTGAGGCGGGTGGACTGCCTGAGGTCAGGAGCTCGAGACCAGTGTGGCCAAGGTGAAACCCCGTCTCTACTAAAAATAACAAAAAAATTAGCTGGGCATGGTGGTATGTGCCTGTAATCACAGCTACTCGGGAGGCTGAGGCAGGAGAATCGCTTGAACCAGGGAGGTGGAGGTTGCAGTGAGCCGAGATTGTGCCACTGCACTCCAGCCTGTGCGACAGAAGGCGACTCCGTCTCAAAAATAAATAAAATAAAATAAAATAAAATAAAATAAAATAAAATAAAATAAAATAAAATAAAATAAATAAGTAAAATAAAATACTGAATTGGACTGAAATAGAAGACAATGATGTGTGACAAAAGTCTGTCCAGGTGTGTTGACAAACTTTAGTCATTCTTCCTGTAACATGAGTTAAGTTAATGAAAACACAGAAAAGGGACCAGAGGTAATTGTTTTCTTCTTTGGCAGATCTGGACTTAAGGCAGGTAAGAGAACTTCGGGGAACAACTTCTTCCAGTGTCTACTGGCTTCCGGGAGCCTTTAATTTGAAGTAACCAGCATATCAGAGTGCCATATTTTTGGGTGTCCTTTTCTGAGCCCCAGTAATTCCCCTGTTTGAAACTTTTCTAATGTTTCATACACAAAAAGTTGAGTTGGTAGTTGTAGAGAGAAAAACTGAGTTAGTAGCTGAATGGCAAAGGATCTCATTAAACCAGTCTTCTCACTTCTGGGAAAAGGCCAGTCTAATTAGTCTTCTCACTTCTGGGAAAAGGCCAGTTTTGTCTTATATCAGGAGATGGCTTTGTAGATGGGATCTTAAAGCTATGACTCTATATATAATGCAGACAAAAAGATCTACAGTAAGAGCCATTTTTTACAGAATTGGAAGAAAAACAAAGGTTAATCTTTGGAGTAGTTTACAAACTAGTTTCTTCTAAAGTCTGCAGGACAGCTGAGAATATCAGTAGCAATCTGACAGATTTTCCTGGATTGTAGCTTGTGTGCAAAGTTTGTCCATTTATAAAATGTTGCAGTGATTTTTCTTCAAAGCCAAGTTAGCTAGTATCAGCTTGTAGAGTCTTAGGAAAAAGGGAATTTTAACGTTTAGTGATTCCAAGTCAGAAATGTAGGAGGAAAATTGAAAATGCTTGCCTGGAGATTCAAAGACAGATTTTGATAGGACTAACAATTTAAGATTTAGTTTAGATTACAGGCAAATAAAAAAATCTGAGAAAGAAAGAAAAAACAAACAATGAACTGGAATCTAATTATAGTTTTTTTTTCTTTCCTGAAACATGATTTTTCTCTCTTCAGTCCCCCATTTCTACCAAAGATAAATAAAAGCAAAGCCATTTTATTTGCATATTAAGTTTTCGTCTTATTGTACTTGGCCTGATTATTTGCATAAAGTGCAGTAAGAATATCAATTTGTAACACAGGCTCCTTTTAAGTTCACTTTGCTGGAACTTTTCGTAAGGAATCTCAGATTAAACTTTTAGAAACCTCTTCAGGCTAGAAAGCCAAGTCAAGGATTGGATTTGCTCTTAGATTGTGTCAGTAATACCTGTACAAATTAGTGAATTTCTCTTTTCTCAAGGTCCCCCAATTAACTTGAGGTTCCTGGGATGTCAGAAAGTGACATTCTTACTTACCACAAGCCCATTATGTGAACCGTGTATTTAGGATATTAGACCAGTTTTTCCAAAAGCTCCTATGGGCTTCATAATATCAACCTCAGTTTCTTAAAGCTGTCTGGTCACATCTGAAAATATGGCATTTCAGTCAAAGCCTTGGTAAAATAACCAGAGTCTCCAACTGTGTTCTGTGGCAAAAGGGAACAGATTCTTAATGAACTGATTCAAATAACTATTTTGCCATAAAATAGAAATACTCATAGTTTCCAAATTCAGGATCAATCAGGTAGAGAGAAAAGTGAATGTTTCAATTTTGTTCAAAAAAGTATACTTTACCCATTTCTGTAAAGCTTAACAGAACAAACATTTTCCTTAACTCTGTAAAGCAAAACATAAAAAGAATCAGCAATATTTTAAACAAAAAAGTTATTAAAATTACATTAGTCCAATGTAATTAGTTGTTTTGCTTGATGTTGAGTTAACAATTTTATGACTTTTTAAAAATTAGAGTTCTGAAATTGTTTACTCAGTGCTATAATACAATCTTAAAATTATAAGAAACTTGTATTCAAGAGTACTTGTTTTTTGTTTTGTTTGTTTTTTGTTTTTGTTTGTTTGTTTGTTTGTTTTTGAGATGGAATTTTGCTCTTGGCCAGGCTGGAGTGCAATGGCATGATCTCGGCTCACTGCAACCTCCACCTCCTGGGTTCAAGTGATTCTCCTGCCTCAGCCTCCTGAGTAGCTGAGATTACAGGCACCTGCCACCATGCTGGCCTAATTTTTTTATTTTAGCAGAGACAGGGTTTCACTATGTTGGTCAGGCTGGTCTCGAACACCTGACCTCAGGTGATCCACCCACCTCTGCCTCCCAAAGTGTTGGGATTACAGGCATGAGCCACTGTGCCCAGCCAAGAGTACTTGTTGCAGTCCTTTCCATGAGCTTTCTTGAAGACACAACACTTTAGGATTTGCAAAGAGCTTTCAGAAAAAAAGGATCAGCATAAAAAAATTAATTGTGAGCAAGACTAAAAATGGCCGTGGTTAAAGATGGAATTAACAAGAAAACTAGGTCATTTTCTCCTTTTATGACCTACAACAATTTAACATAATACTCATAATTATGACTAATAACATATAACAAAACAAATCCAATTTTTAGGAATCTCATATAATTTTGGAGCAAATACTAATAACATGACAATACAAATATAATTTTGAAAAGGTTAAATATTATTTCTTTTTTTTTTTTTTTTTTTTTTTTTTTTTTTTTTTTTGAGACGGAGTCTCGCTCTGTCGCCCTGGCTGGAGTGCAGTGGCGGGATCTCGGCTCACTGCAAGCTCCGCCTCCCGGGTTCACGCCATTCTCCTGCCTCAGCCTCCCAAGTAGCTGGGACTACAGGCGCGCGCCACTACACCCGGCTAATTTTTTGTATTTTTAGTAGAGACGGGGTTTCACCGTTTTAGCCGGGATGGTCTCGATCTCCTGACCTCGTGATCCGCCCGCCTCGGCCTCCCAAAGTTCTGGGATTACAGGCGTGAGCCACCGCGCCCGGCCTTAAATATTATTTCTTATTTGAAAATCTTTTTACATAATGAACATATCAAATAAGCCTGTTTATTATTTCTTTTGGAAGCTTCAGCAGCTTTTTGGAATATCTCAAAGTTAGTTTGAGGTCAAAAATACTTAATTTTAGATTTTGAAATATAATTGTGAGAAGCCTCTCAAATACATTAAAGGTTTCAAATACTTGATCAAAATAGGATCATAGGTCCAATGAAAAAATAATAGTCATTCATTTAGCCAAAGTGATAATTAGAAGATTTCAAAAAGCAAAAACCTTTGCTGTTTGATTGATAAGAGACTCGGTTTTGCAAATAATCAAAACACCTTCTGAAGAAGCATGACAAGACATGAGGCACACAAAATCTGTTTCTCTCTCTTGCTTTTTTTTTGTTTTTTTGCATTTTACTCAGAACATGTACAAAAATCTTTTCTTTTTATTAATCCTATGCAAAAATATTATTTAAAAGAGAAAATCAACCACTAGCTTTGTCTTTGTGTACTTTAAATACTAAAGCTAATTTTAATGACGTGTAAACAAATTTCTCTGATATCAGTCAGCTTTGCACACAAGATAAACTTTTCATAAACCTTCTATAACCTATTATAATTTTTTCCTACTCTTCTACTTTTTAAAAGTCTTTATATCCATTTAGTTTTACCTATATCATTTTTTTTCTCCATTCACTTAGTCTGAAGCAATCTTTATTTATTTTTTATTTATTTTTATTTTTTAGAGACAGGGTCTTGTCACTCAGGCTGGAGTGCAATGGCCTGATCATGGCTCACAGCAGCCTTGACCTCCCCGGCTCAAGTGATCCTCCCATCTCAGCCCTCAGCCTCCACAGTAGCTGAGACCACAGGTGTGCACCACCACACCTAGCTAATTAAAATTTTTTTTTTTTTTTTTGTAGAGACAGGGTCTCCCTCTGTTGCCCAAGCTGGCCTCAAGAAATCCTCCCACTTTGGCCTCCCGAAGTGTTGGGATTACAGATATGAGCCACTGTGCCTGGTCTGAAACAACTTTTAAGTAACCTCTAAACTAGACAAAATTACTTTTCCTTTAACCAAACCACATACTCATGACTTCCTTATAAGCGTTCTCACCAAAAACGTATCTTGCCTTTTTTTGTATACACTTTGCATACAAAATTGTTTACCTTATTTTTAGTGGTTTTAATTACATATATTAATTATAATTTAACTCTTAGTATCTTAATTTTTAGTGAAAATCTAAGGGAACTCTTTCATATCAGTATTTGTAAATGAAAACCATTTTATAATTCTTAAAAATATTTCCTCAATTTTTCATGTTTATCAAGAGATTCAAATATATTTATCTTTTCTATATCACATCAAAATAAGGTATCAGAGTATTCAAACTTAAACTTATGCTTAATAATTGATGTGTCAGTATTTTAACTTAGAAATAACTCAGATATTTCACTATTAACTATTACTTAATTTAATATAACATGACTTTAAGACTTTAAGAGTGTCAATTACCAAAAAGATTTTTGAAACTATGATAAATTTATTTGTAAACATTTACTCTATTTGTATTTACCTAATTGACTCATCAACAATTATGTCTGAATTCCTCATGAAAAACAATAGTAGCCATTTAAGCTTAAGCTTTTTGTTTGTTTGGGTTTTTTTTGTTGCTGTTGTTGTTTTTATGCAGTCTTGCGCTGTCGCCCAGGCTGGAGTGCAGTGGCGCAGTCTTGGCTCACTGCAAGCTCTGCCTCCCGGGTTCACGCCATTCTCCTGCCTCAGCCTCCCGAGTAGCTGAGACTACAGGCACCCGCCACCGTGCCCAGCTAATTTTTGTATTTTTAGTTGAGATGGGGTTTCACCATATTGGCCAGGCTGGTCTCGAACTCCTGACCTTGTGATCCACCCGCCTTGGCCTCTCAAGGTGCTGGGATTACAGGCGTGAGCCATTGTGCCTGGCCTGTTTTTTTGTTTTTTGTTTTTTTCCCAGCTAAACCATGTCAACCCTAAATCAGCCAATTTCATCTTGAGCAAGGCCTTTAAGATACTGGGCACAGGTATCCTCCCCAATACTCTATCCTCCAGGTTGTCCTGGATCCAAATGCCCATGGGCACCCACGATGGTTATGAAAAGGAGGGTCCACCTGGGTCCTGGATTTACACACCAAGTGTAAAGCCCGGGACAGAGGACAGAACTATGAAGATGATGTCTGGAGGATCTGACCCCTCCCAGCATGACCAAGAGGAAGAGCTGGATGTGGGAGGATAGGGCCCTACTGAGCTTGACTCTGCCCTGCAGCTGGTAGCCCAGGTGCTGTGGACACACATATATCTTCAGGCTTCATCATGGCAATCTTTCTAGGCTCCAAGACCTAGAAACTCAAAAGCAAAAACATAGGCTCACAGTAAGATGTGTGCAAGGCATTGGGGGAGCCCAGCCACCAGCTGTAGTAGCTTTAGCTCACAGACAAATCAAAGAAGTACCAAAAATATCATAGAAGAGATAGTTTTATGACCTTACTACATTTAGCAGAGACAGTCCAAACCTGCCTGAGCAGTAGCCCCAGGCAAAAATGTATAAATTAAATTCTGAAGAAATTTTTATTTTATTTTACCAATAATTTTAAAAGTTTTATTTAGCAAAGATTCTTAAGGTCATATGAATTTGAAAAGCATTGAACCTATTTACTTAATTTATATGTGTTTTTATTTTCAAGTCAATTTATTACCATTAGACAATATACAAGCATATGTATAGAAATATAAATATGTGTAGACATAAAATACAGAACACACAGATATGTATCCAAAAGCCAGACATCAGGGGGCTTAACACAACAGAGGGCAAATCTTTAGACCTGAGAGGAACCTGCCCATACCTCTTGGAGCTCTGTAATGGAGACAGGGAACATCCCCCCGCCCCAAGAGGCCAGTGGCACTTTTTTTGTGTGTTCTTCAAAGGGTCACAGGGTCCCCTCATGAGAGTCAAAGTCCTGGTTAGACCCCTTAATGTAATATTAAAGGTGGCAAAAGAAAGGTGAAGTAGAAGTAAATGGGAAAACAACTCTTAGAGAAGCCCATCGGGAATATTTTAAGCTTTTCCAAAAAGACCAATGAAATTTTACTTTTTTTTCTCAGTAAAAATAATTCTAATAAGAAAGGAAGCAAAAAAAAGGACCAAATGTATAATTTTTAAAAAGAGCTTCAGTTGACTGGAAAAACAAAAAAGCCCAAAACAAAACAAAACAAAAACCAACACAGGGTAGAAAGAAGATCCAAAAGGGAAAAGTCTTTGTGAAAAATAAAACAAAGTACGGCCGGGCAAGGTGGCTCACGCCTGTAATCCCAGCACTTTGGAAGGCTGAGGTGGGTGGATCACCTGGGTCAGGAGTTTGAGACCGGCCTGGCCAACATGGCAAAACCTTATCTCTACTAAAACTACAAAAATTAGCTTGACATGGTGGTGGGTGCCTGTAATCTCAGCTACTCGGGAAGCTGAGGCAGGAGAATCACTTGAACCTGGGAGGCAGAGGTTGCAGTGAGCCGAGATCATGCTACTGCACTCCAGCCTGGGATACAGAGTGAGACTTTGTCTCAAAATAATAATAATAATAATAAATTAAAAAAATAAAGTAAAAATTATAGCCTGAATATCAGCTTTTAGTTAAGCTGTTTTCTGACCTTAGAGTTCTTTTTTTAAAAATTGGAATTTATTATTATCAGATTTCAGCTGGGACAAAAAACCAGTATTCCTTGTTTTTGAACTTTTATTTCTCCTTTCTAACCAAAGGTATCTACTGAGTGACTCAGAACCAAAGCCAGTAAATCCTTTATGAGGTAACAAAGGACAGATATGAGGCACCTCAAAGTGGCATGAAGAGGAAGTCCTCACAAGATCTGGAGCCAGCCCCTAAAGAGACTTCAATAACAGAAAAGTAAAAATGGTCCATAAAAGGGAAAAAGATCAATATCAAATGGTAATGTAACTCTCCAAACAGTCGAGAGTCACACAAACATAAATTCAAAACAAATAATTCAAGCTAATTGTTGTACATTTTTCTTTTTCTCCTGAGTTGCAAAGATCTAGATCTCTAAGGGTCTGATTTCCTGAATGAGAATCCAATCCCAGATCACAGCAGTGAAGAGTAGAATCCTAGCCCCTACACTACAAGCTGGGGTATCTTTTTGTAGGTTCAGCGGGAACCCCAAAGCAGGCAGTTTGAAGCAAAAAGATTTTAAGTACATTTACAATCTGCTTTCTGCCTTTTTGAAATCTTGCCAAAGGAGTTTCTAAGGCTACATTTCTTTTGTTTCTTATATAAGTACCAATAACAGCTGATTAAGGCAAGAGCCCTCTAAAAAGTTTTCACTTAAATATAGCCAGTTTCTTTATTGCAAAGCAACTGAAGCCAATCAGCTTTTTTCATGCAAAGTCCCAGAGGTAACTTTCCAAGTTTACAATACTATGAATGTTAAGTGGCATTTTAAAAATCGGTTCAGTTGATGTAGCCCTCATGATTCCTCAAAAATTCACTCTCAGAAATAGGCTAAGGTAGCAAAAGACTCATTACCACAGATGGCGCAGGGTGCTGTCTGTGTGTGCAGCAGTGCCACACTATCCCACAAAGTTGTGGGGTGTGCCAGTCACAGACCCCTTAATCTGTTGCACCAGCAGACCCTCCTGGGTTTGGACTTTTCCAGAACTAACCAGGTAGCATGTGTTGAGACAACAAAGGTCCTTTATAGATAGGACAAAGTCCCCTGAGAGTCTGGCATATTCAGACCTAAGAGTGTGCTGCTTAATATCTTAGGTGTCTAGGGTTCTGGCCCTTTCAGACTGGCCACCAGTTATGTCCCGAAAATCATACTCCCCAGATGGTGAAAAACAAGAGCGAGTGCTCCCACCAGTAACAAACAAGTCAAGTTCTCACAAACACAAAACAAGATATAAGGGGACCCTCATCCAGTTTTTATTTCGGGGACTCACAGCACGTACAATTGTACATAGGTCTGATGAAACTGTAAACATCACCAGTCTCTCGGGGGCCAGCTCAGACAAGGGGCTTATAGAGACTTTAGACCCATGTTCTATCCTATGACACCCATCTTTATGACAAAACAACACATAAAGACAAAGACAATGGAGAAACAAAATCTATTTCTGGGAGAAAAAAGATAAGACAATATGAATATCTATACAATAAAATACACCAGAGTTGCTACACCCAAGACCAGTCAAAAATGATTTTCTCCTGTTAATGTTACATATGGAAAGAGAGACAAACATGGTTTTTTTACTATCCGCTCATCCAGATTCCAAAGACAAACACAGACCAAGATTCTGACTGGAAAGAATTTCTTACCCTTCTGCTGGCTTGCCGGGTCCCAGGTTCCCTGACTGCAATTTTCGGAAGAGCAGAGCAGTTTTGGTTGTCCTGTTCACTGGGCCAAAACTGTTGGAGCTGAGGGAAAACTTTCCTTTTGCCCTCTGAAGGTTCATTGAAAATCAAATGACAAAGCAGATTAATAGGAGAAAAGGCATGCAAATTTTATGTTAATGTGCATAGCATAGGGGGATTGTAGGAGAAGGATTACCCAATAACCCGATGGGGGTAGAGATGCCTATATACCACTTTTCATAGGGAAGAAGTGGGGTAAATGTGACAATTTGGGGTATATAAAATGATTTTTTAGGGGAAATGAATGGACTTGGAGAACTCAAAAAGGCCTGTAACAAGGTCTGTTGAGCCTGCAGAGCAGACAATGGCTATGAAATGATTTTCTTTGAAATACTGAATTAGACTGAAATAGAAGGCGATGGTTTGTGACAAAACTCTGTCCAGGTGTGTCTTTCTTCCTTTGATATGAATTAAGTTAATGCAAACACATAAAAAGGACCAGTGGTCATTGTTTTATTCTTTGGTAGTTCCAGACTTTAGGCAGATAAAGTAACTCCAGAGAACAGTTACCTCCAGTGCATGTTGGTCACCAAGGGCTTTTAAATTATTTTAATTTAAAATAATCATTGGGCCAGGCAAGGTGTCTCACTCCTGTAATCCCAGTGCTTTCGGAGGCCGAGGCGGGAGGATCGCCTGAGGTCAGGAGTTCAAGACCAGCCTTGCCAACCTGGTGAAACCCTGTCTCTACAAAAATACAAAAATTAGCCAGGCATGGTGGTGCGTGTCTGTAATCCCAGCTACTTAGGAGGCTGAGGCAGGAGAATCACTTGAACCCGGGAGGTGGAGGTTGCAGTGAGCCAAGATTGCACCACTGCACTCCAGCCTGGGAGACAAGAGCGAAACTCTGTCTCACTAAAATAAAATAAAATAAAATAAAATAAAATAATAAAATAAAATAGTCATCATACCAGGGTGCTATATTTTGGGGAATTGATTTCTCAGGCTCAACACTTCTGTACAGATCTTTGTAAGATACTATTCTAAAATAGAACAGTTCATATGACTTTTTAAAAGATGGCTTCCACAGATAGAACAATACACTGGCAATTCTTTACTTTTTGCTTTTCATTTATTTTTTATTTAATATTTGCATGTTGCAGCAAAGATGGAGTTAACTGACTACAGTCTATTTTCCCATTGATCACAATTAGATTCTCTGGACAAAATACAAAGGTAAACTACTGGTAAATTTTAAAGTAAACAATATCAGGTGGATTTAAGGATTAAAGTCAAAATTTGAATAGTAACACATAGGAGGTTGAGGTTTGCAAATTTTTTTTCTCCCTTCTTTCCTGATTATGACCTCAAACTGGTCTAAATCCTAGAAGAGTGCAATAGGTACTGAGTAAAAAGGTCTTCTTTCTAGCCAAATGACTGGAAAAAGTTATTCTTGCATATTAGATATGGGAGGAGATCTCTATTTTTCTTTTTCATCTCCTTTCTCTCCTGGCTCCACTGTGAAGCCAGTCCATAGCTGTGGCATTGCTCTGCCACACAGGTGGTGGCACAGGTACCTAAGGCCCCGAAAGAAGGACTCTTGGTCAGAGGGACTAGGAGAAGGACTCTTGGTCAGAGGGACTAGGAGAAGGAACTAGGACAAATGTCTGAAGAATGTGGGAAGAATGCCCAGTATTTCCCTCTGTCTTATATCAACACTTTACTCTAAAGCTGACTCTGGTTGTGCATGATCGCACATCAGTGCAGAAGGCTAAAGCTCTGAATTATCACATCTTTCTGAACAAAGAAACTGGAAAAAGGGCCCCAGGGCATTCAAGCATGTGGGAGAAATAAAAAAACAGGAGAGCACTAAAAAATGGCATCCCCTAATTCTACTATGACCTAATATAAGTTTTGGGCTTTATTCTAAATTGTGTGTAAACAGAACAGACTCAAAGAAGAGTAGTCTATATTTCAAGAAGAGAACTATGACATAAATGACTGCTCAAATCTCAGACTAAACCTTGAGTGCTTCTATGCTATTTGGGTCTGCCTGGTCCATGACCCAAATAGCATAGAAAAAGCTTTGAAAGCTGAACTCACTGTAAATTACTGTCCATAGAGGACAAGACAGAACTGTGGTCTGATTGCTTCTCAGGCTTTTGGCTAATAACTGTGGTCTGAACCTAAATAGCCTGATTGCCTGCTAAAGCAAATTCTAAAAATCAGCATTCACTAGAAAATTTTAGAAGGATAGTAGTATTAAAAATGCTAAAGATAGGCTCGGCGCCATGGCTCACGCCTGTAATCCCAGCAATTTAGGAGGCCGAGGCGGGCTGATCACCTGAGGTCAGAAACTCAAGACAGGTCTGACCAACATGGAGAAACCCCATCTCTACTAAAAATATAAAATTTGCCGTACATGGTGGCGCATGGCTATAATCCTAGCTACTTGGGAGGCTGAGGCAAGAGAATCACTTGAACCCAGGCGGCAGAGGTTGCGGTGAGCTGAGATCGCACCATTGCACTCCAGCCTGGGCAACAAGAGCGAAACTCCATCTCAAAAAAAAAAAAAAAAAAAAAAAAAGCTAAAGATATAATCCAATATTAACATGGCATTTGGAGAACCATGAAAATCTGACCTAAATTCAAGGAAAAATGCAATCAATAGGTATCAATCCTGAGAATATTATACACTTTATAACCATCTTCCATTAGGTAAATGGGAATATGCTTTAAAAGTAATAAAAAGACATTAACATCAAAGAAATTAAACCAAATGCAAAATTACAATATAGAGTACAAAATAAATACAATACTTCTAAGTGAAAATGTACTTTATTGGCTCAGTATCAGAATGAAAATGACAGAGGAGAGAGACAGTATACTTGAATACAAATTAGTAGAAATTATCCAATCTAACACTAAAGAGAAAAATTAATTTTAAAATGAAAATCAAGGTTGGGTGCAGTGGCTCATGCCTGTAATCCCGGCACTTTGGGAAGCCGAGGCGGGCGGATCAACTCAGGCCAGGATTTTGAGACCAGCCTGGCCAACATGCTGAAACCCCGTCTCTACTAAAAATACAAAAATTAGCTGGGCATGATAGCGTACCCCTGTAATCCCAGCTACTAGGGGGGCTGATGCAGGAGACTTGCTTGAACCCGGGAGACGGAGGTTGCAGTGAGCCGAGATCATGCCACTGCACTCCAGCTTGGGTGAGGGAGTGAGACTATCAAAAAAAAAAAAAAAAAAAAAAAAAAAAAAAAAAAAATCTGCACAGCAAAGGAAACAACAATAAAGTGAAGAGACAACTTACAGAATGGGAGAAAATACTTGCAAACTATACAACTGACAAGGGACTAATAACTAGAATGTATAAGGAGCTCAAATAAGACAATAGTAAAAAAAAAATCATTAAAAATGGGCAAAGTATCGGAATAGACACACTTCAAAAGAAGATATACACATAGCCAACCGGTAAATGAAAAAACGTTCAGTATCACTAGTCACCCGGAAAATACAAATCAAAACCACAGTCAGCCATCTCACCCCAGTTAAAATGGCTATTTAAAAAAGATAGAAAATAATAAAAGCTGGAGAGAATGTGGAGACGGGAGTGTTCCTGCGCTGTTGGTGCGGATGTAAATTAGTACAGCAACTGTGGAAAGCAATATGGGGGTTCCTCAAAATACTAACATTAGAACTACTATATGATCTAGCAATTCCACTACTGGATATATATTCAAAAGAAAAGACATCAGCGTATTGACGAAATATCTGCACTTTTATATTTATTGCAGCACTGTTCACAATAACTAAGATACGAATCAACCTAAGTATCCATCAATAGATGAATGGATAGAAGAAATGTGGTGTAAAAAAAAAAAAGAAAATGTGGTGTATATGCACAATGGACTATTATTCCCTCATAAGAAGAATAAAATCTTGTCTTTGGCAACAACATGGATGTAACTGGATGACATTATGTTGAGTGAAATAAGCCAAGAAAAAAAAAAAGACAAATGTCACATGTTCTCACTCACATATGGGACTGAGAAAAATTTCTATGATGGAGGTAGTGAATAGAATAATGATTCCCAGAAGCTGTGAAGGATAGTGGGGAGTGGGGACAAAGGGGATGGTTAAAGGGGCCCAAAATACAATTAGATATAAGAAACGAGATTTAGAGTTTGAGACTAGCCTGGCCAACATGGTGAAGTCCTGCCTCTACTAAAAATACAAAAAATTAGGGGGGCATGGTGGCAGGCCCCTGTAGTCCCAGCTACTTGGGAGGCTGAGACAGGAGAATCGCTTGAACCTGGGAGACAGAGGTTACAGTGAGCCGAGATCGCGCCACTGCACTCCAGCCTGGGTGACAGAGTGAGACTCCATCTCAAAAAAAAAAAAAAAAAGAAAAGAAAAGGAATGAGATCTAGGATTTAGTAGCACAGTAGGACAATTATAGTTAACAATTAATTTATAGTATATTTCAAAATAACTAGAAGAGTAGATTTGTGATGTTCACTCTGAAAACTCAGAAATGATCAATGTTTGAGGTGATGGATATCCCAATTAGCCAGTTGTGATCATTACACATTGTATGCTTGTATCCAAATATCACAGGTGCCCCACAAATATGTACAACTATTATGTATCCATATATATATATTTTAATTAAGAAAGTGTTTACCAGGATTTCTCCACCAGCAGTGTTAATAAAGTTAAAACTTTTTTTTTTTTTTTTTGAGACAGAGTTTGGCTTTTGTTGCCCAGGCTGAGTGCAATGGCATGATCTCAGCTCACTGCAACCTCTGCCTACCCGGTTCAAGTGATTCTCTTGCCTCAGGCTCCCGAGTAGCTGGGATTACAGGTACCCACCACCACACTCAGCTAATTTTTTTTTTAATTTTTATTTTTAGTAGGGCACCCACACCACACCTGGCTAATTTTTGTATTCTTAGTAATAAAGGGGTTTCACCATGTTGGCCAGGCTGGTCTCGAACTCCTGACCTCAGGTGATCCATCTGCCTCAGCCTCCCAAAGTGCTGGGATTACAAGCATGAGCCACCACACCCAGCCAAGTTAAAACTTCTAAATGTTTTTTCCCTTATATTTTCCTGGGACTGAGACATTCTAATCCTTTTATCCTTATCTGTAAAAGAGGATCTAGTAATAAGAAACTTCTTGAGATTAAATTTAGGTAGGGCCAGATGAGACTGTGTTGCTGGAACAAATAATTCCTCCCCATTCTCATCCCACGGATGCTAGCAAATTCCCTTCTCTTCTTGATTGTTGCCTTTCTGAAGAACAAGCTGAGTGAGAATCATGGTTGTGGGTTATGATTCCTTAGCACTTTTTACTATATGAGTCCATGCTTGCATTAATTCCCATAAATGAGAACAAATAAATCCCTCCTGGAATGCACCGATGGCGGATGGGATGGATATTACTAAACCAACAAAAAGTTGTTTTCAGCTTGGCACAATGGCTCATGCCTGTAATCCCAGCATGTTGGGAGGCCAAGGTGGGCAGATCACCTGAGGTTGGGAGTTTGAGACCAGCCTGACCAACAGGAAGAAACCAAGTCTCTAATAAAAAAACAAAATTAGCTGAGTGTGGTGGCGGGCGCCTGTAATCCTAGGTACTCGGTAGGCTGAGGCAGGAGAATCGCTTGAACCTGGGAGGCGGAGGTTGTGGTGAGCCGAGACCATGCCACTGCACTCCAGCCTGGGCAACAGAGTGAGATTCTGTCAAAAAATACAACAACAACAACAACAAAACAACAATGACAAAAACAAAACAAAACAAAAAACAACTTGTCTAGAACCATGTTCCGAAGCTTTATGGTAATTCTTAATGCTCATGATATTTCTGGTACCCATTTAATCAGGACATTTTATTTATTTTATTTTATTTTATTTTATTATTTTATTTTATTTTATTTTATTATTTTATTTTATTTTATTTTATTTTATTTGAGAGAGGGTTTCACTCCTGTAGCCCAGGCTGAAGTGCAGTGGCGCAATCTTGGCTCACTGCCACCTCTGCCTCCTGGGCTGAAGCTATTCTTCTGCCTCAGCCTCCTGAGTAGCTGGGACTACAGGCACATGCCACCATGCCTGGCTAATTTTTCTATTTCTTGTAGAGATGGGCCTTTGCCATGCTGCCCAGGCTGGTCTCCAACTCCTGGGCTCAAGCCATCCACCCACCTTGGCCTCCCCAGGTGCTGGGATTACAGGCATGAGCCACTGTGCCTGGCCACATTTTATTATTCTTTTCCAAATTATGAATAGTTTCAAATTAGCAAAAAGAACAATATAGAATAGCAAAAATAGAATGTCATATGGCTTCAGATATATTTTTAAGACATGAAACATTACACACTTTCAGAACACTGCAGATCTATTAGAGACAAATCATTACAATCACAACTGAAGCCCCATGCATCTCCCTTGCTCCATAAAAGAAAGCATTATTGTGATTTCAATGTCTTATTCCCATACATAATTTTATTCTCTTGCTACTGCAGATATGAATCTATAAAAACTATATAGTATTGTTTTACAGATTTCAAATATATATTCTCTGGGTATATTTTTCATTCAGTATTATGTTTCAAGTTAATGAATGTAACTCCAAAGCATTCATTTTTATTTTTGAATTTATTTCATTGCATGAATATATTATATCTATATTCAAACATTTATGTGGTTCTACTTTTTTGTTCCTATTAATAATGCTGAAGTAAATATACACATGTTTACAGCAATGTTTTCCAAACCATGAATTTTGTCCAACTAGAGGTGAATCACCTTTGCAAAATTATGACTGACACAGTGAAAGAGATCTAACTTAACTGACTCCATCTTGCTTCTAACCTCCAAGCTGTCCTTGTTCATTCCTGGGAGTAGGATGAACTAACTGTGGGAGAAACTTAGTATATACTTTATAGTTTAAAACAAAGACGAGTCCGGGTGTGGTTGCTCACGCCTGTAATCCCAGCGCTTTGGGAGGCCTAGGCGGGTGGATCACTTGAGGTCAGGAGTTTGAGACCAGCCTGGCCAATATAGTGAAACCCCGTCTCTACTAAAAATAAAAAAATTAGCCAGGCACGATGGTGCATGCCTGTAATCTCAGCTACTCAGGAGGCTGAGGCAGGAGAATCGCTTGAACCCGGGAGGCAGAGGTTGCAGTGAGCCAAGGTTGCACCACTGCACTCCAGCCTGGGTGACAGAGTGCGACTCTGTCTCAAAACAAACAAACAAACAAAACAAAAAACAAAAAAGCAAAAACAAAAACACAAAAAAAGCAAAGACTATAACGGCCCTTTCCCAAGGCAGACCTCCTTCTTGCTTGAGAACTAGACTGCCTTTGTAGGACTAACATTAGCCATAAGATTAGAAATTATGGTTTAGGAGTCATGCAACTGGAGCTACCAGATTCTGACCCTCCCTAAACTGCTCCTAAGATCAGTGCTTGAGATATTTTGCAGACCCTGCGCTTGATGGATCAGCTGGCACCACCCAGATCACTCATCTGATCTTGTGGCCCCCACCCAGGAACCAAATAAGGGCAAGAAGACAGCTCCAACTCCCTATGATTTCATCCCTGACCAATCAGCACTCCTGGCTTCTTGGCTTCCCCTCACCCACCAAGTTGTCCTTAAAAACTCTGCTCCCAGAATGCTCTGGGAGACTTGAGTAATAACAAAATTTGGAGTAATAACAAATTTTTTTTTTAAATGGAGATTTGAGTAATAACAAAATTCTGGTCTCCTGCACAGCTGGCTCTGCGTGAATTACTCTTCGTCTATTGTAATTCCCCTGTCTTGAGAAATCGGCTCTGTCTAGGCAGTGGACAAGGTGAACCCACTGGATGATTACAGATGGTTGAGACCCATTAATAAATAATAAAATTCCTACAGTATATTGAGACAAACATCTTTTTGAAGAGCTCAATGGAATAGAATACAATACAAAATTTCAAGGTGTACCAGACATACAAAGGTAACTATAATTTAATAGAGCTTTTGATTTACTAATGTGCAAATGTGTATGGGCATGTACTGGGGCCCACGTAAGATATTTTTACTTATGAGGGCTGTGGTCAAAATGTATGAATAAAACTCTTACGGTTTACTTCCAAAAAAGGGGAATTCCTGGGTTTTGGTATGAATATCTTAAGCTATACCAGATGTTTCAGAATCACCTTTCAAATTGATCATATACAATTATTCTCCCCAGCATTTTTTAAACATTTCCACATCTCCACACTATGTTTTTTCTTAGAGTAAAATATGCATACAGAAAAGTACACCTAGTATAACGTAGATCTCAATTCATTTTTATAAACTTAACTTACCTGTGCAAATAGATAAGTCACTTGTGCAAATAAGTAACTATGAAAATAATTACCTGTGCAAATAAGTAACTTACCTGTGCAAACAGGTAAGTAAAATTCTCTCTGGGGGCAGCTGTGCTGGCTAATGAAAAAGAGGCCTATATACCTTGTTAAACGACAATTAATAATAGCCACAGTCATTTGCATATATGCACTTTTCTAAATGAAGGAATAGATTATTGCTGGTATTGTCTGGGGAAGAGTCTCCTATTGTTTAGCAGGTCAAATTATGCAAAATATTTTTATAAATATTAATAACTTAGAGAACTTATGTAAGTTTAACATGCCAGATGGCAAGTAGGGCATAATAATCTTCAGTTTTGCCACATGACTAATTCAGGAGTTTTTGAACCACCAGGGAGTAGGAAAGCATGGAAATCTACCTAGTCTATCATTCCTATTAATTTAGGGGAGTGAGTTTTAAAACAATACCCTATTTATTTTTTGTAGAACATTTGGTATACCAGTGACCATCAAGTGTTGGGGCACTCAGTAACCTCACTAATATGTCATAATCCCTTACCTGTTATCAGTTCAGAGGAGAGTAAAACAATTTTACCCAGGACTTGTTAGGAAAATAGTCTGATCCTGAGGCTAAAGAATTTTATCAGCCACAGAGATTTTGCATGAGCTTGGACAATCCAAGTCTTGATGGAAACCACAGACCAAATAAAACTTGCCCCTTAAACCTTTCCTTTTCAAAAAACTAAAAATTCTGAGAGCCCAATAATGCTCCCAAATCCTCTCTGTGAATTTGAGAGAGCACATAACATGGAGTGGCTTACAGACACAAACTTTACCTGGTGAAATGGGTCACAGGAACATAGCTGCAAATGGATCTTGTCCCACTTGTCTGAACGAGCCTTGGTCAGAAGGAAAATTACATGGTTTCAAATTTGAAGTGGATAATATGAATTTATTTATTATACATATATCTATGCCTATATCCTTAGCCATGTCTATAAATATATGTAAAAATGTATCTTTTAAATTGCAGTCGTGATAGCAATACATAGAAAGCTAATAAAAGACTACAGATTGAAATCGTCAGGCTATTTAAGGCTGGAGGTAAAAACATTAAGCTGCTTATAAACTCAAAGTGAAGTCAGACTGTGATATCCTTTGTGATAGGGAGGATAATATTCAACATAATGGTTCCAAGTGAACCCCATGATTAATTAAGTAGAGCTTCCAGAAATGGTTAATGTAGCTACCATCCTCAATGTTTTTGAAGATCTAGTGCTACCTGATCACTGTCTCTGACTCCTGAGACCCTGTAAAAGAGACTCATGCCTGCTCCTCCCTTCCTTCCTTGGGAAATGTATTACAGAACCACCCTGATCACCCCAATCTTCCCAATGTACAATGAGTAGTTTTGATCACTCTGAAGCACGTATCTCCAGTGTCAAAAATACTTGAAAGCAGTTCTTTGGGTGAGAACTCTGAGAACAGTGAAGGGTCCATTAGGATTTGGAATTATCCGATATAAGAGTTGAGGAACAAAAGTACTGATAGGAAGGTGTGTCATGAAAGAGTAAGGACTTACGTTAAGCATTTCCGAAATCCCTGATGATGAATATCATCTTGGTTTTTTTTTTTCTTCATAAACCTAAAAATCTCTCATAAATTTGGTGGGAATCTATCCCAAGATAGATGCTGCAAAATATCCAGATTTTTTTTTCTAATTTAATTGAGATAAATAGAGCTTAATAGTAATGAAGTGCTAAAAATGCACTGTCCCAGTAGGAAAGATTTTTGGAGGCCTGGTTTGAAGGACACAAGGACACTAAGACCTGTTCTTTAGACTCAAGCGCCATCTTGTGGATTCTGACTACATTGAAGCTAACATGCTCCTTAGCAGCCCCATTTTTTTTCTTAGAGCAGAATGAAACCCCATTGTACCTGATGTCTGGCTGGATTTGATCTTCACAGGTCATGGGATTTTACCATTTAGAAAAAGATTCAGAAAAGTAGTTTTTTTTGAGGAATACAAGCGTGGTATTATTTTATTCTAGCCACACCTGATGAGTGGGGGACCAATTTGTTACAGAGCATCAGCAATGAACCCAAATGTTTTCTTGTTTATGCATGAGTATTTTTATTTTGGTGCAGCAAATATGAACATTGTATAGTTATCTGTGTTTATTTATTTTTTGTTTTATTTTATTCTATTTTATTTTATTTTATTTATTTATTTATTTGAGACGGAATCTTGCTGTGTCACCCAGGCTGGAGTGCAGTGGCGTGATCTCGGCTCACTGCAAGCTCCGCCTCCCGGGTTCAAGCAATTCTCCTGCCTCAGCCTCCTGAGTAGGTGGGATTACAGTCCTGCACCTCCATGCCCGGCTAATTTTGCATTTTTAATAGAGACAGGG
This sequence comes from Homo sapiens, assembly GCF_000001405.40. Taxonomy (NCBI): domain Eukaryota; kingdom Metazoa; phylum Chordata; class Mammalia; order Primates; family Hominidae; genus Homo; species Homo sapiens. The sequence goes on along the minus strand of NC_000008.11, from coordinate 39,891,637 downwards.
TTTCTCCATGTTGGTCAGGCTGGTCTCGAACTCCCAACCTCAGATGATCCGCCCGCCTCGGCCTCCCAAAGTGCTGGGATTACAGGCGTGAGCCACCGCGCCCAGCCTGTTTTGTTTTAAATAAAGATGGGGTCTCACCACGTTGAATAGGCTGATCTTGAATTCCTGGCCTCAAGCTGTCCTCCGACCTTGGCCTCCCAGAGTGTTAAGATTATAGGCCCCCACAACCCGGCGGATTTTATTTGTTAATGGTGAGATTTGTTTTTTTGAGATGGAGTTTTGCTCTTATTGCCCAGGCTGGAGAACAATGGAGTGATCTCAGCTCACTGCAACCTCTGCCTCCTGGGTTCAAGTGATTCTCCTGCCTCAGCCTCCCAAGTAGCTGGGATTACAGGTGCCCGCCACCATGCCCAGCCTACTTTGGATTTAGTCATCAAATCAGTGTATCTTTAGTGTATCTCTTAGAGCATGGCAAGACGAGTGCTCAACCACTTATGCAGTTCAAAAGCATTTTTAAGTCTGGACGGGGTGACTCACGCCTGTAATCCCAACACATTGGGAGGCCAAGGTGGGTGGATCACTTGAGGTCAGGAGTTCAAGACCAGCCTGGCCAACATGGGGAAACCCCATTTCTACTAAAAATGCAAAAATTAACCAGGTGTGATGGTGGGCACCTGTAATCCCAGCTACTGGGGAGGCTGAGGCAGGAGAATCACTTGAACCTGGGAGGCAGAAGTTGCAGTGAGCCAACAGCTTGCCACTGCACTCCAGCCTGGGCGACCCTGAGATTCTGTCTCAAAAAATAAAATAAAATAAAAATAAGTAAATAAACAAAAGCATGTTTAAGAGCAAACACTATAGTGAGAAGCTTACTAAAAAGAAATGATATATTATGGACAGTGTTTTAACTTATTTTCAGCAAATATACAAATGTAAACGTTTTCATTATGCAGTCTGTAAGGACCTCTTTTAAAAGATGATGGGCAGTTTTGTTTTGTAATGGAGATTCTGAAACCACAAAGTATTATACTATGTATGATTTGAATCTACCCAGCAATTCAATGAATGTCTCAAACTATATTGCCCATACATTAAAGAAGAAGTTTGGCAAGAATTTTGAAAGTATGAATTATTGACAAAAATTAATAAAAATTCCTAACTCTTGAAATTCAGAGATTAGCATTACTTGTCTGTATTTCAAAATTATATGATGAGCACCTCACAGGTAGACAAATTGAAAATGATCCTAAACTTTTGACCCAGCATGGAAAAGTTGATATTCACAGACAAAAATGTTTAACATTTGCTTTACCACTGTGGTGATTGTAAACCTTAGTTTACATACATTATTAAGGTTTTCTATTTTGTTCCATTGTACTGATGCTTCAAACACTTCTTTCTGATTTTTGAGTTCTATAGTTGATCTTGACACATCATTTGATGAATACTGGCTAAATTATGAAATCATGGAAGAAGCTATTACAAAAAATTTGTTACAAAAAGTTTTAAAAAGTGCAAATAACATATTATCATAAGTTTCAGAGAAAATGCTAATGCTGCATCTGTTGGAGCTTCCTGTACAGACTTTTCAACAGTATAGGACTGTACAACTCTGTTACAACTTTACAACTCTACAACTGTACAATACTGTTAGAACTTTGTACAGAGTCTCAGACAGAATTTGTCTGTCTGAGAATTTGTCTGTCTGTTGTATTGCAACATTCAATACAAATAACCTTGTTCCTATTAATAGTGTGAACACGGAATTTGTGGAAAGTCCATTGGACAAATTATCCATTTAAAAAATGCTTTCAGCCGGGTGCGGTGGCTCACGCCTGCAATCCTAGCACTTTGGAAGGCCTAGGTGGGTGGATCACCTGAGGTCAGGATTTCCAGACCAGCCTGGCTAACATGGTGGAACCCCATCTCTACTAAAAATACAAAAAATTAGCCAGGCGTGGTGGCAGTCACCTGTAATCCCGGCTACTCAGGAGGCTGAGGCAGGAGAATCTCTTGAACTGGGGAGGCGTAGGTTGCAGTGAGCTGATTGCGCCACTGCACTCCAGTCTGGGCAACAGAGAAAGAGTTTATTTCAAAAAAAAAAAAAAAAAAAAAAAAAAGCTTTCTCCAGGGCTGTTTATGCTGAAGCCATATATGGTTGTTCTTTGCAGTGGGTGCCTTTTCCTATTCTCATTAAGTATCACATGGGCCAAAAGTAGTCACACCTTAACCTCAACATCGTTTACATTATTCATAATTTATTAGTCAAAGGGAACAAAAAACACACCATTATTTTCCATTTAACATAATTTTCTGTCAGGATTTTTTGTAGAATTGGTATTATCTCTTCCATAAATGTGGGAATTCATTCATAAAGCCACCTGGGTCTGGAGTTTTCTATCTGACATTTTGAACTGATTTTAATTTATTTATTAAGTGGTTATTCAAATAATCTTTTTCTTTTGAATTGGCTTTGTTAATTTGTGGCTTTTGGTGTCACATTTACGTTGTCACATTTATTAGCATAACATTTTATGATATATATTATCTTTTTTTGCTATCTGTAAGATATGAAATAATGTCCCTTCTCCATTTTCTGATATTGGCAATTCTGCATCTTCTTGCTTTTTTTTCCCCTAATTAATTTGGCTAAACATTTATCAAGTCCATGATGAAGAAACAACTTTTGGTTTCACTATTTTTTTTCTATTGAGCACATTCTAGTTTATTACTTTTTATTTGTCACTATTTTCTTTCTTGTGCTCACTTCGTTTTGCTCTTCTTTTCCTATTTTTTTAAGACTACATCTTGATCATTTATTTGAGGCATTTTTTTTTCTAATATAAGCATTTAAAACTAAATTTCTTTCAAGGACTATTTTACCTACATGCCTCAAATTTTGCTATCTTGTATATTCAGTTTTATTCAGTTAAAATGGTTGCCAGATTTCCTGGTGATTTCTATTTCAAGCTGTAGTTTATTTAGAATTGTGTGATTTTTAAATATTCTTTAAAATATTTTGAGTTTTTTCATATATTGCAGTCAGAAAACATACTTAGTAAGATTTGAATCCTTTTAAACATATTGAATCTTTCTTTTTGGCACATAATGTGGTCTTTCATGGTATATGTTCTCTTATTCACTGAGAAAGAAGTTTATTTTTGAATTCATGCAATGTCTTATTGTTAATTCATTCCATGCCACTTAGTTTAAGTTGGTTGGTAATGTTTTCCTTTTTTTTTTTTTTTTTGAGATGGAATCTCGCTCTGTCACCCAGACAGAGCAGTGGTGTGATCTCGGCTCACTGCCACCTCCACCTCCCAGATTCAAGCGATCCTCCTACCTCAACCTCCTGAGTAGCTGGGATTACAGGCCCCTGCCACCATGCCCAGCTAATTTTTGTATTTTTAGTAAAGGCGGGGTTTCACCATGTTGGCCAGGCTGGTCTCAAACTCCTGACCTCAAGTGATCCACATGCCTTAGCCTCCCAAAATGCTGGGCTTACAGCCATGAGCCACTCCACCTGGCCGATAATGTTTTTCAAATGTTCTACATATTTGGTTATTTTTTTCTATTTTTTCTATTAATTCCAGGGAGAGAATGTGGGAATTAATCTCTAAGTATAATTGTGAATTTGTCTATTTCTCTTTTCAGTTCTGTTTGTTTTCATTTCTTGCATGTTGGAGCTTTGTTATTAGTTGCATGCACATTTTGCATTGTTATGGCTGCTTGATAAATTTATCCCTTTATTATTGCAGAAGTACTTCTTGAAATATTCTTGTCTTTAATTTCACTTTGTGTGCCATTAATGTAGCCACCTCTGCTCATTATTTTTGTTTGCATGGTGTATATTTTTCCATCTTTTTACTTTCATTCTTTCTCTGCCTTTATATTTAAAATAGGGTTTTTTTTGTAGACAACATGCAATTTTGTCTTGCTTTTCTTAATTCAATTTGATAATATCTGTTTTATAATTGAAAAATTGGGGAACTGCATCTCACGGACCAAATCTTGGCTACTATTTGTATTTTTTTGTTAACACAGCCACATTCATTTATTTCTGTATTGTCTGTGGCTTTTTAAATATTATGATGACAGAGTTGAATAGTTGCAATAGAGATTATATGGCCCGCAAGCCTAAAAGTAAATGTTTTGGTGCACTTTTTAAAAGAGATGCCTTTGGCTGCAATGTGAAATTTTAGATTGGCAGTTATTTTCCTTTTAGTCATTAAGATTTCATATAGTTGTCTTTTCCCATCTCTGGCATTCATGATTTCTAAACAGAAATTTACTGTCATTCTTATATTTGCAATTTTGGAAGCAAGGTGAATTTTCATTTTTGACTTATTTTAACATTTTCCTATCACTTGTTTTCAGCAATTGGATTATGATAGGCCAAGGTGAAAATTTTTCTCTGTGGTTATTCTTCTTGGAACTCACTGAGGTTCTGGAATGTGGAGTTTGCAGTTCAAATGCTGGGAAATTTTCAGCCAGTATTGCATCAAATATGTTTCCTGTTTCCCCTCCCCTGCCTCAAGGACTCCAATTACTCAAGTTTGATTACTTGATGTTATCCTAGAGGTTAATGACTGCGATGATTTGAATTTGTTCCCCAAAGTTCACATGTTGAAAACTTATGCAACAGTGTTGAGTTTAATAGGTAATTAGGTCGTGAGGGATCTGCCCTCATAAATAAATTAATATCATCATCCCATGTGAGTGGGTTTGTTATTGTGAGAGTGGTTTTGTAATAAAAGTAAGTTTGGCTCTCTCTTGCTCTTTCTCTAGCCATGAGATGCATTCCACCATATTATGACAGCATGAAGCCCCTAGCAAGATGCAGGCCCCACCATCTTGGACTTCCCAGCCTCCAAAACAGTGAAAAATACCTTTTTTCCTTCATAAATTACCTGGTGATTGGTATTCTGTTATAGCACACAACAGACTAAGACACAGCATTAGGTCATTCTTTTATTGTTTCTTTTCCTCTCTGTGTGTTTCATTTTGGGTCATTTTTATGGCCATGTCTTCAAGTTCCCGTATATTTTTTCCACAGTTTCTAATATGTTGTTAATCTTCCTTAGTTATTTTAAATGTTTTATTTTCTAATCACTAGAGGTTCCATTTGATGGATTTTTTTCCATTTATCTCATGATCACATTCATATATATATATATATATATAGAGAGAGAGAGAGAGAGAGAGAGAGAGGTTTTTTTTTTTTTTGAGATGGAGTTTTGCTTTTCTTGCCCAGGCTGGAGTGCAATGGCATGATCTTGGCTCACGACAACCTCTACCTCCTGGGTTCAAGCAATTCTCCTGCCTCAGCCTCCCAAGTAGCTGGGAATACAGGCATGCACCACCACGCCCAGCTAATTTTGTATTTTTAGTAGAGACAGGGCTTCTCCATGTTGGTCAGGCTGGTCTTGAACTCCCAACCTCAGGTGATCCACCTGCCTTGGCCTCTCAAAGTGCCGGGATTACAGGTGTGAGCCACTGCACCCAGCCCATGTTCATATTTTTAAAATATTGAGCATATGTATAATATTTATGATAGTTGTTTGAAAGTCTTCATCTATTCTACCATTTTTGTCATTTATGAAAAAATTCTATTTTTTGTGTATGAGTCACACTTTTTTGCTTCTCTGTTAGACATAACAGTTCATTGAATGCTGGGTATTGCAAATTTGTGTTGCTGACTGCTGAACATTAATGTATTCCTTTGAAAGGTGTTAGACTGTTTTTCCTGCATGAAGTTAAGCTCCTAATGGCTAACTTTTACTTTTTTCAAGATTTACTTTTAAGCTCATTAAGGTGGTTTCAGATTCTATTATTAGTCTGGTAAGATTTTTCCAAGGACTCTACATAATACCTCCTATTTAATGATATTTAATGATGAGAGGTGAAGCCAGCTGGGCTTCTGGGTTGGGTGAGGACTTGGAGAACTTTTCAGTCTAGCTAAAGGATTGTAAACACACCAGTCAGTGCTCTGTGTCTAGCTAAAGATTTGTAAACCCATCAATCAGCACTCTGTAAAAATGCACCAATCAGCATTCTGTGTCTAGCTAAAGGTTTGTAAATGCACCAATCGGCACTCTGTAAAAATGCACCAATAAGTGCTCTGTGTCTAGCTAAGGGTTTGTAAATGCACCAATAAGCACTCTGTAAAAACACACTGATAAGCGCTCTTTGTCTAGCTAAAGGTTTGTAAATGCACCAGTCAGCACTCTGTTAAAATGGACCAATCAGCACTCTGTAAAATGGATCAATCAATGCTCTGTAAAATGGACAATCAGCAGGAGGTGGGCAGGGCCAAAGAAGGGAGTAAAAGCTGGCCACCCGAGCCAGCAGCGACAACCTGCTCAGGTCCCCTTCCACGCTGTGGAAGCTTTGTTCTTTTGCTCATCACAATAAATCTTGCTGCTGCTCACTCTTTGGGTCCACACTACCTTTATGAACTGTAACACTCACTACGAAGGTCTGCAGCTTCACTCCTGAAGTCAGTAAGAACACAAACCCACTGAAAGGAAGAAACTCCAGACACATCTGAACATCTGAAGGAACAAACTACAAACACACCATCTTTAAGAACTGTAACACTCACTGCTAGGGTCCGCAGCTTCATTCTTGAAGGCAGCGAGACCAAGAACCCACTGGAAGGAGTCAATTCCAGACACATTTTGGCAACCACAAAGGGACTATCACATATCGCCAAGCAGTGAGTACCATCGGACCACTTTTGCTTGCTATTCTGCCCTATTTTTCCTTAGAATTCGGGGGTTAAATACTGAACACCTGTCAGCCAGTTAAAAGCAACTAGCATGGCCACTGGACTAAAGACACAGGTTTCAGGCTTTCTGGGAAAGGGCTCTCTAACAACCCCCGACTCTTCAGAGTTGGGAGCGTTGGTTTGCCTGGAACGAACTTCCACTTTTCCTGTACTTCTCGACTGAGCTGAGGGTCAGCAGAGAGGAAAGCCATTCAGCTCCAGGGTCCCAACAAGATGTTGGTTGACCTTGCAGCCATGAGCAGAACTCTCAAAGTCATGTCACCCAAGCGAGACTTGCCCATCTATCCTATCTATCCTGACCCTTGCCTCCTGGGTCCTAATGCCTGTCAGACAAACTTCCTCTTGCCTCTCTTCTTCAAGGATAGTCCTGCTTCTAAAAACCACTCCCTGTCTCTGGTGCTCTTCTAGTTTCTCCTGTAAGAATGATTTCTAGTATAAACTTCAGGACTCTGTTACCTTCTTTAGGCACCTGGGCTCACCAATCAGAAAGATATAATTTTTGCCCAAAGCCTCATTGTAGGGGGGACTAGCTGGAATTTAAGGATCCCTCCTCAGATAAGCAGGCCTAATAAAAGCTATTCCCGAAGCTAGGATATGGGGAGCCTCAGAAATTATATCCTTCCTATTCATATAAGTGGGGACAAAAGGCATATCTCTTCCAGCTCTGGAGATCCCTTCCCTCCCTCAGGATATGGCCCTCCACTTCATTTTTGGGGCATAACATCTGTATAGGACACAAGTAAAGTCCCAATACTAACAGGAGAATGCTTAGGACTCTAACAGGTTTTTGAGAATGCATCAATAAGAGCCACTAAATCCAATTTTTCTTCATCCTCTTTGTGGTCTAGGAGGACAGGAAAGGGTGCAGGCTTTTAAGGATGCATCAGTAGGGGCCTCTAAATCCTACCATCCTTGGTCCTCCTTGTGGTCTAGGAGGAAAACTAGCATTTCTGCTGCTGTGTCAGTGAGTGCAACTATTCCAATCAGCAGGGTCCAGGGACTGTTGCAGGTTCTTGGGCAGGGGGAGAAACAAACAAACCAAAACCATGGGTGGTTTTGTCTTTCAGATGGGAAACACTCAGGCATCAACAGGCTCACCCTTGAAATGCATCCTCAGTCATTGGGACCAATTTGACCCACAAACCCTGAAAAAGAGGTGGCTCTTTTTTTCTGCACTATGGCCTAGCCCCAATATTCTCTCTCTAATGGGGAAAAATGGCCACCTGAGGGAAGTATAAATTATAATACTATCCTGCAGCTTGACGTTTTCTGTAAGAGGGAAGGCAATAGAGTGAAAACCTTATGTCCAAGCTTTCTTTTCATTGAAGAATACAAAACTACACCAAGCTTGCAATTTACATCCCACAGGAGGACCTCTCAGCTTACCCCCATATCCTAGCCTCCCTATATAGCTCCCCTTCCTGTTAATGATAAGCCTCCTCTAATCTCCCTTGCCCAGAAGGAAGTAAGCAAAGAAATCTCCAAAGGACCACAAAACCCCCCAGGCTATCGGTTATGTCCCCTTCAAGCTGTAGGGGGAGGGGAATTTCGCCTAACCCCGGTACATGTCCCCTTCTCCCTCTCTGATTTAAAGCAGATGAAGGCAGACCTGGGGAAGTTTTCAGTTGATCTTGATAGGTATATAGATGTCCTACAGGGTCTAGGGCAAACCTTCAATATCATTTGGAGAGATGTCATGCTATTGTTAGGTCAAACCCTGGCCTTTAATGAAAAGAATGAGGCTTTAGCTGCAGCCCGAGAGTTTGGAGATACCTGGTATCTTAGTCAAGTAAATGATAGAATGACAGCTGAAGAAAGGGACAAATTCCCTACCGGTCAGCAAGCCATCCCCATTATGGATCCCCACTGGGACCTCGACTCAGATCATGGGGACTGGAGTTGCAAACATCTGTTGACCTGTGTTCTAGAAGGACTAAGGAGAATTAGGAAAAAGACCATGAATTATTCAATGATGTCTACCATAACTCAGGGAAAGGAAGAAAATCCTTCTGCCTTCCTCGAGCAGCTACTGGAGGCCTTAAGAAAATATACTCCCCTGTCACATGACTCACTCAAGGGTCAGTTGATTCTAAAAGATAAGTTTATTACCCAATCAGCTGCAGATAACAGAAGAAAGCTCCAAAAGCGAGCCCTGGGCCCTGAACAAAATCTGGAGGCATTATTAAACCAGGCAACCTCAGTGTTCTATAATAGGGACCAACAGGAACAGGCCCAAAAGGAAAAGCAAGATCAGAGAAAGGCCACAGCCTTAGTCATGGCCCTCAGACAAACAAACCTTGGTGGTTCAGAAGGGACAGAAAATGGAGCAGGCCAATCACCCAGTAAGGCTTGTTATCAGTGTGGTTTACAAGGACACCTTAAAAAAGATTGTTTAATGAGAAACAAGCTGCCCCCTCTCCCATGTCCACTATGCTGAGGCAATCACTGGAAGGCACACTGCTCCAGAGTAAAAAGGTTCTTTGGGCCAGGAGCCCCCAACCAGATGATCCAACAACAGGACTGAGGATGTCTGGGGCAAGCGCCAGCTCATGTCATCACCCTCACTGAGCCCCAGGTACATTTAACCATTGAGAGCCAGGAAATTGACTTCCTCCTGGGCACTGGCGTGGCCTTCTCAGTGTTAATCTGTCCTGGATGACTGTTCTCAAGGTCTGTTACCATCTGAGGAATCCTGGGACAGCCTGTAACCAGGTATTTCTCCCACCTCCTCAGTTGTAATTGGGAGACTTTGCTCTTTTCACATGCCTTTCTTGTCATGCCTGAAAGCCCCACAACCTTATTAGGGAGGCATATATTAGCCAAAGCTGGAGCTATTATCTACATGAATATGGGGTACAAGTTACCCATTTGTTGTCCCTTACTTGAGGAGGGAATCAAACCTGAAGTCTAGGCATTGGGAAGACAAATTGGAAGGGCAAAAATTCCCACCCAGTCCAAATCAGACTAAAAGACCCCACCACTTTTCCTTATCAAAGGCAATATCCCTTAAGGCCTGAAGCTCATAAAGGATTACAGGATATTGTTAAACATTTAAAAGTTCAAGGCTTAGTAAGGAAATGCAGCAGTCCCTGCAACACCCCAATTCTAGGAGTACAAAAACTGAATGGTCAGTGGAAACTAGTGCAAGATCTTAGACTAATCAATGAGGCGGTAATTCCTCTGTATCCAGTTGTACCGAACCCCTATATCCTGCTCTCTCAAATACCAGAGGAAGAAGAATCGTTCACGGTTCTGAACCTCAAGGATGCCTTCTTCTGTATTACCCTGCACTCTGACTCCCAGTTTCTCTTTGCCTTTGAGGATCCCACAGACCACACATCCCAACTTACATGGACAGTCTTGCCCCAAGGGTTTAGGAATAGCCCTCATCTGTTTGGTCAGGCACTGGCACAAGATCTAGGCCACTTCTTAAGTCCAGGCATTCTGGTCCTTCAGTATGTGGATTATTTACTTTTGGCTACCAGTTCGGAAGCCTCGTATCAGCAGACTACTCTAGATCTCTTGAACTTTCTAGTTAATCAAGGATATGAGGCGTCTAGGTCGAAGGCCCAGCTTTGCCTACAGCAGGTCAAATATCTAGGCCTAATCTTAGCCAGAGGGACCAGGGTGCTCAGCAAGGAATGAATACAGCCTATACTGGCTTATCCTCACCCTAAGACATTAAAACAGTGGTGGGGGTTCCTTGGAATCATGGGGATTTGCCGACTATGGATCCCCGGATACAGCTAGATAGCCGGGCCCCTCTATACTCTAATCAAGGAGACCCAGAGGGCAAATACTCATCTAGTAGAATGGGAACCAGGGGCAGAAACAGCCTTCAAAACCTTAAAGCAGGCCCTAGTACAAGCTCCAGCTTTAAGCCTTCCCACAGGACAAAACTTCTCTTTATATGTCACAGAGAAAGCAGGGATAGCTCTTGGAGTCCTTACTCAGACTCGTGGGACAACCCCACAACCAGTGGCATACCTAAGTAAGGAAATTGATGCAGTAGCAAAAGGCTGGCCTCACTGTTTATGGGTAGTTGTGGCAGTGGCCATCTTAGTGTCAGAGGCTATCAAAATAATACAAGGAAAGGATCTCACTGTCTGGACTACTCATGATGTAAATGGCACACTAGGTGCCAAAGGAAGTTTATGGCTATCAGACAACCATCTACTTAGATACCAGGCAGTACTTCTTGAGGGACCGGTGGTTCAAATACATATGTGCGTGGCCCTCAACCCTGCCACTTTTCTCCCAGAGGATGGGGAATCCATCGAGCATGACTGCCAACAAATTATAGTCCAGACTTATGCCACCCAAGATGATCTGTTAGAAGTCCCCTTAGCTAATCCTGACCTTAACCTATATACTGATGGAAGTTCATTTGTGGAGAATGGGATATGAAGGACAGGTTATGTCATAGTTAGTGATGTAACCATACTTGAAAGTAAGCCTCTTCCCCCTGGGACCAGCGTCCAGTTAGCAGAACTAGTGGCACTTACCCAAGCATTAGAACTGGGAAAGGGAAAAAGAATAAATGTGTATACAGATAGCAAGTATGCTTATCTAATCCTACATGCCCATGCTGCAATATGGAAAGAAAGAGAGTTCCTAACCTCTGGGGGAACCCCCATTAAATACCACAAGGAAATTATGGAGTTATGGCACACAGTGCAAAAACCCAAGGAGGTGGCAGTCTTACACTGCCAAAGCTATCAGAAAGATGAAGGAGAAAAGGCAGAAAGACACAGTCAGGCACATGCTGGGGCCAAAATTGCTGCCAGGCAAAACCTCCCATTAGAAATACCTATGGAAGGACCCTTGGTATGGAACAACCCCCTACAAGAGATTAAGCCCCAGTATTCCCCAACTGAAACAGAATGGGAACTTTCGCGGGGGCATAGTTTTCTCCCCTCAGGGTGGTTAATGACAGAAGAAGGAAAGGTACTTATACCCAAAGACAGCCAGTGGAAAATACTTAAAACCCTCCACCAAACTTTTCATATGGGTATTGAAAACACTCATCAAGTGGCCAAATCCCTATTTACAGGGCCAAATTTCCTCCAGACCATCTGACAGGTAGTCAAAGCCTGTGAGGTGTGCCAAAGGGGTAATCCCTTGGTCCATCGTAAGCCCCCTTTGGGGGAACAAACAATAGGTCACTATCCTGGAGCAGACTGGCAGTTAGACTTCACCCATATGCTTAAGTCAAAGGGATTTCAAAACTTGTTGGTCTGTGTTGATACCTTTACAAATTGGATAGAAGCTTTCCCCTGCAAGACAGAGAAGGCTCAGGAAGTGATTAAAGTCCTAATTCATGAAATAATTCCTAGATTTGGGCTTCCCCAAAGCTTACAGACTGACAATGGTCCAACTTTTAAAGCCACGATAACTCAGGGAATTTCCAGGGCGCTGGGATACAATATCACCTTCACTGCACCTGGAGGCCACAATCCTCAGGGAAGATTGAGAAGGCCAATGAAACACTCAAGAGGCACTTAAGGAAACTAACACAAGAAACTCATCTCCCATGGCCTACTCTTTTCCTCATGGACTTGTTGAGAATCCAAAATTTTCCTTGCAAAATGGGCTCAGTCCATATGAAATGCTGTATGGATGATCTTTTCTCACAAATGACCTCCTACTTGATCAGAATATGGCCAACATGGTCAAAGATATAACTTCTTCAAAATATCAACAAAACCTTTAAAATCTATGTCACAGAGAGAGCAGGGATAGCTCTGAAGGATGTCCAGAGAAAAGGGAACAGAGTTGTTTCAACCAGGAGATCTAGCGTAGGTCAAATCTCTCCCCTCTACCTCCCCATCTATGGACTCTGTGGGAAGGACCATACTCAGTAATCCTCTCTACCCCCACTGCAGTTAAGGTGGCAGGAGTGGAATCTTGGATTCACCACACCTGAGTTAAATTTTGGACACCCCCTGAGGAACCTGTGGGACTGTCAGCTCAGGAGTCCCAAGATCAGCCAGACCAGCCTCGATAAACCTGAGAACCATTAGAGGACTTGCATCTCCTATTTCAGAAGGAAATATCCCAGACTAAAAAGGCTCCTACCACTGATCCTGAAGAAAAACTCCATCCTCCTTAAAAAAGATAAGTGAAAACCTACATAATCTTTATCTTTAACACCCCTCCTTACCCCTTTAATGGAATCCTTTTACTATTTCATTATATTATTAAGCAGCATACTAACCATACTCTTTGTGATAGGGCTATATACTGTAGTTCCTGCTGGGACAAAAATCCTAATCACATCAACCTTATTTCTATCTTCCTTCCTTCTGACTGCAATTTACTCCTACCTTTAACTCAGCCTGGATAAAATGATTTCGTCTTCCAGAGCACACTCTTTACCTTCCTATTTACTCTTTGCTTACCTATACCTCCTGCTTCCTTGGATACCTCATACAATCACCCCTCCCTTTCCACTAGCTCCTAATTGCCTCTACAAGACTCTCAACTTAACCCACTCTCTGTTAAACCAGTCCAATCCTTCCCTGGCAAATGACTGTTGTCTTTGTGTCTCTCTATCAACCTCTGCTTACGTTGCCACTCCCATTCCCACAAAACATTGGGTCTTTAACAACTTAACCTACCACCCTCATTACGAAGGGAAAGACCCTTTCAGACTTCTAAATATGCAATCATTAGCCAACTTCTCCATCTCTGATAGGGCCAAGAATACCCTAACAAGATGTGCAATCCAACTTTTATGTTCTTACATTTCCAACCTCACCTATTACACAAGCAATGAAAAGCCCATACACGGCCCTGTTACCATGAATACGATCTTAACTTTCCAAGCCCCTTTATGCATCCAACACAACCTGTTATCAGGTCTGCCCCTGGGGCACCTACTACCCCATCTGTGTAATTACACTCTACAACTTCAAGCCCCAACTGATCATAGTAACTTCTGAGTCACCCAAAGAGCTCCATTCAGATGGCTTGTCTACTTCTCAGGGCCCGCAAAAATCATCACCTCCTCCCTGCTTAACGAACAGTCCAGGTTTTATAATGGCAAACTTACTCCCAGCCTGAACATTCACCCCTGGACCCCTTGCAGCAGGGCCCCCACCACTAATGAATGCCTTCTCATCCCCTCTTTCAATCACTCTCTCTAATGGTTCCTAGTAGATACAAAATGGTTTTTTCTCCAATGGGAAAATAGAACACAGGGAGCCACTCAGTTTACTCCCAACACTCTTTTCCAGCTGCTCAGCAGAGCTACCTTGGCAAGTACTCTAGGAGTATGGGAAAATGAAAACAACAAAGTCACACACCTTTTTAACATACACAACCAGTTCTGTCTACCCAGCCAAGGTATATTCTTATGTGGAATGTTGACCTATATCTGCCTCTCCACTAACTGGACAGGCACCTGCACCTTAGTCTTTCTAAGTCCCAACATTAACATTGCCCCAGGAAATCAGACCCTATCGGTACCCCTCAAAGCTCAAGTCCATCAGTGCAGAGCCATACAACTAATACCTCTACTTATAGGGTTGGGAATGGCTACTGCTACAGGAACCAGAATAGCCGATTTATCTACTTCATTATCCTACTACCACACACTCTCAAAGGATTTCTCAGACAGTTTGCAAGAAATAACGAAATCTATCCTTACTCTACAATCCCAAATAGACTCTTTGGCAGCAGTGACTCTCCAAATCACCAAGACCTAGACCTCCTCACTGCTGAGAAAGGAGGACTCTGCACCTTCTTAGGGGAAGAGTGTTGTTTTTACACTAACCAGTCAGGGATAGTATGAGATGCTGCCCAACATTTACAGGAAAATGCTTCTGAAATCAGACAACACCTTTCAAATTCTTATACCAACTTCTGAGGTTGGTAACATGGCTTCTCCCCTTCCTAGGTCCCATGGCAGCCATCTTGCTATTACTCACCTTCAGGCCCTGTATTTTTAGCCTCTTTGTCAAATTTGTTTCCTCTAGGATCAAGGCCATCAAGCTACAGATGGTCTCACAAATGGAATGCCAAATGAGCTCAACTAACATCTTCCACCAAGGACTCTTGGACTGACCCACTGACCCTTTCACTGGCCTAAAGAGTTCCCCTCTGGAGGACACTATAACTGCAGGGCCCCTTCTTTGCCCCTATCCAGCAGGAAGTAGCTAGACTGGTCATCCCCCAATTCCCAACAGCAGTTAGGATGTCCTGTTTAGAGGGGGGATTGAGAGGTGAAGTCGGCTGGGCTTCTGGATTGGGTGGGGACTTGGATAACTTTTTTGTCTAGCTACAGGATTGTAAACACACAAATCAGTGCTCTGTGTCTAGCTAAAGGTTTATAAATGCACCAAACAGCACTCTGTAAAAACACACCAATCAGTGCTCTGTGTCTAGCTAAAGGTTTGTAAATGCACCAATCAGCACTCTGTAAAAATGGACCAATCAGCACTCTGTAAAATGGACCAATCAGTGTTCCATAAAATGGACCAATCAGCAGGATATGGGTGGGGCCAAACAATGGAATAAAAGCTGGCCACCCAAGCCGGCAGTGGCAACCCTCTCAGGTCCCCTTCCATCCTGTGGAAGCTTTGTTCTTTCACTCTTCACCATAAATCTTGCTGCTGCTCACTCTTTGGGTCCACACTACCTTTATGAGCTGTAACACTCACTGCGAAGGTCTGTGGCTTCACTCCTGAAGTCAGCGAGACCACAAACCCACCAGGAGGAACAAACAACTCCAGACATGCCACCTTTAAGAGCTGTAACACTCACTGAGAAGATCTGTGGCTTCAAACCCACTGGGAGGAACAAACAACTCTGGACGCACCACAGTTAAGAGCTGTAACATGCCGAGACCAGCTGGGTCAGGGAGACCCTAACCCAGTGGCACTAGAGGAATTAAAGACACACACAGAAATATAGAGATGTGGAGTGGGAAATCAGGGGTCTCACAGCCTTCAGAGCTGAGAGCCTTGAACAGAGATTTACCCACGTATTTATTGACAGCAAGCCAGTGATAAGCATTGTTTCTATAGATTGGAATATAGATGAACTAAAAGTATTCCTTATGGGAAACAAAAGGATGGCCGAAATAAAGGGATGGCTTTGGCTAGTTATCTGCAGCAGGAGCATGTCCTTAAGGCACAGATCACTCATGCTATTGCTTGTAGTTTAACAATGCCTTTAAGTGGTTTTCTGCCCTGGGTGGGCCAGGTGTTCCTTGCCCTCATTCTGGTAAACCCGCAACCTTCCAGCGTGGGCATTATGGCCATCATGAACATGTCACAGTGCTGCAGAGATTTTGTTTATGGCCAGTTTTAGGGCCAGTTAATGGCCAGATTTTGGGGGGGGGGGCGGTCCTGTTCCCAACATGTCCCCCTTATTTGATTTGCAAAGTGATAAAAGCAAAGGCAGCTTTGTCACAGTGAGCTACTTCTTGCAGGAGTCAGGATCTGCATCTGCAGACTATACAAAGACAAACAACACAGATTAAAGGTACAATCATTATTGGAATCACAGAGCTTCCCAGTGTTTTTATCCATTTTAATCAGTTACTAGCTGCTAATCAGTCTGCAGCTCCTTCAAGCACTCCAGTTCCTGGCATTAAGGTCAGGTGTGCCTGGGATGTTTTAAATATTTGTTCTTTAATTTTGCAATATCCAAAGACAAGTTTGTAGAGTGTCCTTCTAAATGCTTTTTTATTCTTTCCCAAATTTTGATCTTATTAAGAGCTATTAATGGTTTCCACAAATCCTTACATTAAGCTCCTAGAGCAGGCCATATCATTTGAGGTTGAGGTGTCACTATACAGCCATGGTTCCAGATAATAGAATTCTTGCCATACTTCTTTCCATTTCTACCATCTGACCATTTTGTTCAGACCAGCTGAACATAGTGTGGCCATGGCACACAGACTGAGTGGTGCAATTTAAGCTAAACATCCCCTTAGGGGACCGATCAATAATGATTCCATAGGAATCGTTGCACAGCACCTCTGCCTGTTCTGCAATGCAATCTTCCTAAACAAGAACATTCATTATTTCTGGCCAGGTTCTATTTTGTTTACAAATAGGTTTTTGAGGGCAGTATGCCTCAATTATAGGAGCAGATTTATTATGGTAAATACT
Source organism: Homo sapiens (assembly GCF_000001405.40). Classification (NCBI taxonomy): domain Eukaryota; kingdom Metazoa; phylum Chordata; class Mammalia; order Primates; family Hominidae; genus Homo; species Homo sapiens. The sequence continues at coordinate 39,874,726 of NC_000008.11, read as the reverse complement.
GAGACCAGAAAGCATGTGTAACTGTGTCACGGAGTGATTACATTCAGGCATTATTGCCAGCCAAGATTGATAAATATGCCCAATAAGTATAACTGTTCTCTGTGTCAGCCCTTGTTGAAGGAATACTCATGGCAATGGTGATCACCGGTGTCATAGCTACCATTAAATTACTCATTGTGACTGTTTGCCCCACTTTCCTCAGGTTTTCTTCTGCCATCTGTGACAGTTTCTTGATCTGTCCCCAGGTGGGAGGCTGTGTTCGATGGGTGTTGCACATGACAGTTGGGGTCCTCCTCAGCATCAGCCTCGACATGGCTGCAACCAAGAGGTCCTTGGGATGCTCCTGGAATCTCTTCCTCAGCATCTGGCTCATGATAAGTTTTCAGATGTCTTGATGGTATCCAAATTGGCTGTTGATTTTGGCCTGGAGAAACACAAGCATAACCTCTACCCTAAGTTATTATTTTATCTATTTCCCAACTTTTTGTTATCAGATCTGTCCACCAAACCAATTGTTTTGCTTCTGTCTTTGCAGCTGGTTTCTGTAGATGCTGTTAAGCTGCTGATAACATCTGGCCTTTGGGCAGGCTCAAAAAATTTAAAGTTAATAATGCTAGATTCAATTGTGTGTGAACTGCCCCTTAATCCCTGTTTCTCCCCCTTTTTTGTTTTTGTCATCAGTTGATTATCTGTATGAAATCGTAACAGCATTTTCAATTAACTGTGTGGAATGAGCCATGTATGAAGACTCAGAAATCACTTTAATAGGCATATTGAAAGCAATCAATATCTCAATTACAGCTACAAGCTCCGCTTTTTGAGCTGCAGTATAGGGCATCTGGAAAACTTTAGTTTTTGAGCCAGAATAAGAAGCTTTACCTTTACTAGACCCATCTGTGGAACATGAAAACTCTTAGCAGGCTGCAGGTTATTTACCGCAGGAATTGTAAACGCAAACCTTTCACAGTCTTGCTCAGCTAAGGGGATAGTAAAGAAACAGTCTTTAAATCTATGACTATTAAAGGCCAATTTTAAGTCCTCTAAAGCCTTCAGTTTCTCTTTACTCTGTGGTCATTCTTCTATCCAAATTGGCTTTTCTGTTAACCATTTTAAAGATATAGGTTCTGGAGACTTAACAATGGCATCATCAAAAATGATATCCTAAACCTTGGCAGGAACTTTGTCTTTCCCCTTGAAGTGGTTCCTTTAAACCTTGCAAATTTTTTCCTAGTCCCATACCACAGACATATCCCATTTCATGCATCATATGTTGACTTTGAGGGCTGTATAATTGTTCTGGAATTAGAACTTGTGCTCCCCATTGTTGTAACAAATCTCTCCCCCATAAATTTATAGGTACAGAAGTTATAATTGGTTGAATAGTCCCAGGTTGTCCATCGGGCCCTTCACAGTGCAAAATATAACTACTTTGATATATTTCAGGGGCTTTGCCAACTCCAACTGTGTTAAATTGAGTGGGTTGAATTGGCCACATGGATGGCCACTACTGTACAGAAATGATTGAAATGTCCTCCTGTATCTACCAAACCTTTAAATTTCTTTCCTTGAATAGTTATTTCACAGGTAGGATGTTTATCAGTAATTTGATTCACCCAACAAGCTGCTTTACCTTGTGTATTTGTGCTTACAAATCCTCCTGTTCATTTTTTTGTTTGTTTGTTTGTTTTTGAGATGGAGTCTTGCTCTGTCACCCAGGCTGCAGTGCAGTGGGGCAATCTCCACTGACTGCAAGCTCCGCCTCCCAGGTTCACACCATTCTACTACCTCAGCCTCCTCAGTAGCTGAGATAACAGGCACCTGCCACCACGCTCAGCTAATTTTTTTTGTATTTTTTAGTAGAGACGGGGTTTCACTGTGTTAGCCAGGATGGTGTTGATCTCCTGACCCTGTTATCTGCCCACCTTGGCCTCCCAAAGTGCTGGGATTACAGGCATGAGACACCGAGCCTGGCTCCTCCTGTTCATTTCATTTCACTTTTCCCCATTTCCACATACGGCACAATCAGGAGCTGTGCTGTACGCTCTCCTGGCTTTGCTTTCCAGAGAACAGAAGTAGATATAACAATTTCAATTTCCCCCATTGTAGTCTGAATCAATGACTCCTGTATGTATTTTTACCCCTTTTAAATTTAAATTAGACCTGCCGAGAAGTAATCCTAACGTCCCTGCTGGCAAGGGTCCACAGACTCCTGTTGGAACCTTCTGCGGGGGTTCCCAGGCAGAAGGCTCACATCTTTTGTGCAGCATAAATCTACTGCAGCACTACCAGCTGTGGTGGGGGACAGATATTGTACAGGGGTGAGGGAATGGCCTGAGCTGGAAATGCCCTGGTTTGGAAAGGGGCCCAGGATGGGCCCCTTATGACATTTCCTGAAATCGGGTTCCCATCTTTATCAAACTTAGAGTGACACTGATTAGCCCAATGTTTTCCTTTTTTACATTTTGGACATATTTCAGACTCAGCAGTTTTCTTTTTTTCCATATCTGGCAGCCTGACTCACTGATTTTTTCTACATTCTTTTTTAGTATGACCATGCTTCCCAAAGTTAAAACAAGCTCCAGGAAACAGAGTATTTCCTTTATCCACTCTCAGTCCTGCCATTTCCTGTGCCAACAAAGTAGCTTTATGCAGATTACCTCTGATACCATCACAGGCCTTGATATAATGAACTAAATGTTCTTTCCCTTTAATAGGTCACAGAGTAGCCTGGCAATCAGGATTAGCATTGTCAAAAGCTAATAACCGAAACACTATATCCTGTGCAGCCGAATCTGTAATTACCTTTTTAAGAGACTCCTGTAACCAAGCTATAAAATCCACATACGGTTCTTTCAGTCCCTGTTTTACAGCACTAAAGGAAGGGTATTGTTCTGCACCTGAAGTGACTTTTTTTCCCAAGCTCTAATGCACACTCCTCTAAGCTGTTCTATGGCATCATCCTGCATGACCACTTGTACATCTAAAACTGCCCAGCTGTCAACACCCAAAAGCTGGTCTGCAGTTATATTAATTTGAAGTTGGGCCTGGGTGTTGCGAGCAGCCTGAATGGAAGCTTCATCTGCCCACCAAGTTTTAAATTGTAAAAACTGAGCAGGAGTTAGACAAGCTCAAGTAAGAGGATCCCAGTCAGTAGGAATCATCCAACTGGAAAAAGCAACATTCTTTAACAGTCCCATTACAAAAGGAGACCCTGGTCCATACTGACTAATAGCTTGTTTAAATTCTGTGAGTAATTTAAAAGAAAAAGGCTCAAATGTAGCTATAATATTTCCCTGTTGATCTAGGGGATGTACTCTAACAGGGAACTGCCAAGCCTCTGTATCACCATCTCATCTAGCTTGCTGAATTCCTGCCTGAATAGAACTGAGAGTAGTCACTGGAGGTGCTGCTCTAACAGTCACTGGGGCAACTACTTTTTGCCCAGTGTCCTCCAGAAAAGAAAGATCTGGAGGGTCAGGCCACTCTTTTTCTTCAAAATAATAATGAGGGGATGCAGAAGGGTAGGGATGAACCTCTCCCTCCTTTGCTGCTTTTGTTTTAGCTGGCAAACAAACCTGCTCTCTAACCTCTTCTGCTCCTTCATTATACTCTCCTTCCTCCTCATCATTAGTGTGAAAAGGTTCTAAAGTGGAACGAACCAGAGCCCACACTTGTCCCATTGTTACCCTGATGCTTCTGAGCTCCCCTTCTTACTCACCATGGGGATTGCTTTAAGAGTACTCGGGTGTCCTCCAGCTTAGGTCCACATTCTCCAACTGTTGCTCTGGTGACCCTTTGACCTGGATTCGAGCCCCCACGATGGACACCACTTGCTGAGACCAGCTTGGTCAGGGTGACCCTAACCCAGCGACACTAAAGGAATCAAAGACACACACACAGAAATATAGAGGTGTGGAGTGGGAAATCAGGGGTCTCACAGCCTTCAGAGCTGAGACCCTTGAACAGAGATTTACCCACATATTTATTGACAGCAAGCCAGTGATAAGCATTGTTTCTATAGATTATAGATTAACAAAAAGTATTCCTTATGGGAAACAAAATGATGGCTGAAATAAAGGGATGGCTTTGGCTAGTTATCTGCAGCAGGAGCATGTCCTTAAGGCACAGATCACTCATGCTATTGTTTGTGGTTTAACAATGCCTTTAAGCAGTTTTCCACCCTGGATGGGCCAGGTGTTCCTTGCCCTCATTCTGGTGAACCCACAACCTTCCAGCTTGGGCATTATGGCCATCACAAACATGTCACAGTGCTGCAGAGATTTTGTTTATGGCCAGTTTTGGGCCAGTTAATGGCCAGATTTTGGGGGGCCTTTTCCCAACAGTAACACTCATTGCAAAGGTCTGCGGCTTCACTCCTGAAGTCAGCAAGACTACGAACCCACTGAAAGGAAGAAACTCTGGACACATCTGAACATCTGAAGGAACAAACTTCAGACACACCATCTTTAAGAACTGTAACACTCACACGAGGGTCCACAGCTTCATTCTTGAAGTCAGCAAGACCCAGAACCCACTGGAAGGAACCAATTCTGGACCCAATGATACCTCTCTACTTTAGTAGATGGGAACAAAGACCGTTTCCAGTCTTGTGTGAGTTATAGAAATTGCTTGGTCTTCTGCTAATTCCTTAACTCTGTGGAACTTCACTCCATGCCTGCCCAGAGTAGAATTCAGGCAAACACTCAAGAGATCTCCTTTGCATATTTCTCAAGCTCTACCTCTGTGCAGTTTTCCTCTCTTTGGTACTTTTGCTTACAAATAGCTGCAAACTCACCCTTTCTGCATTTTGATCTTATCTCCTCAACTCAGTTAGAATGCCAGATTATTTTGATTTCCCCTTAATATATTGAGAGCTACCTCCTATTATTAAGCTGGGACCATCACAGAGCTCCCCTTGTTTCCTTTCCGTATCTCAGAGATCCTTGTCTTGTGCTACCTGTTGTCCAGTGTCTGAACATCATTGTTCCATGTATCTGTCTGATTTGTTTATGGACAGAGAAATCTCCATAACAGGTAATGCTTCATAGGTCATTGAAAAAAATCTGAAGTTTGATTTTGTTTGAGATGGAGTCTTTCTGTCACCCAGGCTGGAGTGCAGTGGCACAATCGCAGCTCACTGCAACTGCCTCTTGGGTTCAAGCCATTCTTCTGCCTCAGCCTCCCCAGTAGCTGGGATTACAGGTGTGCACCACCACATCCAGCTAATTTTTGTATTTTTAGTAGAGATGGGATTTCACCTTGTTGGCCAGGCTGGTCTCAAACTACTGACCTCGTGACCTGTCTGCTTTGGCCTCCAAAGTGCTGGGATTACAGGCATGAGCCACTGTGCCCAGCCATGAAGTTTGATTTTATAAAATGCTATTTCAATACTTTTAAGGTGCTGTTGTTTATTTTTTAAACCACCTTAAATCTATTAAAGGACAGAACACCTTCATTCATTTTCTAATATTAAACTGATCTTGCATTCTTGGATTGAATCAAATTTGTTTATACATTTATATTAGGAATCTTAATTGAGCTTTCTAATACTTTGTTTAAGGTGATTGTATCCATATTAATCAGTGAAATTTCCCTCCAATTTGTCTTTCTTAATGGTGCTTTGATTTTTTTCCACCTTTCATTTTCTCTTCCCTGGAAGTGTTTTTAGGAGATTGAAATTATTTGTTTCACTTTTTTTTTTTTTTGTAGGAGTTACCAGAAAAGCTATGGGACTGAAGCTACATTTGGGAAGATTTTGACATAATGATTCAAATGGTTTAATTAATATGGAAATACTCATTTGTCTCTATGTTTGAATCAATGGAATGAGTTATATTTTTTAGGAACTTTTTTGTTTCATCTGAATTTGGCAATTTATTGTCACATTGTTTATTGTGATCTGTTTTCATCTTTTTAACTTTTGTAGCTAATATGACCTTTTCATTTATGACATAGCTTATTTGTGCCTTTCCATTATTTTATTGATTAATCTTATGAATATTTTGTTTTGAGGTAATAATCCTTGGGTCAAGGATACAAAAGGGTGGCACCAGTTTAAGGTTGGAGAAGCAGTTGCTGAGCAGATGTCCTCACAGAAGTATTGTTTTGTATAAGATGACTTTTTTATGCAAGGTTGCGGTTTACATAGAGTGTTTTGTGATTTTTTTTTTTTTTTTTTTTTTTTTTTTTGAGATGGAGTCTTGCTCTGTCACCCAGGCTGGAGTGCAGTGGTATGATCTTGACTCATTGCAACCTCTGCCTCTCAGGCTCAAGCAATCCTTATGCCTCAGCCTCCCCATTAGCTGGGACTACAGGTGTGTGCCATCATGCCTGACTAATATTTTTTGTATTTTCAGTAAAGACAGGGGTTTCACCATGTTGGCCAGGCTGGTCTCGAACTCCTGACCTCAAGTGATATGCCTACCTCATTCTCCCAAAGTGTTTGGATTACAGGCATTAACCACTGCACTTGGCCATTTGTGTTATCAGGGATTCATGCATGAGAACCCTCCCTTCATGGCTTTTCCTGATTTAATTTGCCAGGTTTTTTATTTTATTTTGTATTTTTACACAAATGACATAGTTTAGATATCTGTCTCCTCGAAATTTCATGTTGAATTTTGATCCTAATGGGAGGTGTCTGGGTCATAACAGCAGATCCTTCATGAATGGTTTGGTGCTGTCCTCATGGTAATGAATGAGTCCTCCCTTTATTAGTTCCCATGGGAATTGGTTGTTTAAAAAGTCCAGCACACTGGCTCCCCATCACTTCCCCTTCACCTTCTGCCATGAGTGGAAGCAGCTTGAGGCCCTCACCACACACAGATGCCAGAGCCATGCTTCTTTTACGGCCTGCAGAACCCTGAGATAAACAAATCTCTTAACAACAAACCTTTCTTTACAAACTATCCAGCATGGGAGTATAGTAAAAAAGTATCTAGAATTCAAACTTCTCATGGAACATCTGGACCCAGAAGAAGAAAGAAGAAGAAGAAGAAGAGGAAGAAGAAGGAGAAGGAGAAGGAAAAGGAGAAGGAGAAGAAGAAGGAGGGGGAAGGGGAGGTGAAGGAGGGGGAGGAGGAGGAAGGCGGAGGAAGAAAAAGAAGAAGAAGAAGAGGAGGAAGGAGAAGGATGAAGAGGAGGAAGAGGAGGAGGAGGAGGAATGTCAACTAGCACAAATGCTTGGAACAAAACAATTAACTTGCTGCTTGGAGGAGGTAGCCCTAAAAATAATGCAGCAGCAGAGACAGAAGATGATGACAGTGATGGGGAGGAAGGAAGAGGAAACACTTCAGAGGTGAGGTGGAAAAGGCTTCAATGTATTGCATAGCATATTATGTTAAATGATTTGTATGTGCTTATATATGTCAGTTTATTAAATGTACATCAAATATGAACATTTATCTGTTCCCAAATAATACTTATATCATTTCTTATGCCTGTCTTGTACTTTAATCTCTTAATCCTGTTATCTTCATAAGCTGAGGATGTACGTTACCTCTGGACCACTGTGATAATTGTGTTAACTGTACAAATTGATTGTAAAACATGTATGTTTGAACAATATGAAATCAGTGCACTTGAAAAAGAACAGAATAATTTTTACAGAACAAGGGAAGACAATCATAAGGTCTGACTGCCTGCGGTGTCAGGCAAAAAGAGCCATATTTTTCTTCTGGCAGAGAGCCTATAAATGGACGTGCAAGTAGGAAAGATATCATTAAATTCTTTTCCTAGCAAGAATATTAATATTAATACCCAGGGAAAGGAATTCTTTCCTAGGGGGAGGTCTATAAACGGCTGCTCTGGGAATGTCTGTCTTGTGCAATTGAGATAATGACTGAGATAAGCCCTGGTCTCCTGCAGAATCCTCAGGCTTACTAGGGTTGGGAAAACTCTGCCCTGGTAAATTTGTGGTCAGACCAGTTCTCTGCTCTTGAACGCTGTTTTCTGTTGTTTGAGATGTTTATCAAGACAATACATACACTGCTGAACATAGACCTTTATCAGTGGTTCTGCTTTTGCCCTTTGCCCTGTGATCTTTGTTGGACCCTTATCAGTGGTTCTGCTTTTGCTCTTTGTCCTGTTCCCTCAGAAGCATGTGATCTTTGTTAGACCCTTATTAGTGGTTCTGCTTTTTGCTCTTTGAAGCATGTGATCTTGGTACCTACTCTCTGTTCTTACACCCTTTTGAAACTCTTTATAAAAACTTGCTGGTCTAAGACTCAGGCGGGCATCACAGTCCTACAGATATGTGATGTCACCCCTGGCAGCCCAGCTGTAAAATTCCTCTCTTTATACTGTCTCTCTTTATTTCTCAGCTGGCCGACACTTATGGAAAATAGAAAGAATCTATGTTGAAATATTGGGGGCGTGTCCCCCCAATATATTTGATTCTAGATTTGATGATTGGACCTTTGGGAGGGAGTGAGAAAGAATGAGAGAGAGAGAGAGTGTGTATGTTTGTGCTTTTTTGTATGCTTTGCATTATATTTCAGCAAGAAAGACATTTTGTATAGGTCTGACACAGTGGCTCACGCCTGTAATCCTAGCACTTTGGGAGGCTGAGGCAGGTGGATTGCCTGAGCTCAGGAGTTCGAGACCAGCCTGGGCAACATGGTGAAACCCCCATTTCTACAAAAATACAAAAAATTAGTCAGGTATGGGAGCATGTGCCTGAAGTCCCAGCTACTCGTGAGGCTGAGGCAGGAGAATTGCTTGAACCTGGGAGGCGGGGGTTGCAGTGAGCTGAGATAGCAACACTGCACTTCAGCCTGGGCGACAGAGCAAGACTCCATCTCAAAAACAACAACAACAGAAAGGCCGGTTGTATAGAACAGTAATGATTGAGGTCAATACTTTTTGTCTGGAAATTGTTATGCCTTGTCATCTGTTAAGCCTCTAGTGCACAGCTATGTGCTAATCTTTTTGTTTCTTTGTTTTGTGTGTGTGTTTTCCTTTTTTTTTGAGGCAGAATCTTGTTCTATTGCTCAGGCTGGAGTGCAGTGGCACCATCTTGGCTCACTGCAACCTCTGCCTCCTGGGTTCATGCCATTCTCCTGCCTCAGCCTCCTGAGTAGCTGGGATTATAGGTGAACGCCACTGTGCCCAGCTAAATTTTTGTTTGTATTTTTAGTAGAGATGGGGTCTCAGCATGTTGGCAAGGCTGGTCTTGAACTCCTGACCTCAGGATTATAGGAGTGAGCCACTGCACCCATCCTGCTAATCTTTTTAGGAGTCACTTGGTTGTCGTCACATGGTTACTTTCAGTGCACCATGGGCTTCAAATTCCTATAGAGGTTGCTTATACTTTTGGTGGAGCATTAGTTTAGCAGATCCATGTCTGATTCTGAGTTTTAGTTATTCTTTTTGTGCCGTGTATAAGAGAGGGTCTCTTTCTATCGTCTATTCCTTTTAAGAAAGAAAAAAAATTTATCTGATGAACATGAGCTCCTTTAATTATCGGGCCCAGAGAGGCACTGAAATGTGACAGTGTGTGACTGCAGTTACATTCCGCTACCGCTTTGAACTAAATAATTACCTCTTGAAACCACTTCTTATGTGGGCTCTAGACATACAGATGTCAAGTAGCCATAAAATTACATATGCTGGACACCATAACTGATACCCTATAGATCAACAATATATAGCCAGCTACTAATCAATATTATTTCTGTAAACCAATGGGAATTCCTATCAAGCAGCTTTGTGTCAGTCCAGTCCTTGTTCCCTTTTGCCTTAAGACCCTGCTGTAACAAAGGCTGAGCAGAGCACTCCTCAAGGCAACTGTGAAGTGTGTTCTGGGTAGCTGCCCTCAACCGTGGCCCAAATTAATTGTCTATTAATTTTTGCCTCAGTTCATTTCTTTAGGTTAACACTTTCCTGCCTCTCTCCCAGAAGTATTCTATTGTCACATGTTATTTTTAATTTTTTTCTATTATGTATATTTTAGAGATGGATGTCACTTTTTATTTAAAGCTAACTTAGTTTGGTGGTTAGAGTGGTGGTGGGGTGGGGACGCACCTTCTCTTGTTTTCATTATTGGTCTGGAGCATGCATTTTCTTCCTGAGTCTTGGGGATGTGGCCTTCTCCATTCTCTTGCATCTCTCTGAATGTGGTTATTGCGCTCAGTGCTTAATCTTGGCCCTTTTTCGAGAGTAGGATTTTTTTTTCTTTTTGCAGCCATTTTTCCCCCCGCTGCAATTAGTGTCCATTAATGCACTAAGAAAGCCAATTTGTTTTATAGTGGATGTAAAAGAGAAGGAACTCTTGCTCCTTCTTCATGACTGCTGGGCTCCTCCTCGTGCTCTGTATCACAATAAATACTTCTTAGAGCTCTTTGCACATTTTGCTGTTAGAGCCCACATAAAGTTCATAAAGACAGAGACCAAAAGGAAATACAGATTCCTTCACTTTCTACATGTCCCAGGTGTTTCACACGGTTTTCCAGCCCTCACTCAGTCATCACCAATTGTTCACCTATTTTAGCTTAAAAATGTTTAAAAGTGTTTGGTTTAAAAAAGTTTAAAAGTGTTTAGTTCTGCCTGCCTAAAATGATAGCTTGTTTGTGTCTTAAAGCAGACATTGCCTGTCTTTAGATTTTGCAACAGTTTTAATTTCTCCATGATACCAGCCCTCCAAAGAGTTCCAAAAAGTCATAAATTTGAAATTGATCTGGCCCTTTTTGTGTTGTAAGACTGAGAATGAAAACTTCTTTTATTTCTCAACATCCCAATGTAGAAGCTGGAAGTCATATTTATTTATTTTTAAATGTTAAGCCAATTTTGAATTACTGGAAAGTACAACTTATTAATGATACATTGTTTAAATAACACTAAATGCTGTGTGCTAAGACTTTCTTAAGATTATAGTTTCTCTGTGAATAATGTTTTTTGTTTGTTTGTTTTTGAGAAGGAGTCTCTCTTTGTCGCCCAGGCTGGAGTGCAGTGACGCAATCTCAGCTCACTGTGATCTCCACCTCCCAGGTTCAAGCAATTCTCCTGCCTCAGCCTCCCAAGTAGTTGGGATTACAGGCGTCCATCATCAAGCCCAGCTAATTTTTGTGTTTTTAGTAGAGACGGGGTTTCGCCATGTTGGCCAGGCTGGTCTTGAACTCCTGACCTCAGGTGATCCACCCACCTCAGCCTCCCAAAGTGCTGGGATTACAGGCGTGAACCACTGCGCCCAGCCTACTCTGTGAATAATGTTAACCTGTACTTTTTCCTTTTCCTAAGTGTCTTGTCAGGTTTAATATAAAGGTTAGGCTGACTTATAAAAGGTATTTATGGAGTACCTCCTGCTTTTCTAATGTCTTGAAGGATTTGTTTAAGGTTCAAATAATTTTTCCTTTGATTTTTAGTATATACATAGTTGAAGTGATCTGTGCCTAAAAACTGTGAGGGGGAGCAGTTGGGGGGCGGGTGGGTGAGGCAGTGAGCTGTGCAAGCTTCAGGTTACACTTTAAATTTTCTTAATAGATCTTCCAGAATTTTATAAATTATTGGTTATATAGAATTTTGAAGGTTCTGGAGGAAAAGAAATTACATAATCAGTGACAACTGCAGGAAGCTAATATCATCCCCAGAAATAGAACAAAAGTAAGAATATTATTCAGAGCTTGCAACTGCTTCATAAAAGATGCCATTGCAGTCAGAACCACACTGTGTATCCTGAGTCTACACTCTCTGCTCACTCTCACCATTCCTACCATTTGACTGCCTCTCCTTTTACCACTGTATCTGCCACTGTCAAATATCAGAAAAAAATTTTTTTCCTCTTGCCATTATATTTCCTGCCATTGTTTCCCATTGGCAGAATAACCCCCCACAAAAAAAAAAAGTGAACTGGCAAAGGATTTTAGGGAATATAGCTGTCAGAATGAGCAGGGTTTAGACAGGAAACTGAAGCTGAGATATGACAGGTACTACTTGGTATGTTCTCTTTTTTGGCAAATAGTCATAAACATACCCTTTTATTTGTGTTTGAATTTTTGTTGTTGTTGTTGTTATTGAGACGGAGTCTTGCTCTGTCACCCAGGCTGGAGTGCAGTGGTGTGATCTCAGCTAACTGCAACCTCCACCTCCCAGGTTCAAGTGATTCTCCTATCTAGCCTCCCGAGTAGCTGGGATTACAGGCGTGTGCCACCACGTCCAGCTAATTTTTTTTTTTTTTTTTTTTTTTTTTTTTTTTTTTTTTTGAGATGGAGTTTCGCTCTTATTGCCCAGGCTAGAGTGCAGTGGTGCAATCTCGGCTCACCGCAACCTCCGCCTCCTGGGCTCAAGTGATTCTCCTGCCTCAGCCTCCCAAGTAGCTGGGATTAAAGCATGCGCCACCATGCCCAGCTAATTTTGTACTTTTAGTAGAGATGGGGTTTCTCCATGTTGGTCAGGCTGTTCAGGAACTCCCGACCTCAGGTGATCTGCCCGCCTCAGCCTCCCAAAGTACTGGGATTACAGGCATGAGCCACCACACCCGGCCCTAATTTTTGAATTTTTAGTAGAGACGGGGTTTTGCCATGTTGGCCAGGTTGGTCTCAAACTTCTGACCTCAGGTGATCTGCCCACCTCAGCCTCCCAAAGTGCTGTGTTTAAACTTTCATGCAGCATACTGTTTACACGTAACTGGCTTCCTAAAAGGCATCATTACTCATGCAAATGAAGACACATTCATCTTCTCAGAAAGGGAGACACAAAGCTTCCTCAGTCACTGCCCTCATCTCTGGGAATTAACTGGCCTGCATGTTCTCTAATTAAAGAATGAACCGGCTGGGCGTGGTGGCTCACACCTGTAATCCCCGCAGTTTGGGAGGCCAAGGCGGGCGGATCATGAGGTAAGGAGATTGAGACCATCCTGGCTAACATGGTGAAACCCCGTCTCTACTAAAAATACAAAAAATTAGTGGGGTGTGGTGGCCAGCGCCTGTAGTCCCAGTTACTCGGGAGGCTGAGGCAGGAGAATGGCGTGAACCTGGCAGGTGGAGCTTGCAGTGAGCCGAGATTGCACCACTGCACTCCAGCCTGGGTGACAGAGCAAGACTCCGTCTCAAAAAAAAAAAAAAGAATGAACCGTAAGTTTGACAAATGTCAATCTTCATGTAGAATGAGAAAGGAAATAAGAGACTTACTCATAGCTATTAAAAGTCTTTTCTGAAATGGGTAACAAGGCAACTGTTGATGTTTTTAGCTTCCTCTTTTGTTATGGGCTGAATGTTTGTGTCTTTCTAAAGCTCATGTGTTAAAACCCTGACTCCCAAAGTGAAAAAGTATCTGGAAGCAGGGCCTTCCGGCAGTAACTAGGTCATGCAGGTTGAACTGTGGTGATGGGATCAGTGCCCTTTTAAGGAAAGTAAGAGACACCAGGGCTTCCTCCTTCTACCATGCCAAGATGCACCAAGAAAGAGGTCACTTGCAAGCCAGGAAGAGAGCTTTCACCAAGAACCAAATCACCTCTTTGATCTTGGACTTCATAAGAAAAAATAATTCTGTTTTTTAAGTCACCCAGTCTATGGTATTTTTTTAAAGAGCAGTCTGAGCTGACAGAGATACTCTTTCTACTATACATTTTGTTTTGTTTCTTTCATGTCATCCAGAACCTTAGCTAGTGAAGGATCGTTTTTGTTTTCTGGTGGAATAACCCAGGACATGTTTTCTCAAATAGTCTTAATTCAGGTGTAGTTAGTGTAGTGTAGTTGGTATAACTGCTTAGTTTTCGGCATTATTATCTCTTGTTTCAGCACGTCAGGACAGCCTTATTTTGCCCTATAACAAGGACTATTACCTCAGCCACAACAGTAAAACCTGATTTGTCTGCTGCTTCAGCAGAATTAGAAGTACTTAATTGTGGCCAGGAGCGGTAGCTCACGCCTGTAATCCCAGCACTTTGGGAGGCAAAGGCGGGCAGATCACTTGAGGCCAGGAGTTCAAGACGAGCATGGCGAACATGGTGAAATCTCATCTCTACTAAAAATACAAAATTTAGCTGGGCGTGGGGGTGCATGCCTATAATCCCAGCTTTTAAAAATGTTTTCTTGTATATTTTATTTTTTTATTCATTCATTTCTGTTTTCAGTTTGTTATTTACTTTCCTGTACTTTTTGAGGTTATTTTGTGGTTCTCTTTCTAGATTCCTTTTTTTTTGAAGGAAAATTTGTATTATTTTAATTATTTTTATGTACAGAAAACTCAGCAGTGTACATTTAACCCAGTTTAGTGGCAATTTTTTTAGCTTTTGCCCTTTTGAGTTTGGCAATGCGAGCCACAGACTTGGGACCCAGGACATTGCCTCCCCACTGATGGGAGAGCTCATCATATCTGTTGTTGTAATTGGTCCTGATAGCTTCCACCAGCTTAGCCAAAACTCCTTTGTCTTCTGAGTTAAACCATGTGAAGGCGACAGTGGTGCAGGTCTTCCTGTGGACTAGACAACCCAGTCTTGCCTTCCCTTTGATAATGCAGTAAGGGACACCATTTTACGACACAGGGCAGGCAGGAAGACCACCAGCTTGATCTTTATTTTTTTACCGCAGTAAAGGGAACTTTATTGGTAATTTAGGAGATGTTCAAGGATCATTTTGAGCATGCCCAATTTTGTCCTTAGGCACAGTCTTTAAAACCTACCCATCTCA